>NC_000024.10:16550505-17160053 GCF_000001405.40 Homo sapiens | reverse complement strand
TGACCTCAGCTGATCCTCCCGCCTTGGCCTCTCAAATTGCTGGGATTGCAGGCATGAGCCAGTGTGCACGGCCTGTTTGCAAATTTTTTAAATGTCTGGTTTAATAAAGGACAGATGAACTCCCTTATCTTCTGTGTTCAGTCTGTTGAAATGATTTTTGTTGTTGTTGTTGTTGTTGTTTGTTTGTTTGCTTTGAGAAAGGGTGTTATTCTGTCATCCAGGCTGGAGTGCAATGGAGCCATCATTGCTCATGGCAGCCTCTGCCTTCCGTGCTCAAGTGATCCTCCCAGGCTCAAGTAATCCTCATACCTTAGCCTTCCAAGTAGCTAGAACTATAGGTGCATGCCATCACGACCAGCTAATTTTTGTCTTTTTTTTTTTTTTAAGAGATGGATTTGTTTTATTTTAGTTTGTTTTTTAGAGATGGGGTTTCAACCAGACTGGTCTCAAACTCCACAGCTTAAGCTATCCACATACCTTGGCTTCCCAAAGTGCTGGGCTTACAGGCATGAACCACTGCTCCTGGCTTGCAATATATTGTTTTGTCTGATATATGTAGAAAATCTGGCCTTTCACAGATGATAATTATAAAATGGATAAATTTTATTTTTATTTTTTATTTTATTATTATTATTAATTTTGAGACGGAGTCTAGCTCCGTCGTCCAGGCTGGAGTGCAGTGGCACGATCTCGGCTCACTGCAAGCTCCGCCTCCCGGCTTCATGCCATTCTCCTGCCTCAGCCTCCCGAGTAGCTGGGACTAGAGGCGCCCACCACCGCGCCCGGCTAATATTTTGTATTTTTAGTAGAGACAGGGTTTCACCGTGGTCTCGATCTTCTGACCTCGTCATCCTCCCTCCTCAGCCTCCCGAAGTGCTGGGATTACAGGCGGGAGCCACCGCGCTCAGACAAAATGGAGAAATATTTTAATAGTCTTTGCAGGTAGTCGGGGTTTGATACTATACCAAAACGCAACAAATGGTAGTTTCTTAAAGAAATTTTAGATTGCCATATGGACTCTGATATCATTATCAATGAACTTTTCTTATTCTGTTACAGTAATATAAATAACTATATTAATTACCTATTGCATTTTCAAGGGGCTGTTTTAACCACGCATGATTATGTAACATCATACAATAGTCACCTGGAAAATATTCCTTTCCTATGTTTTGCCAATCTTGCAGATTTTGACAACTTTTTTTTATTAATTTTTTTTTTTTGTTTGAGACGGAGTCTTGCTCTGTCACCCAGGCTGGAACGCAGTGGCGCGATCTCGGCTTACTGCAAGCTCCACCTCTCAGGTTCACGCTATTCTGCTGCCTCAGCCTCCCGAGTTCTGGGACTACAGGCACCCGCCCTACTGCCCAGCAAATTTTTTTTTTTTTTTTTTTTTGTATTTTTAGTAGAGACAGGGTTTCACCATGTTAGCCAGGATGGTCTTGATCTCCTGACCTCATAATCTGCCCGCCTCGGCCTCCCAAAGTGCTGGGATTACAGGCATAAGCAACTGCGCTCTGCTGACAAATTTTTATTATGCAATATAAAAAAAATCACATGTGCTAGGCACCATTGATGTAGTCAGAAATAGCCTTTATGTATTGGAAAATTGTCTAGCTTATAGTATTGAATGCAATTTTCCCAAAATACTATGGTTCTCTTGCAAGTCCAAATGCATCACTGCCAACAAATGCTGTTAGTTGTTTTTCTTGAAGTGAGGAACTCACTTAATTTTAGAGAAAATATCTACCCAAGACTGAAAATCAGAAGTAACTTAGGTTATCATTCTCATATTCTGGTAAAATCCATGTTCCATTGTAAAAAGATGAGTACTCAGTGGTGTGTCAATACGTATGTAATAATTGAATGCACTGATTTCACAAAGGATGTCCTTAGGTAAATTTTGTTTTCTTTTTTGTTTGTTTATTTGTTTTACTGTCAGTGCCAGAAATAAAAGAATGAAATGACACCCAATAAGGCTTAGTGCCACTGCTTTCATCCATGCTAAGTCACTAGCTTTTGCAGCATCAGGTAAATGTCAATCCAGTGAGAAAGGAAAATAATGTCTTCATATTATTATGAAAATACTTCTGACCTGCCAGTTTCCCTGAGCGGGTCTCCATGACACTCTGGGCTTTACATACCAATCACATGTTCAGAACCACTGTCCTGCAGGAAAGCCTATTTAGGTAAAAAACATAACTTGAAATTTTTTAGCTAAAATGAACATAGGTAATAAGAAAATATCTTGGTGATTTAATGAAGACTTAGTCAACAGGAAAAATGTACATTTTTTGAATTAGTTGTCTCATAGATAAATTCACCTATTGACCCAACGAGTATTTATTCAGTGCCAAGCACATGGTTTAGGCATGTCTTCTGGGGTTGTTCAGCAGGTAAACAAGACAACTGAGAGAAATTGGTGGTTTCTGATAATGAGCAGGTATTTCTTTAAATAAAGATGGTACTTACTAGTAGGAAAACCGTGCAGCATGCTCGTGTTGGAAGGGAATACGCTTGTTACTGGGTGGAAAGTTAGAATTTACATTCTGACATGCAAGCAAGCTATTCCTGCGGGTTAATCCATGGCCACATAGTCCTCAAAGACATTTTCATAGATCACCAGAGGATTCCTAATCACTGTTTAGTTTATGCTGCCAAATATTTCTTTGGAAATCTCCAGGAAATATTATTTTTAATTGAGGAAAATTATATGCAAAAATATCTTCCTATTTATGTAAGAGATGGGTTCTGGGGTAGGTGGCTCAGAGCTCAGTAGAAGTTATTACTGGTGTAGTTGCCATTGTTGTTTTTGGTCTTTCATTTTGGGCTGCGTTTAGAGAGAGGTTCATATCTAAACTGAATAAGAAATGGATATCTTGGAATTTAAAATTTCTAACATCTGTCTTCAAATAAATGCTTCCAATTTTTGCAACAGAAATTATTCAGGTTTTTTTTTCATTTTTTCTTTCCTTTAAACTTACTCAACTTGAAGCAAGTATTCCAGTAGCAAGTTGACCCTTTTGTGTTTTTCCTGTCACCCATAAATTTTTCCATTACTGTTTAAAGCTGAGCCTTTCTAAATTGGATCCTCTATTATGTCCTGACTCTTTGATTATGATCAGAGAAGAAAGCACCTGTGAATGCCTGTGCAACTGTGACCATGATTCCAGGAGAATACAATTATCAGACAACGTCTAGATCCTGATAACATGTCTTGAGCAAGTGTATGAGGATTCCTTAAGAATCACACCTGTGTGCCAGGCACAGTGTCTCAAGTCTGTAATATCAGTGACTCCGGAGGTGAAGGTGGGAAACTCACTTTAACCCAGGAGACTGAGGTGACAGTGAGCTATGATCATGCCACTGCACCCCAGCCCGGGCAACAGAATGAGACATCATCTCTTAAAAACAACAACAAAAAATTGGCCAGGCGAGGTGGATTATGCCTGCTATCCTGGGACTTTGGGAGGCTAAGGCAGGCAGATCATGAGGTTTAAGAGATCAAGACCATTCTGGTCAACATGCCGAAACCCCATCTCTACTAAAAATACAAAAATTAGTTGGGCATGATAGTGCATGCCTGTAGTTCCAGCTACTTGGGAGGCTGAGACAGGAGAATCTCTTGAACCCAGCAGGCAGAGGTTGCAGTAAGCCAAGATCATGCTACTGTACTCCAGCTGGGGTGACAGAATGAGATTCCATCTCAAAAAAACAAAAAAGGTGGGGGGGGGGAAAAAGACTCACAAAAAAATTGCACCTGCACTTGTAGTCCATTTAAAGGAGATTGCAGTAAAAATAAAAGAATGGCATTATCAACTTTCTTTTAAAAATAAAAAAAGGTTTCATATAGCCAAATACAAAGTCTCTGATTTAAAATACTATGAAAAACTATGGTTATCAAACAATTTTCATGACAAGAATGAACCAGGTATGTCAGTAGATCCTCAATTAAAACCCCAGAGAATAAATTCTTCTAAATAGCAAGAAAAATAAGATCACACTTAATGCAATGGAAAAACACAAAACCAGCCTTCACATGACTTTTGGCCTGTAGTAAACCTCCCTGATCAAATGCAAAAGTTGAAAATTATAGCGACCCAACAACAGAAAGCCCACTCACATACTACTGATCCTATGTTTTCTTAAACATGGGATTTTTTTTCTAAGCAGTCATAAACCTATCTGAAAATGAATAACTCAAGTAACTATGTGCACTTATTCTTAACTAGAAATAAATATTCTAGGTCCGTCATAATTGTGTTCACTGGACCAAAGCAGGCACAGCCTGCCTTCTTGATCATGGATTGCTTTTCCAGGACCGAAGGGATCAGGGACTAACATCTGTAACATGGACTGGTTTCCCTGGACAGAGGTGATCATGGCAGAACATCTCTCTAACCAACTGGTTTTCCTGAACTGAAGTGATTATGGCCATTAAACTTGGTCCTCCACTAGTTTCCCTGGAATGAGGGTTCCAAGCTCAACCTGGCCTCATTCTTAGAAGGTTGCCAAATTTTACTAAAGGGCTTTGGTTGACCTTAGTTTCCCTGTTACCATTTTCCAAAGCAAAGAGACACCTCTAAAATTCATTTCTTCCACCAATAACGGCATCTTTGACAAAGGCTTCTGTGAAAGAAAAATAAATTTAAAAAATAAAAATTATAAAAATATAAAAATAAATAAATAAATAAATATAAAATAGTGATATCAGTAAGTCAAAAGGAAAAATCAATCTGGGAACTGCATCAGACAAACCTGCCTCACATTTTATTCCCAAATAAGATAGCCACAAAGATATAAAAAGCTACATATCTCCCTCACAATTTGCCTGCAAGGAAAGTCCTTGTGGGCCTCAAGATGTTTACCCTAAAAACAGAGTTCTGTTGAATTTCACACTGGCAATGTAAATGGATAGCCTATCATCATAATTTCAGGACAGAAAGTCATCACTCTGGTTAATTGAGAAAAATACATATCTGGTTGCTTCTCCTGCTCAATTGTTTATGCAGAAATGCAGATTATCTGAGCCAGACTATGGTATAAGTGACTATTCATCTACGTCACTCCCACATGTAAATTTTATAGTCAGTGAAAGGCTGATCAAAGACTCAAAAGAATACAACCTTTTGTCTCTTATCTACCCATGGCCTGGAAGCCCCCTCATCTTCCCTCCCCACTTTGAGTGGGCCAGTCTTTCTGGTCTGAACCAATGTACATCTTACACATATTGATTGATATCTCATGTCTCCCTTAAATGTATGAAACCAAGCTGTGCCCCAACCACCCTGGGCACACATCGTCAGGACTTCCTGAGGCAGTGTCTTGGGAGTGTCATTAACCTTGGCAAAATAAACTTTCTAAATTGATTGAGGCCTGTCTCAGATACTTTTGATTCACACTTCTATGGCCCCAACCTCTTTCTTGCTTCTTATAGAGCAACAAGTTCCTGCCTTGGGCATTTGGCTGCCTAAATGAAGGTGCACATTGTCTTGTGTGCTAATATTGCCTGAGGCAGGAACATTGGCTTGTGCTGGAGGGAGGGGAGATACCAAGAAGAGATTTTTAGCAGGAGGATGTGACCATTCCATATTCACCTCAACCTGAGTGTCTACAATTCTATGCTCCACTCAGAGAAACATAAGAAAAAAAAACTCAAGAGTTTTTTTTTTTTTTCTGAACCGAAGCAGATCAGAGATTCTTCTGTGTGTTAATCCACTGGGATTAAATGTAGGTCCTGAATCGGGGTGGCACGTGTGGTGCAGTTGGGCCTTTCTTTTCTGAACCTTTTGATCTGTTAATGATCTCATTTTATCCAATTACCTTTATTACCTCGCATCTCTCTTTTGGAAGGTACTGTGATTCCCACATGAACTCGTGTTACAGACTGAATGTTTGTGCTGGCCCCACCCCAAATTCCTATGTTGAAACCCTAACCCCTGATAGGATGCTGTTTGGAAGTGGGGCCTTTGGAAGGTGATTAAGTTTGCATAAGGTCATGAGGATGGGGCCCCCATAATGGGATGTGTCCTTATGAGAAGAGGAAAAAACATAAGAGTGTTTCTCTCTCTCTCTATCTCTCTCTCCATCTACTCTCTGCATCTCCATTCCCTCTCCTCTCTGTCTCTGTCTCTCTCCTCTCTTCTGTTTTTAACTCTCCTCTTTTTCCGCTACTCTCTCTGTCTTCTCTCTTTCTGTTCTCTCTTTCCCCTCTTCTCTCTTCCCCTCCTCCTTTCTCTCGGTCTTTCTCTTCTCTGTCTCTTTCTCCCTTCTCTTTGTCTCTTTCTCTCTCTCTCCTCTGTCTCCCTGGTTCTCTTTCTTCTCCCTCTCTCTCTCTCTCTCTGTGTGTATCTGTCTCTCTTTTCTCTCTGTGTGTCTTTGTCTCTGTCTCTTCCTGCCCACCCTCTCTTCCTTTCTCCCCCTTTGCCATTGGAGGGTACAGCAAAAAGTCAGCCATCTGCAAGTCAAGAAGAGACTTCTCACCAGTAACCAAATCAATGGACTACTTGATTATGGACATTCCAGCTGTGTAAACCTTGAGAAATAAATTCCCATTGTTTGAGTCAATCAGTCTATGGCATTCTGTTATAGCAGCCTGAACGGACTAGTACAACACTCAGGGACAATTTTTACTTTTTTTATTTTATTTTAATAGCTTTGGGGGTACAAGTATATTTACAGTTCATGGATGAACTTTATAACACTGAAGTCTGAAGTGTCTTTAGTTTAAGTCCCACCTATTTATCTTTGTTTTTGTTGCACTGTCGATCTTTTTCATGAAGTCTTTGCCTAAGCCAATGTCTAGAAGGGTTTTCCTAGGTATTATTCTAAGATTTTTTACGGTTTCAGGTCTTAGATTTAAGTCTTTGATCCATCTTGAGTTTATTTTTTGTATACAGTGGGAGATAGGGACCCAGTTTCATACTTACACACGTGGCTATCCAGTTTTCCCAGCACCATTTATTAAACAGGGTGTTCTTTTCGCAATTTGTTTTTTTATGTGCTTTGTCAAAGGATCAGTTGGTTGTAGTTTGCACTATTTCTTGATTCTTTATTCTGTTCCATTGGCCTATGTGTCTACTTTTATACCAATACTGGGCTGTTTGGCAACTATAGCTCAATATCAATATTGATGACAAAATACTTTTAGGGACTATGTGGAGATCAGGCTTTGTTCTGGATCAATTAGCTAGCAGGTTAGATACTGATACAGACAGGAGGCAAAGAAATACTGGCCTCCTGGCAGTATTATACAGTGATTTACTGGCAAAAGCCCCACCCTCAAGCCTGGAAATTTGTGGGACTAAATGGGAACAGGCATTCCTGTTTTCTCTCCCAAATGTTGCCTTTTTGCCCACCGTACCCCCCTATCCTGAACCCATATACACCCCAAACCCCGGGCTCCATGAGCAGAATTGCAGAGGAGCAGAAGAATGGTGTAGAAGAGAAGGAGTGTCTGAACATTGAAAGAAGTTTGGCTGGGGATGGTCAGAGAGGAAAACAACTGCAGGATGGTTGAACTCTAGGGGAAGATCATCTTTCCACTTCTTGCCCTCTCTAGCTCCCCATCATCCCACTGAGAGCCACCTCCATTGGGCAATGAAGTCCCCCACATTTACCATCATTCGATTTGTCCATGTGACCTGGATTCTTCCTGGACGCTAGACAAGAACCCAGGTACGAAGAGATCACTGAGCTTCTTAACACTTAAGCCATCTGCAGACAGCAGAGCTAAAAGAGAAATGTAGCTTCTGGAGTCACAGGCACTCACCCCTGGATGCTATTGTGGGGCCAAAGCCCAAAAGTGCTTACCCCAGCTCCTGCACCTGCCCATCGGGGTGCCCCTCCTTCTGAAAGGGGTTTTCCTGTACACAGCAGCCTAACAGACAAGCCACATCCCTGTTGCATGTCATGTGAGGGGGCTCAGGGTACTCTACTGTTTCAATACCAATGAAGCATAATCTTAAACCATGGGAAACAGTGGGACTAACTCAAGTTCTGGGACTCATAAGGATCTCTTGCCTCTGTGGAATCTGTCTCTATATGAATTTCATGAAGCTAGTTGTCCCCCACATCAATGAGGAGCCTCCTTGATGCCAACCAATGGCTCAATGTATTCAAATTTACCAATTTCTATTATCATATTTGTTTATTACTATGTCTATGTCAAGTGTCCTTCTCTGCTATGAAGTCTATCTCAAATTGTTTGAAACAGGGTCAGATTTCAGAGATCTCACAGGAGCCCACACTTAGAAGGACACTGTGCTTGGTTTAAGGCTCACTGCTTTTTGAATTTTTTTATTTTTTATTTTTTAGATAGAGTGCCTGTCTATTGACCAGGCTGGAGTGCAGTGGCATGATCTCATCTCACTGCAGACTATAGGCATTCACCACCACACCCAGCTAATTTTTGTTTTTTTGTATTTTTTTTTTTTTTCAGTAGAGACGGGATTTCATCATGCTGGCCAGGCTGGTCTTGAACTCCAGACCTCAAGTGATCCACCTGTCTTGGCTTCTCAAAATACTGAGATTACAGGCATATGTCACCATGCTTGGCCTTCTTGAAATTCTTTATAATTCATGAATAATCTTCATTTTCCATTTTCGTTTTTCACCATGCTCTGCAACTATTACAGCCAGTTTTGCCAATAAATTTTAAAGGGTATCATGCTGATGAAGAGAATATCTCTTCATTGTCCTAATTTGTTCATAATCTTCATATAATTTCTGTTTAATGCAATATTTGCTGTGAGAAATATTAAAGTGTTTTTGTAAAAATGAGATCATTAGGGAATAGACAGAGTTAGCTAGTATGCTCCCATTAGACAGAAATGATTGGGAATATTCTCTGAAGAAATACATAGGATGTTTACTCAGTAATAAATATAGTATATATCAAGTGTTCAAAGAAAAACTTTAGCTGAATTAAATTTAACAGAGTTTAGCTGAGCAAAGAATGATTTGCCAATCAGGTTGCTTCCTGAGCCAGACTGGGCTTAGAGACTCTAGCACAGCCACGTGTTAGAAGATTTATGGACAGAAAAAAAGAAAGTGATGTATGGGAATGGAAGTGAGGTACAGAAACAGCTGGATTGATTACAGCTCAGTGTCTGTGTTATTTCAACACAATTTGAACAGTTGGCCACCTTTGATTGGCCAAAACTCAGTGATTGGCACAAGAGTAGACTACAGTCTGCTTACAACTTTCTTTAGGTGTTATAGTTCAAGATATAAAGAGAAGACTTTAGGCTGAACTTAAAATATGTAAGGAGGCAGCTTTAGGCTAAATTTGATTTAACGTAAGTGATACATAAAGATGGATCTGGGTTTACCTAAAGTTTGAAGATGGCATGATTGTCACATTTAGTCCTTGAATCCTATGACCCCATGCTGCAATTTTCTTCAAAGCATTTCCTAAAGGGCACAGCGACATAAATGTAGTCTTATAGAAATGTTAGCTTCAAAATTCTCACAATACTTTATTCTTCAGTTAGTCAAAGAAGATGAAAAAAATGGAGTTACAGTAGCAATGACAAAGGTCAAATATTATGCTGGAAAAAAAAACTAATCAGCAGCATTGAAGTTCACTGACACAGGTTGTCTATATGTGCATAGAAGGAATATTGACCAGTGGGTTCCACCAGAATGTTTCTAAATGCAAAAACTGGAAAATACACACAAATGTTAAAATAGGATTCTGAAAGTACTCATTAATTACCAGCCAAAATAAAGAATGTATAGAGCACCTCAAAGTTCACTGACACAGGATGTCTAGGTGTAGGTAGAAGGGACATTGAACAGTGTGTTCTATCCACATTTTTAAAATGCAAATACTAGAAAATACTCATGAATTCTAAAATTGGGTGCAGAAAGTGCTCACTAGTAACCAGCCACAATAAAGGATGCATAGGCCACTTCAAAGTTCACTGACACGGATGCATATGTGTGGTTAGAAAGGACATTGAACACTGGGTTCCACCAGCATTTTTAATGCAAAAATCTAGAAAATAAATGAAAATTCTAAAATTGGTGCTGAAAATTCTCATTAATAACCAGCCACAATAAAAAATTTATTGACTAACTGTTTCTATTTGGTATTCCCTAAGTTGCAGGGAATGAAACCACATGATGTTTAGAGTTCTGTGGGGACTCAGATTTCCCTTCTTAATTTAAAAGTTGGCTGAATAGGAAGTACTCAGATCTGTAACCACCTTCAACGCAGAGTATAAACTGAAGCCTTTGTTTGACAGAGGAATTTATTTTCAAATATAAGCATTTTATATTTCAAAAGGTTTCCATAATAGATTGTATTGCAAAATAAAAATCCAGTTGGTGATTTTTGTTTCAAATACCCAACCACAATGTGGCTATGTTTCAGTATTCTTTTTTTTTCTTTAAAAATGCATGAATTGCCAAGTGGAATGCTACATATAGAGGATATAAAATAAATAGTACACAGCTCCTGTAGCAGAAAAATAGTTGCAAATAATGAGACAGAGTTACTTTTTTGCTTTTATTGGTGAATCTTTCTGGTATCACTGCTTAGTTTAGAAAGGAAAGTCATAATTACATTTTGCTTTATTCTCTCTCTCTCTCTCACACACACACACACACACTCATATATATGTATTAATAGAAGAAGTACATAATAAAAGTATGTAATAAAAGCAGAAGGTGCTTTCAAAAGTGGGACACACCACCTTCTCAGGAGGCTGAGTCTGGGGCATCACTTGAGCTCAGGAGTTTGAAACCAGCCTGGGCAGCATGGTGAGACCCTGTCTCAGAAAAAAAAAAAAAAAAAAAAAGTAGGACACAGTAAATTTAGTGAATTAGAGGCTAAATCACCAGCCTCACCTGCTGTCCCCAATATTTGAGCAGACCTTGGAAGTTTCTAGTCTGCAAAACAAAAAGAAACTTCCTTCCAGCATTGCTGTTTTCATAAGTGAAGGACTAATGAAATAGTGTTTGAAGTTTGCATATTAGCACTGAGAATTTAAACATTGAAATTGTTGGAAATTTGAAGATTGGAAATTATCTAAGAGACTGAGGTGCAAAGGCATACAGAAATAAATCTAACAATATTTTCAAATTTCTGCTTGTGGTTTTACAGATATTCATTTTCTGGAAGTTGGCAACCTAAAAGTTGGAGAAAAGTGTTTCTGAAAGTTCTAGGCAAAGGCTTGGGGTAAGGCATAGAGATTCTAAATCTTAGCACAGTGCATTGCACATAGTAGATGCTCAATTAATGTTGGTCGAATGGTGATTCTTTCTAATACAGAGCAGCTATACAGACTGTGTTTTCTTGATTTTGAGTCCTATGCTTTTTCTCATAATCTGCATTTCTTTCACCAATTAACCAGAGTCATTTTCATCTCTGGTTCATAAAGAGAATGCTCGGGAGTATTATATGCTTATACGTTGATTTTATTTTTATTTATATGAAAATTCCATTCCATTGAAGATAAAGAAAATACATAGTGAACAGTTAGTTATAATTTGCATTCTGTATGGAAATTTTCTAGCTTATCGATCTTGTCATTTTTAATCTATGCATTATACGGATAATGAGACCATGTAAATTAAGAAGGGTGAAGAAGAGTGTAATTCCTAGCCTGTATAAATAGATAAAAATTTAAAGTTCAAAACTAAAATAAGATTGATAATGACCAATAAATTGTATTAGTGGGTAAGAGATAAACACAGAAATGAACAAATATGACCTCAACTAGAAAGCATCATTTTCAAGGACCTGAAATGTAGAGAAATCCCAGTATAAATTTTTCTTCTATTATTATCAATGTGCTCCTAACGAAACTTGACTATGATCGCCAGATCAGATATCTACTCACATGTAAAAGGCAAATATAAAAATGGGATATCAAAAACATTAAAACACACCTCAAAGTTTTATGCTTTCATGATTTAGATAAAAATCCACTCTTTTTTACACATCAAGCATGGAATGGAAAATGTACAGGATGTGTAACACATGATTGATATACAGAAAGAAAAGAAAAACAGCCAGGAAGCATAAACAAGTGGCATTTTTAGTAGTTAAATTGGTACACAATAACTATGAAATGAAATATTTTTTACAAGCTGTTTGCTGTTTTGGTCGAAGACTAACATTGTTGTCAAATATTTACTTTGTAACTCAGCAGTTATTTGTTTTGCAGTGTTAAAAAGCATATGTAACTTTAGTGTTATTATTACAGGAATAAGTTCACCACTGATACAAATATTGAAAGTACATTTATTTTCTTACTATTTTATCAGTTTCTCTTTGTCACTCATATAAATATGGTATGACCAAGATAAGGCTGTTTTTATTTTTTAAATTTATTTATAATTTTTGTAGGTAGGTGTACATATTTCTGGAATAAATGAGATATTTTGATGCAGGCATATAATGTACAATAATCACATGAGGGTATATGGGGTATCCACCACCTAAAGCATTTATTTTTTATTTTTTGTGTTAAAAACAGGCTAATTATACTCCTTTAGTTATTTTTATTTGTACAAAGGTTATTTAAAAATATATAAAGTATGGTTGACTATAGTCACCCTGAGGTGCTATGAAATACTAGGTCTTATTCACTTTTTCTAACTGTGTTTTTGTACCCATTAACATTCCCCATCCCCCACTTCCTAAGTAACCTTTTCAGCCTCTGGTAATTGTTCTTCTACTCTCTGTCTAAATGAGTTCAATTGTTTTAATTTTTAGCTACCACATATAAGTAAAAACATATGATATTTGTCTTCTGTGCCTGGCTTATTTTGCTTAACATAATGATCTGCAGTTTCCTCCATGTTGTTTCAAATAATAAACTCTTAGTGGTTTTTACAGCTGAATAGTAAGTACTCCATTGTTTATATGTACCACATTTTCTTTATCCATACACCTGGTAATAGATACCTAGGTTGCTTCCAAATCTTGGCTATATTGAGTAGCGCTGGAGTAAACATGAGAGTGCAGATATCTCTTCAATATATGAATTTCCTTTGTCAGGGGGTATATACCCAGCTGTGGGATTGCTGGGCCATGTATTAGCTCTGTTTTTAGTTTTTTGAGGAACCTCCAAACTGTCCTCCATAGTGGTTGTACTAATTTACATCCCCACCAAGAGCATACAGGATTCTGTTTTCTCTGCATCCTCAACAGCATCTATTATTGCCTGTATTTTGGGTAGAAGCCATTTTAACTGGAGTGACATGATATTACATTGTAGTTTTGATTTGCATTTCTCTAATAATTAATGTTGTTGAACACCCTTTCATATGCATGTTTGCCACTTGTAAGACACTCATTCAAATATTTTCCCTATTTTTAATCGGATTATTAGAGTTATTTCCTATTGCATTGTTTGAACTCCTTATATATTCTGGCTTTTAATCTCTTGCCAGGTGGATAATTTGCAAATATATTCTCCTATTCTGTGCATCATCACTTCACTTCGTTGATTGTTTCTTTTGCTGTGCAGAAGCTTTTTAACTTGATGTAATCCTGTTTGTCTATTTTTGCTTCAGTTGCCTGTGCTTATGGGGTATAACTCAGGAAATCTTTGCCCCATCCAATGTCCTGGAGGTGAAGTTGATTTTTTTATTTATCTGCTGACCCTGTGCTCTAAACATCTAATTTATAAAATTTATAATACTAGTTATGTTTCTATAATAATAATAGTATAATAATCTATTTCTAACTGGACACAAATTCAACCCCCCACTGGATACCTCAGCTTAGTCCTAGTATATACCAGGCTGGTAGATTTTGCTTCACCAGTTTTCAGAAGTGAAGAATCAGAATTCTGTAGTTGATTTCTGGTAGGAAAGACATCTGAAGCCAATTGTCCTTCTTTTGGTCTCCACTTACCTGGGTCATCTCTATGCATGTCAGAATAACCCTTCTTCTTAATTTTGACTAATTACCTTCATGTTGTTTGGACCTCTTGAATGTAACTTTCTAGTGACTCTGGAGTATTGTTGATGAATTTATTCAAGTAGTATCCCGTTGCATAAAAACATATGTCTTTTTTTCTCTCACAAATTGAAACAGCAATGAGGGGTTAATACCTGACTTGCGCTTTAAAACAGATTGTGGTTGCAGACATAGAGGAGAAAAAAACTTGTGGGATAAAGACAGGATAGTTCAAATAAAACAGTGGAAAATAACAGGTGTCAGAAGAGGACACGGTGATATTGATAGCTATGGGAACATACATCAAGTTCTTGAATAATGTCATTCAATTCAACATTCCCCAAAGAGAACATTCTTTCTTAGACCACACAAGAAAGAATTCAGGGCCACTTCAAAAAGTGAAAACAAGTTTATTAAGAAAGTAAAGGAATAAAAGAATGACTACTTCGTAGTCAGAGTAGCAGAATGGGCTGCTCAATTGAGTATACTTAGGGTTATTTCTTGATCTTATGCTAAATAGGGGTGGATTATTCATCAGTTTTCTGGGAAAGTGGTGAGCAATTGCTGGAACTGAGGGATCCTCCCCTTTTATACCATATAGGGTAAATTCTTGATGTTTCCATGATATTTGTAAACTCTCACAGCACTGGTAGTAGGGTATTTTAGAATGCTAATGCATTTTAATTAGCATATAATGAGCATTGAGGACAATCAGAAGTCATTTTCATTGCCATCTTGGTTTTGGTGAGTTTTGTCTTGTTTCTTTACAGCAACCTGTTTTATCAGCAAGGTCTTTGTGTCCTGTAGCTTGTGCTGACCCCCTATTTCATTCTCATGAGCTCATGAATTCACCAATAAATGTGTAAAACATTATCTTCCTTTTAATGTTTTATATATATATATATATTCAATTTTTAACACCAAAAGTGTTGTGGGTCTTTATTTACAAGTTTGCTGATGTTTTTCTAACCAGAAGGATTTCACAGGATCTTACCTCTTGTTTATATCAAGTAGCCTACGGTAAAATTAGTTTTGGTGTGTGTTATTTTACCTAAAGTCACAGTTTCCAAGAATCTACTAACAAAGTTAAGGGAGAACTTAATGCATTATACTAGCAAAGCCCACAGAATTACTCACCTTAAGAAAAAAAGTCCTTGGTGCTTCTCAAAGCACAAGTACAGTATACATACTTATAACAGCAACACTATGGCTTTGGATCTAGAATTAAAAAGCTAATCCTTCATCATTATATAAGTACTGTAAACCAAAAATAAAATTCTAAGCCCTCCCCCAACCATCTGAATGGATTTCCTCCTCAGCCAGGGCACTCTTAGATTTTAACCTGGAAGATTGGTTCAGGCCATGATAGGAAGTTGGAAGAGGGTGAGGGTTGGACAAGCTTCATTATATCTCTGTAGCATTAACATCCACACCAACTTTTAAGTATGATAAGAAGAATGTACAAACTATTTTCTCTGAAGCCTACTACCTAAAGGCTTCCTCTGCAAATAAGAACTTGGGTTTTCACAATCTTTTATCTTAACCCAGACATTTCTGTCTATTAATCCCAGGTCTTTAGATAAACTCAACCAATGTCACCCAGAAAAGTTGTTTATTTTCCTACAAGGTGGAAGCCTCCACTTTGAGTTGTCCACCTTTCTGAACCAAACCAGTGTCTTTTAAAAATGTATTTGATTGAAGTCTCATGTCTTCTTAAAACGTATAAAACCAAGTGATACCCTGACCACCTTGGGCACATGTTCTCAGGACCTTCTGAGGGCTGTGTCATGGGACATTACTCACTTATATTTGGATCAGGATAAATCTCTTCAAATATTTTACAGAGTTTGATTCTTTTTTGTTGAGAATATACTATAATGCACACATACAGACATATCAGAGAGAGAGTCAATAAATAAAAATTGATACAGATTGACATTTTCAGAACAGTACTTTCTTTAAAATCTGTGTTTTTTGACCCAGTTCCTCTTTTGATGTTTCTTCAATCCCTTGATTTCCATTCATAAGAAGCTTGCCATGGGATTATAGAGCCAACACATTTTGAACATGTCCCTGTACTCTGCATGCCTTCATGGCATTTGGAGTCATGACCTGAATGGAAGTACGAAGAGATGACATGTCATAAGAACAGAGTAGGCAGTACTTAGTACAGGTTCCAATGGCTGTGGGCAAGCTTATAGTCACCCAATGGTTTCACCTTACCTGTTGTCTAGACAGACCTGATTTATAATCACAGGGGAATTGCAAGGGAGACATAATAATTCATGCAGAGCTGGCTGTGCAGGAGAAGGAATTTTATTGTTACTCAAATCAGTCTCTGCAAGGATTCAGAGATCAGAATTTTTAAAGATAAATTGGCAGGTAGGTGCTTGGGAAATGGGGAGTGCTGATTGGTCAGGTTAGGGACGGAATCCTAGAGGGTTGAAATGAACTTTTCTTGCTGTCTTTTGTTCCTGAGTGGGAAGGTAGAACTGGTTGAACTAGATTACCAGTCTTGGCAGGGCCAGCCAATCCATCGAGTGCAGGGTCTGCAAAATAAGTCAAGCACTGATCTTAGGTTTTACAATAGTGTTGTTACCCTCAGGAGCAATTTGGGGAGGTTCAGACTCTTGGAGTCAGAGGGTGCATGACCCCTAAACCATAACTTCTAACCTTGTATCTAATCTGTCAGCTGACTGATTCTTTCTGAATAATGCCCACCTGCACACTGAGAGGACATGGTGGGGCCTCAGGAAGTTTGTACTGTTGCACTTGGGAGAAGCCTGGACTGGTTCCTGGGTGGTAACCTGGGATTCAATCTCTGAGATGGGAGCCTGTTTACAGGAACCCCTTGCTGAGTTTATTCCTTTTCACCCAGTAAATTCCCTTCCCACTCACCCTTCAAAGTGTCTGCCAACCTAATCTTTTTTGGTCATGTGACAAGAACCTGGTTTTTCTACAGCAAAACTGTGAACTGAATTCCTTCCAAAAGTTAGTTCTACCCAAACCCAGGAATAAACAAGGACAGCTTAAAGGGTAAAAGCAACACAGAATCAGTTAGTTCTGATCTCTTTCACTGTCATAATTCCCTCAGTTATAATGTTTGCAAAGGTGATTTCAAGCTGACTTGGGAGGAATAGACCGGATCATCAGGTGAAATCACAGAGAGAGCCCAGGTAATGAGCTAGCTCAGGAAAGTTCAAAGCATATTCAGTAACATAACTGAACTCCCCTAAAGTGTCGTTTTCCTGTAATACACACTCTGTGCTGGAAGTGTCAGGCCTCTGAGCTCAAGCCTGCACGTATACATCCAGATGGACTTAAGAATCACAAGGAAGTGAAAATAGCCAGTTCTTGCCTTAACTGTTGACATTACCTTGTGAATTCCTTCTCCTGGCTCAGAAGCTCCCCCACTGAGCACCTTGTGACCCCCAACCCTGCCTGCAAGAAAAAAACCCCTTTGACTGTAATTTTCCACTACCCACCTAAATCCTATAAAACGGTCCCACCCCTAAATCCCTTTGCTGACTCTCTTTTTGGACTCAGCCCACTTACACCCAGGTAGTTAAAAGCTTTATTGCTCACACAAAGCCTGTTTGGTGGTCTCTTCACATGGACACGCATGACATTTGTCAACCAAGCAAGAAATTAAGCTGAACCCCCTCAAGCACTCTCTAATTGGATGTCCTGGTTCCTCCCAATTTTTAGTCCTTTAATACCTGCTTTTGTCCTTCTCTTATTTGGACCTTGTGTCTTCCATTTAGTTTCTTGATTCATACAAAACTATATCTAGGCCATCACCAATCATTCTATATGGCAAATACTCCTTCTAACGACCCTACAATATCACTCCTTATCACAAAATCTTCCTTCAGCTTAACCTCTCCCTCTCTAGGTTCCCAGACTGGCCCAATCCCGCTCGAAGCAGCCTTGAGAAACATCGCCCATTATCTCTCAATAACAGCTCCCCAAATTTTTGCTGCCCCAACACTTCACTGCTATTTTATTTTATTTTATTTTTCTTGTTAATATAAGAAGACAAGACTATCAGGCCTCTGAGCCCAAGCCTGCACGTATACATCCAGATGACCCTAAGCAACTGAAGAAACACACAAAAAAATTGAAAATGGCCAGTTCCTGCCTTAATTTATGACATTAGCTTGTGAAATTCCTTTTCCTGGCTCAGAAGCTCCCCGACTGAGCACCTTGTGACCCCCACCCCTGCCTGCAAGACAACAGACCCCTTTGACTGTAATTTTCCACTACCTACCCAAATCCTATAAAACTGCCCTACCACTAACTCCCTTTGCTGACTCTCTTTTTGGACTCAGCCCCCCTGCACCCAGGTGATTAAAAGCTTTATTGCTCACACAAAGCCTGTTTGGTGGTCTCTTCACACAGATGCATGTGACATTTGGTGCCATGACTCAGACTGGGGGACCTCCCATAAGAAATCAATCCCCTGTCCTCCTTCATGCTCTTTGCTCCATGAGAAAGATCCACCTATGACCTTGGGTCCTTAGACCAACCAGCCAAAGGAACATCTCACTAATTTTAAATTGAGTAAGGGGCCTCTTTTTACTCTCTTCTCCAACCTCTCTCACTATCCCTCAACCTCTTTCTCCTTTCAGTTTCAGTGCCACCTTTCAATGTCTTCTTTCCCTTAATTTCAGTTCCTTTCTTTTTCTGGTAGAGAGAGAGGAGACATGTTTTATTCATGAACCCAAAACTCCATCACTGGTCACGGACTTGGGAAGATAGTCTTCCCTTGGTGTTTAATCACTGTGGGGACACCTGCTTGATTATTCACCCACATTTCAGACATGTCTGATCACCATGGGGATGACGGCCTTGATCCTTCACCTTGGTGGCAAGCACCACCTCCCCTGGAGGTGCAAGTACCTCCACCATGTCTCTACTTTCTCTTTTCTCTGGGCTTGCCTCCTTCACTGTGGGCAACTTTCCACCCTCCATTCCCCCTTCTCCCTTAAACTGTGTTCTCAAGAAAGTGAAATCTCTTCAAGTCTCACCTGACCTAAAACCTAAGCATCTTATTTTTTTTTTTTTGCAACACTGCTTGGCCCCAATACAAACTTAATAATTGTTCCAAATGGCCAGAAAATGGTACTTTCAATTTATCCATCCTATGAGACCTAAATAATTTTTGTCATAAATGTGCAAATGGTCTGAGGTGCCTGACATCCAGGCATTCTTTTACATATGTGTCCCTCCCTAGTCTCTAATCCCAATGCAACTTTTACCAAATCCTTCTTCTTCCTTTCCTGCCTGTTCCTTAAGTCTCTACCCCAAGCTCTGAGTCCTCTGAATCCTCCTTTTCTAGGGGCCCATCTGACCTCTCCCCTCCTCCCCAGACTGCTCCTTGACAGACCTAGCCAGGTCCCAATTCCTCCTCAGCCTCTGCTCCTCCACCCTATAATCCTTTCATCACCTCTCCTCCTCACACCTGGTTCTGCTTACAGTTTCATTCTGTGACTAGCCCTCCCCTACCTGTCCAACAATTTCCTCATAAAGAGGTGGCTGGAGCTGAAGGCAAGGTCAAGGTTAATGTTCGCTTTTCTTTATCAGCCGTCTCCCAAATCAGTTAGCATTTAGGCTCTTTTTCATCAAATATAAAAACCCATCCCAGTTCATGGCCCATTTGGCAACAACACTTAGAAGCCTTACCACCCTAGACCCAGAAGGGCCAGAATGCCATCTTATTCTCAGTATACATTTTATTACCCAATCTGCTTCTGACATTACAAGAAGCTCCAAAAATTGGATTCTGGACCTCAAACCCCACAACAGGACTTAACTAACCTTGCCTTCAAGGTGTACAATAATAAAGGAGAGTTGAAATTACTTGTCTCCACTGTGAGAGGGACCCCAGCCACATCTCCAGCACACAAGAACTTCAGAACAACTGAACCACAGCAGCCAGGCATCCCTCCAGGGCCTCCTGCCCTAGGATTTTGCTTCAAGTTTCAGAAATCTGGCCACTGGGACAAGGAATGACTGCAGCCTAGGATTCCTCCTGAGCCACATCCCATCTCTGCAGGACCCCACTGGAAATCAGACTGTCCACCTCACCCAGAAGCCACTCCCAGAGCCCCTGGAACTCTGGCCCAAGGCTCTCTGACTGACTACCTCCCAGATCTTCTCAGCTTAGTGGCTGAAGACTGATGCTGCCTGATCACCTCAAAAGCCTCCTGGATGATCACAGACACTTTGGGTAACTCTTACAGTGGAGGGTAAGTCCATCCCCTTCTTAATCAATAGTGAGGCTACCCACCCCATATTGCCTTATTTTCAAGGGTCTGTTTCCCTTGCCTCCATAACTGTTGTGGGTATTGATGGCCAGACTTCTAAACTTCTTAAAACTCCCAACTCTGGTGCCAACTTGGACAATATTATTTTATGCACTCTTTTTTAGTTATCCCCACTGGCCCAGTTCCCTTGTTAGGTCAAGGCATTTTAACTAAATAATCTGCTTCCCTGGCTATCCCTAGGCTATAGCCACACCTCCTTGCCATGCTTTTCCCCAGTTCAAAGCCTCCATCACATCCTCCCCTTGTAACTCCCCACCTTAATCCACAATTATGGGACACCTCTACTCCCCCCTTGGTGACTGATCATGCACCCCTTACCATCCCATTAAAACCTAATCACCCTTACCCCACTCAATGCCAATAATCCATCCCACAGCACACTGTAAAAGGACTAAAGCCTGTTATCACCTGTTACATCATGGGCCTCTAAAGCCTACAAACTCTCGTTACAATTCCCCCATCTTACCTGTCCAGAAACCAGACAAGTCTTACAAATTGGTTCAGGATCTTGGCCTTATTAATCAAATTGTCCTCCCCATCCATCCTATATTACCAAACCCATACACACTCCTATCTTCAATAACCCCTTCCACAACTCACTATTCTGTTATTGACCTCAAAAAAATGCCTTTTTTACTATCCCTTTGCATCCCTCCTCCCAGGTTCTCTTTGCTTTCACTTGGACTGACCCAGACACCCATAACTTTCAGCAACTTTCGTGGGCTATAATGCTGGAAGGCTTCATGGACCGTCTCCATTACTTCACTCAAGCCCTTTCTCCTGATTTACTTTCTTTCCATCCATCCGCTTCTCAGCTTATTGAATATTTTGATAACCTACTTTATAGCCCCTCCTACAAATCTTCCCAACAGAACACCCTCCTGCTCCTCCAATGTCTATTCTCAAAAGGACATAGTGCATCTCCCTCCAAAAACCAAATTTCTTTCTCATCCGTTATTTACCTCGACCTAATTATTAAAAAAAAAAAAAAAAAAAAAAAAAAAAAAAAAAAAAAAAAAAAACAGATGTGTTCTCCTTGCTGATTGTGTCTGGCTAACCTTGCAAACCCCAACCCCTTATATGAAACAACAATTCCTTAACTTCCTAGGCACGGTTAGGTACTTCCGCCTTTGGATACCTGGTTTGGCATCCTAACTAAACCATTCATTCTCTCCATTTTCTCATATTTTTCTTTTTCCTGTTCCCCAACCAGACCACACGTAGCTTATTGATAGTTCTTCCAGGCCCAATCGCCAATCACTGTCAAAGGCAGGCTGTGCTATACTGTCTTCCATATCTATCATTGAGGCTACCACTCGGACCCACTCCACTACTTCTCAGCAAGCCTTAATTCATTGCCTTAACTCAGACCCTCCCTCTTGCAAAGGGACTATGCATTAATATTTATGCTGACTGTAAGTATACCTTCCATATGCTGTACCACCATGCTATTATATGGGCTGAAAGAGGTTTCCTTACTATGCAAGGCTCCTCCATCTTTAATGCCTCTTTAATAAAAGTGCTTCTGAAGGTCACTTTTCTTCCAAAGGAAGCTAGAGTCATTCACTGCAAAGGCCATCAAAAGACATCAGATCCCATAACTTAGGACAATGCTTATGCTGGTAAGGTAGCTAAAGAAGAAGCTAGAGCTCCAACTTCTGACCCTCATGGCCAGTTTTTCTCTTTCTCATCAGTCACTCCCACCTACTATCCCACTGAAACTTCCACCTATCAATCTCTTCCCACACAAACCAAATGGTTCTTGTACCAAGGAAAATATCTCCTTGCAGCATCAAGGCCCATTCTTTTCAGTCATCACTTCATAACCTCTTCCATGTAGGTTACAAGCCACTAGCCCACCTCTTAGAACCTCTAATTTATTTTCCATCATGGAAATCTATCCTCAAGGAAATTACTTTTCCATGTTCCATCTGCTATTCTACTACTCCTCAGGGATTTTTCAAGCCCCCTCCCTTCCCTGCACATCAAGCTCGGGGATTTGCCCCTGCCCAAGACAGGCAAATTGACTCTACTCACATGCCCCAAGTCAGGAAACTAAAATACCTCTTGGTCCGGGTAGACACTTACACTGGGTGGGTAGAGGCCTTTCCAACACAGTCTCAGAAGGCCACTGCAGTCATTTTTCCCTTCTGTCAGATATAATTCCTCAGTTTGGCCTTCCCACTTCTATACTGTTCAATAATAGACCAGCATTTATTAGTCAAATCACCCAAGCAGTTTCTCAGGCTCTTAGTATTCAGTGGAAACTTCATACCCCCTTACGATTCTCCATCTTCAGAAAAGGTAGAATGGACTAATGGTCTTTTAAAAACACAATTCACCAAGCGCAGCCTCCAACTTAAAAAGGATTGGACAGTACTTTTAACTCTTGCCCTTCTCAGAATTAGAGTCTGTGCTCTAGATACTACAGGGTACAGTCTATTTGAACTTGTATATTGATGCACTGTCTTGCTCAGCCGCAACCTTCTTCCAGACATCAGCCTTCTAGGCAACTATCTTCCAGTCCTCCAGCAGGATAGACAGGAAGTTCATGAGGTTCCTAACCTTCTTTTGCCTACTCCCCAGATTCCCAGCCATATGAAGACACCCTAGCTGTGAAGACAGGAATAGCTGGGTTTCCTAGGCCAGCTAAGAGATCCTAAGCCTAGCTGGGAAGGTGACCACAACCACCTTTAAACACAGGGCTTGTAACTCAGTTCACAACTGACCGATCAAGTAGTAAAGAGGGCTCACTAAAATACAAATTAGGCTAAAAGCAGGAGGTAGAGAAATAGTCAAATCATCTACCATCTTAGAACACAGGGGGAGAGGAAATGATTGGGATATAAACCCCAGGCATTCAAGCCAGAGTGGGCAAATCCATTTGGGTCTCATCCCATTCTATGGGAACTCTGTTTTCACTCTATTAAATCTTGCAACTGCACACTCTTCTGGCCTTCCCACTTCTATACAGTTCAATAATAGACCAGCATTTATTAGTCAAATCACCTAAGCAGTTTGTCCCAGTTTGAGCTAAGCTTTCACTCTCCATCCACCACTGCTGAATGCTACTGCCACAGAGCAGCCACTGATTTTAACCCCTCTGGTTCTGGCAGGGTGTCTGCTGCACTCCTGATCCAGCAAGGCACCCTTTGCCACTCCTGATTGGACTAAAGGCTCACAATTTTTCCTGCGTGGCTAAGTGCCCTGGTTCATCCTAATCAAGTGGAACACTAATCACTGGGTTCCGTGGTTCTCTTCTGTGACCCACAGTTTCTAATAGAGCTATAATACTCACGGCATGGCCCAAGGTTCCATTCCTTGGAATCTACAAGGCCAAGAACCCCAGGCCAGAGGACAAAAGGCTTGCTACCATCTTGGGAGTGGCCCAACACATCTTAGGGGTGGCCTACTACCATCTTGGGACCCATAGGAACAAAGACCCACTGATAATATTTGGTGGCCTGTACAGGGATTCTCCAAATTGCTGAGTAATATTGAAACACTTTCATTGCTATTTTTTCCTAACCTTCGTTAGAATTGGAGGAAAATACCAGGCATCTTTGGTCGCTAAAAACAATTAGCATGGCTGCCAGAGTAAAGACTCAGGTGTGAGACTTCCTGGGAAAAGGCTTTCTAACAACCTCCAGCCCTTCTGGGTTGGGAGTGTTGGTCTTCCTGGAACCAGCTTCTGCTTTCACAATTTTCCTGGGGAAGCCAAGAGTCAACTAGAGGTTGAAAGCTGTCATCCTGAGCTCCTGGCATTGGTTGGTCAATATTATGGTGCAGCCAGAATTCTCTACCCAACAGTCCGCCATGTGTGCATCCCTACCTCTCCTTCTGACCCATACCTCCTGGGTCCTGACCACGACTTTCTTAAAATTATAGCCCCAAAATTCTCCTTACCTCTGAATCTACTTCCTCCAATCCCTGCCTCCTAGATACTAATGCTTCAAACTTTCACTTCCTCTCCCAAGTATTAGAGCATTTGGGCTATCCATGAATTACTGGGTTAAGGATTTTTGATAGGAAGACTATGGGTTGTCAGTAGTCTCCATGTTTTCAGGCTATGCCCTTGTTTACACTGACAATAAGGTAGTACTGGAGTGTTATAGGGTCACAGAGAAGACCTTCAGTTGTCAATTTTAGGTTTTAAATTTACCTCGGCTTTCAAAGAATTAGGGCACAATGTTTTTTCTGTACTACTTCTATCTCTCTCTTTCTGCTTCTCTCATTCCCCTCTCTCTCTCTCTTTGCTCTGTCTTTGACTCTCCCCTTCCTCTCTCTTTTTACTCTCTCTCTCTCTTTCCTCTTTCTCTCTTCCCCTTTTCCCTCTTTTTTTCTCTCTTTTTATGTACATGGATTTTGAGAACAGAGCAGAAGAACATTCACTCATTGCTCCATTTGCCACAATAGGAATATGTGCCTCCCTTTAATTTATTCAATTTGTTTTCACCCTGATTTATTATTTTGTTGTAGACCTAGTTCCAATTGTTAAAGCACTGGATTGTCAGGTCTAAGGCCCTGGCCAAGGAGCCAAGGCTCAGAAATTGTACTGCAGCTGTGTGGGTAAGCTGGGTAAAAATTGGGTGAGACAGCATCTTACACAATGGGAGAGCAATTTTCTTAGCCATTCACAAACTTGGGGCCCCGACAAGGGTGGTGGGGAACAGGTCCCACATAACTGCCCATGTCAAGAGGTGTATACCTAAATTGGGAAGGGCACAAGGGAAAAGACTCCCTGGGTTCACAGCCTAGATGCCTTTGGAGATACAACTTGCTAGAGGAAATGAAGGTCTGAACCATTAGTAATTAGGAGAAGCAGGCAGAATGGGACAAATGGGATAAAAAGAAGGCCACTGCTTTAGTCATGGCCCTCAGGCAAGTGGACTTTGGAGGCTCTGGAATAGGGAAAGACTGGGCAAATTGAATGCCTAATAGGGCTTGCTTCTAGTGTGGTCTACAAAAACACTTTAAAAAAGATTGTTCAAATATGAATAAGCCACCCCCTTGTCCATGTCCCTTATGACAACGGAATCAGTGGAAGGCCCACAGACCCAGGGGATGAAGGTCATCTGAGTCAGAAGCCACTAACCGGATGATCCAGCAGCAGGATGGAGGGTGCCCTGGGCAAGTGCCAGCCCATGCTGTCACCCTCATACAGCCCAAGGTATGCTTGATCATTAAGGACCAGGAGGTTAAATATTTCCTGGACACTGGCACAGCCTTCTAAGTCTTACTCTCCTGTTCTGGACAACTGTCCTTCAGATCCATCACTATCCAAAGGGTCTTAGGACAAGAAGTCACTAGATATTTCTCCCAGCCACTAAGTTGTGACTGGAGAACTTTACTCCTTTCACATGCCTTTCCATTTATGCCTGAAAGCCCCACTCCTTTGATAGGGAGATACATTCTAGCAAAAGCAGGGGCCATTATACACTAGAATTAGGAGAAGGAAAATGGGTAAATATATATACAGACTCTAAGTATGCTTACCTAGTCCTCCATGCTCATGCAGCAATATGGAGAGAAAGGAAATTCCTACCTTCCAAGGGAACACCTATCAAATATCAGGAAGCCATTAGGAGATTATTACTGGCTGCACAGAAATGTAAAGAGGTGGCAGTCTTACATTTCTGGGGTCATCAGAAAGGAAAGGAAAGGGAAATAGAAGGGAGAACTGCCAAGCAGATATTGAAGCCAAATAAGCCACAAGGTGGGACCCTCCATTAGAAATGCTTATAGAAGGACCCCTAGTATGGAGTAATCACCTCTGTGAAACCAAGCCCCAGTACTCAGCAGAAGAAATAGAATGGGGAAAGTCATGAGGATATAGTTTCTTCCCCTCAGGATGGCTAGCCACCGAAGAAGGAAAAATACTTTGCCTGCAGCTAACCAATGGAAATTACTTAAAACCCTTCACAAAACCTTTCACTTAAGCATTGATAGCACCCATCAGATGGCCAAATCATTATTTACTGCACCAGGCCTTTTCAAAACTGTCAAACGGATAGTCAGGGACTGTGAAGTGTGCCAAGGAAATAATCCCCTGCACTTCAGGCCATACGTTTCAATCCGTGTATATTTAACCTCCTTGTTAACTTTGTCTCTTCCAGAAATGAAGCTTTAAAACTACAAATCATTCTTCAAATGGAGTCCCCGATGCAGTCCATGGTTAAGATCTACCATAGATCCCTGTACCGGCCTGCTAGACCATGCTGCAATGTTAATGACATCAAAGGCAACCCTCCCAAGGAAATCTCAACTGCTTGGCCCCTACTACCCCCCAGTTCAGCAGGAAACTGTTAGAGCAATTATAGGCCATCCTCGCCAAGAGCACTTAGGTTTTCCTGTTGAGAGGGGGTACTGAGGGACAAGACTAGCTGGATTTCCTAGGCCAACTAAGAATTATTAAGCCTAGCTGGGAAGGTGACCACAACCACCTTTAAACACGGGGCTTGTAATTCAGCTCACACCTGCCCAATCAGGCAGTAAAGAGGGCTCAGTAAAATACAAATTAGGTTAAAAACAGGAGGTAAAGAAATAGTCAAATCATCCATCATCTCAGAGCACAGGGGGAGGGACAATGATTGGGATATAAATGCCGGGCATTCAACCCGGGAGTGGGCAACCCCCTTTGTGGCTCCTCTCATTATATGGGAACTCTGTTTTCACTCTACTAAATCTTGCAACTGCACACTCTTCTGGTCCATGTTTATTCCCTCTCAAGCTGAGCATTCACTCACGATCCACCACTGCTGAATGCCACCATGGCAGACCTGGCACTGACTTCCAACCCTCTGAATCTGGCAGGGTGTCTGCTGTACTTCTGATACAGTGAGGTGCCCATTGCCACTCCTAGTTGGGCTAAAGGTTCACCATTGTTCCTGCATGGCTAAGAGCCTGGGTTTGCCCTAATTGAGCTCAACACTAGTCACTGGGTTCTACAGTTCTCTTCAGTGACCCATGGCTTCTAATAGAGCTATCACACTCACTGCATGGCTCAAGGTTCCATTCCTTGGAATCTGTGAGGCCAAGAACCCCAGGTCAGAGAATAAAAGGCTTTCCACCCTCTTGGGAGTGGCCTGGCCCATCTTGGAGTGGCCTGCCACAATCTTGGGAGCTCTAAGAACAAAGACCCACCAGTAAAACAGCTGGATGATCAGTTCTTGTTAAGAATCTGACCCCTCAAACTCTACAACCTTGATGGACTAGAACCCACTTAGTCATCTATAATACCCCAATGGCCGTCCATCTGTAGTACTAGTCATCTATAATACCCCAATGGCCGTCCATCTGTAGTACTCTCCCAGTTGTGTTCACCATTCCACAAGAAAGCTGTGACCCTCAGATAGCCAGCTGATCTCTCTTCTTCCTCCTGGAAGTTGCAAGTACTCACCCTTACTTTTCTTAAACTAATCTGCATTTCTGAAGAACAGTAGTAACACTTATGAGTCTAATACATCCTTTTATTTTGTTACTTCTATTCTTCCTTACCCTATTCTTTACAACAGGGCTTTACGCAGTCACCCCTACTACGTGGATTGCACCCCAAATACTTTTAATCCTGCTATCTTCTGCCTAGTCATACTCCTATTCTTCTTTCTCATCTACCCATAATGCCCTGCCCTTGTCTACATTTCCAGATTACACTTTTTCTCCAAACCATCATAGCTGATATCTCCTGGTCTTACCTACATCTCTGAACCTCCTTTAACAGCCCTCATCTTTACTCTCCTAAAGAACTTCTTTACTTCCTAGACAGATTTGTGAGAAATCCCCAGATATTTTACACCAACAAGCTGCCACAATTCTCCATGTCTATTTACAGCATCTTTCTTTTTATGTCAGTTCCATCCCCCCATATTTGGACCCCTCACAACACAAACTACTATCCCTGTTGCCACTCCTTTGTTCATCTCTCAGCAAAGACCCACTAGAATTCCCTTAGACGACCTTTCACCTTTTCTATGCTCCTTCACACTTCATCCCCAAAGCCCAACTATATACATTACCAAAACCGTTAGGGCTTTTCAGCTCCATATTACAGATAACCCTTCTATCAATACTGATAAACTTAAAAATATTAGCAGTTACTATTGCTTGCATTTCACTCCATCCTTGGCTACCTTCCCCTTATTCTTCGGACTCTCCTCCTAGCCCCCATTCTTGTTTACTTATACACAACCCCATGTATAGCAATGAAAGATTGCTTGTAGCGACTATGTGCTTTCTTATACACCATAAAAATCAAACCTCCCCCTCTACCCAGTTACCCCATCAATCCCCATTACAGCCCTTAACAGCTGCTGCCCTTGCTAGATCCCTAAGAGTCTGGGTGCATGAGCCCTCTTTTGGTGCTCCCTCTCATCTTTTTCTTTACATTTCCAGTTTTGCCTTACAAAAATCCCTTCTTCCTCTGTGGCTCTTCCACCTACATGTATCTACCTACTAATTGTATAGGCACATGTACACTAATTTCCTTGACTCCCAAAATTCAATTTGTAATTGAGAGCTAAAATCTTCCTGTTCCCCTCATGACACCAACAAGACAAAAAAGTGTCATTCAACTAATTCCCTTAGCTGACTCTCTTTTTGGACTCAGCCCCCCTGCACCCACGTGATTAAAAAGCTTTATGCATCACGCAAAGCCTATTTGGTGGTCTCCACACAGAAGTGTGTGACAAGAAAAATGGATGCAAGATGGAGTTTTTGTAGGGGCAAGTGTAAGACATGACACATGTAGAGCAAATGTCTAGGGATTTTAAAAAGCTCCTGGGCATAGAAGCTGTTAGAATAAGAGGATTTAAGGTACCCTCAGAGCTGAATAATTGTCAGTTAAAGCAATGCCCCTGCAATTAATAAAAGTAAGGGCCTTACTGCAAGTCAGCTTGTTTTATTCATTTTGTTCATGAAAAGAATCAACTCTGTAAAATATTTGCATAAATTTATTTTCAGCCAAGTATAAGTAACCAATTGCTCATGACACAGTGCTCAGGAGACCCAGAGAACATGTCCAAGGGGGTTGAGGTACAGCTTGATTTTATACACTTTAGGAAGACATAAGACAACAATCAAAATAGGTAAGATGTACATTGTAATGGTCTGGAAAGGTGGAAAAGCTGAAAGCTGTGGGCTTCCAGGTTGTATGAAACAAACTCAAAGATTTTTGGATTGACAGTTGGTTGAAAGAGTTTATCTAAACACTTGGAATCAGTATAAAGTATATGTCGAGTTAAGACAAAGGATTGTGGAGACCAACGTCCTTAATATGCAGATGATGCTTCCAGGTAGCAAGCTTTGGGGAGAATAGATTCTAAGTTATTCTTAATAGACTTAAAAAGGTGTCAGACTCTTAGGTGATTCGACCCTGGATCAGGGAAAAGGCCTGGAAAAGAGAAAGGGATTTTCTAAAGAATGTAGATTTCCCCTGACAAAAGACAAGTTTGCAGGGCTATTTCAAGATATACCAAAGAATCGTACTCAAGGTTAAGATATTTTGATTTTCTTCTTTATCTGTTTTGTGATATTATGTCATAGTCAGGTTGGAAACTAAGCTATGTTATATGGTGGTTAAATAAAACTTCTCTCATGAGACTTTATGGTTTGTGAGGCATGACTACTCAGACCTCTTAGACAGAAAGTTGGACAAGACAAGAAAAAAAAGGTGACAGTTTAGTCCTCAAATTAAATATTGCAGTATTTTCATTGAATATCTCAATATAATGAGGTTCCCAAATTTTATCTGAAAGCCCATACTATGACAAAAAAAGGTTAGACTTGAACCATAATTTATAACCACCAAAACAGCTTTCTGTATTTATAATATGTGTTGATATTGATTTCTGCTCATTACCAGAACACCAGGGGTTCAGACTTGTTCCTGCTGCTCACCACACAGAAAACCAATCACTGAGGCATCAAATGTTGCCAAGGAGAAGGTTTTAATCATGTCTTGTAGCCAAGGGGATGAGAGCACAGTCTCAAATCCATCTCCCTGAACAACTGAAAGTAGGACTTTATATAGCAAGGAAGAAATGTAACTGTGTGTAAGAAAACAAGAACTAGAGAAGGGTAAGGAAGTAATCATGATGAATGAGGAGTCCATCATCTCATTGTCAACCTGTGGCGATCTGGTGCAGTCGCATGATCTTTGCTCACTGCAACATCCACCTCCTAGGTTCAAGAAATTCTCCTGTCTTGGCCTCCTGAATAGCTGGGATTACAGGTGCACACCACCATACCTGGCTTAGTTTTATATTTTTAGTAGAGATAAGGTTTAGCCATGTTGGCCAGGATGGTCTTGAACTCCTGACCTCAGGTGATCCACCAGCCTCCGCCTCCTGAAGTGCTGGGATTACAGGCTTCAGCCAACGTGACTGGCGTGAAACTTTTTTTGAGAGGCCTGAAGGCTGTATCCTGAAGAAGGAATTCAGATAAAACAAACTTAAGCTTCAAGCATTAAGAAAGGTCAATTTATATGTTTATCCAAAAGAACAGTCTATAGGTCAGTATCACTTTCAAAGAGAGGTAGTGACAAAGATTCTCTGCTTGACCAAACTTTGTTTAGGCCACTGATCCTTCTCCTAGGTCCAGTTACTTGTAAGAGTGCATGGCTTTGTAAACTCTATTTGTAACAAATAACCTGCCAAGTCAGATTAGCCAAAGTAATACCTTATTAAATAGGCTTCTAAACAAAGAGTATAATCAGATATAAATTGAAATATTTCTCAAAGTTATAAGGGTCAGCTTACCAAGAGGATATAAAAATCCTAAATATGTATGCCTCTAAAAACAGATATTCAAAGAAAATAAAGCAAAAATTAACAGAAATAAAGGCAGATACAGAAAAATCCATTGTTAAAGTTGGAAATGGGGACAATCCTATTTCAAAACAAGTTGACCAAAAAAAAAAAAAAATTCCCAAAAACTTAAGCATGTAGATTCAGGTTGGAAAATACAGAGTATTTGAACCACATTATCAATCATGTCATCTTAATAGATATTTATGAAGCATGATATCCCACAATTTACACAATTTGCAAGTGTTGCAGGACTTTTCTGTGGTTCAGCTAAAGATGAGGTACTTGTCCGTCTCATGGCCACAAACATTTAGGCTGGCAGATGATTTGAAGAATGAGTAAGACAGGGTTTATTGGGTGAAAAGAATAACAGGGGAAACAGGGACACTTTCAAGGCCAGAATCCATGCTAGAGCACCTTCTGCCCAGCCTTTCAAATCCTTAGTTCTCCACAGGAAGAGAAGGGGCCAGGCTTCTCCTCCCTGCAAATGGCATGAACTTCCTGAGGCTCCACCTCAGTCCTCATTCTTCCCAGGGCACAGTATTTCAAGACTTAAGCAATACATCTAAAATCATGTGAAGAGAGACATTGATGGCTTTAAATACTTACAATTTTTGAATAAAGAAAATATCTAAAATCAGCAATCTAGGCTTTAAACTTTAGAATGTAGGAAAGGAACACTGAATAAAGCCAAAAAGAGAACAAAAGTCAATAAAGGAGAGAAAATAGTTAGTATATAAAAAACCAAACCTTAGAAAAGTGAAACATTAACAATGTTTATTTGAAAAGCTCAATAAAGTTGATAAGCTATTAGTTAGACTGATCAAGAAAAAAAAGAGAAAAAGGATTGCCAAAGTCAAAAATGAAAGAGAGGATATTACCGTAAATTCCGTAAAGATAGTAAGAGAATATCATGAATGACTTTATTCTTAGAATTTTGATGACACAGGTAAAATGAATGATTTTATTAAAAACACAATTTGCCAACAGTGTCACATAAAATAGATATCCCAAATAGCACTATATCTGTCAAAGAACTTGAATTTATAGTTAACCGCTAGCTGCTGCCAGCTGCCCCCCTCACCCCACCAACCCACTCCAAAATCAACCACTTTGTCTTGACTTGAATTCTCCAGTGAATTCTACTGAATATATTTTTTAAAAGAATCTCAAATTAATTTGTAGAAAAGGAGGAAGTAATACTTCCAGACTTTTAAAATAATGGATCCAGCATAATCCTAACACTAAAACCAAAGAAGTACATTCTAAGGAAAGCAGTTTAGAGACTAGTATCACTCATGACAATAGATGATGCAGGAATTCTCCTCAAAATTCTAGCAGATGGAATCTAGCTAAATATACGAAAAAGAATGTTTCATTATATTGTGAGGTTGATACCAGGAATGCAAAGTAGGTTTGACATTTTAAGAAAAGTGTAATTAACCATATCACTAGCAGATTAGAAGAGAAAACTACTATGATCATCTCGATAAATGGAGATAAAACCATTCACAACATCCAACATATATTCATGACTTAACACACACATTCAGTAATAACAGAGTATAAATAGAAAAGAAAGTCCAACTGGATAAAGAACACCTTTAAGAAGCCTTCACCTAACATCACATTATAAGGTTAAATATTCTATCCTAAAATTGGGGAGAATGCCAGGAAGGATGTCCCTCTTAACACTTCAAATGAAATCTATAGAAGAAGTTCTATAAGTTTTGAACTTATAGTACAAAACAGACAAAAAGGAAGTTAGATGGATAGATAGATAGAAGATAGATAGATAGATAGATAGATAGATAGATAGATAGATAGATAGATAATGGGTGGATAATAGACATGTAAATGATAATTTATAGATACCTAGATGGATGAACAGATAGAATTAATGATGTGTAGATAGAGGATACATGGATACAGAAATATTATATTCAGATAAAAATAGATAATAATAAGTAGATGGATAGAAGGAATGATAATAGATATTATAGATACAGATAAATGATATGATAGATAATGGATAAGTAGACATGCTAGATGATAGATACATAGACAGATAGAGATAGATGATTGAAAAAAGGTTGAGAATGAAGAAAAAAGATTATTCACAGGTGGCTTTATACATGTAGAAAATTCAAAGAAATCTATAATCAAACTGCTGGATCCTATAAATGAGTTCTACAAGTTCCTAGGCTGCAAATTTTCTATATTCTACTAATAAAAAATCACCATATGTGATTCAATTCCATTTACAATTGATTGTAAATCACTTCTGTGTACAATGGCATCAAGACACAATGCATCTAAAATACATTTAAGAAAATTGTCAAAAACCTCTATTGTGAAAACTGCACAATAGTGCCAACTTGAATTATAGAAGCCCTAAGTATCCCTAAAGTGATCTATAGATTCCAAACAAATGAAATGAAATATGCAGAAGACTCTTTTGCAGATATTGGGAAGCTGAAACTAAAATTTAATGTAAGTATAAAGGATCTAGAGTTGCCCGAAAAAAGTCAAAATAAAGAAAGTAATTATTTGACCTGATTTTAAATGAATTATGAAATTACAGTTGTGAAGACAGCATGGTACGGTATAAGGATACACAGAGTCTTATAGAATAGAGACTGATAGAATAGAGTCAGTAGTTCAGAAATTAACCCACTCATACTCAAACAATTTTGACAATTGCATCACACAAATCAATGGGGAATGGTGAGAGGTTTTAATGGCTGGGATTGGATTCCCTAGCACAGAAAATGTGCATCTTCATCTATATTTTAAACTGTCCCCTAAAATAAACTCAGAATGATTTGTAGACTGAAATAAAAAAGACAAAAATGAAAATAAAAAGTAAACAAAACTAGAAGATGACATGGGAGAATGTCTTTGCAACTTGGGAACAGGCAAAGATTTTCGAAGCAGAATACTAATCTTATAATAACAATATAAACTACAGACATCACAGTTTAAAACTTTTTATCCAAAGGAAAATTAAACAAATAAAAAGACAAGGCACAATATGAGCAAATATATTTGTAGTACAAATGCCTGAGAATTAACTCATAGTCATATTTCACACAAACTTAATATATATCAATAATAAAGACATAATTCAAAATGGAACAAAAATGTTAAATAGACACATGTGGGAAGAATGATATAGGGCTGTCCACCACACTCTTGAAATGATTCTCATTATCAGTACTTATTAACAAAGTAAAAATTAAAAGAAACATGGTACACCACCATGAACCCAATAAAATGGCTGAAATTAGCAAATTATCAATATGAAGAGTTGGAGAAGACATAAATTACTTCAGTTCTTACTGGTAAGGGTGTAAAATGGCACAATAGCTATGTAAATCAGGCAGTTTCTTTTACGACAAACAATCTACAATTCCCATAAATACACTTTTATGCAAAAAACAACACATTCACTAAAGACTTCAGTTGAACACTATTCATGTTTTCACATGAATAGAAACATTTACATTTATAAGCTCATTGGATTATACATTGAAGTTCCACAAACTTTATATAATTTTACTCCAATAAAATGCACAAATCCTAGATCGAATACCATAAACACAAAAACTCCAAATGCTAATACTCTTTTCAGTCAAGCTGCACCTCAGAGTTTTCTGTATGCAGTAGAAAGGTGAAGACAGTAGCCACTTAAAGATAATCAACAATTTTCAAGGTAATATAGGAAGGATGTATGTTGATATGTGTTTACATGTATATGTCCTTTTATTTGTGTGTATGTATGCTATCAGAATATATTTACAGAAAGAAAGAGAGACTATTTTATTCATATGTGCCTGTGTAAATATTTTGGTTGATAGGACAATAAAGATATAAAAATACTTTTTTTCTTTTGAGACAAGGTATTACTCTGGGGCCCAGACTGGAGTGCAGTGATGGGATCATAACTCCCTGTAGCCTCAACCACCTGGGCTCAAGTGATTCTCCCACCTCAATTTCCTAAGTAGCTGGGACTACAGTTGTGCCACTATGTCTGGCTAATATTTTTATTTTTATTTTTTGGAGACATGGGTTCTCCCTATATTGCCCAGGCTGGTTTTGAACTTGTGGGCTCAAGGAATACTCCTGCCTTGGCCTCCCAATGTGTTATTGTTACAGGCATGAGCCACTGAACCCTGCCTAAAAACCTAGTTTAATCTGCCACAATTCAGATCATTGTCTGGATAACTGAAACTGACCATCTTTATCAGCTATAAACATACACTTCAGAGGCAATTCTGTCTCTATGTATTTAGAGGCAGCTTTAGTCTACTTGTCATTACCAGAAGATGACTTCAATTATATATCCATAAAGATTTATATTTTACAGAGATTCCTGTTTTACTCTTGCCCTAAAACTCCCTTCTGAATAAGCTGTAGTAATAAGGCAATTGATGTCCTGCTCCTTGCTTAATAAGAATTTGAACAATTAAGACAATCAAATGATAAAAATCTGAAATGCAAAATGAAAGAAAATACATTATGTTTACACACACACACACAGACACATACACACACACACACAATGTTGTGTAATTAACTCCTAGTTAGAGACCTGATTTTTAAAACATGAGCTTCTATATTTAAGTAAAATCATGCTGCGTTGAATTCAATTAATGAGACTTATTTTCCAAACTTAACTGACAAAAGTTTAGGTAACAATCTAGAATAAGTTATGCACTGAACATTGATTATTTCAAGAATGGATTCTCAGAATGACTTTGGCAATATTGGTTCTAGATTTGGAAACTACATGATGAATACATGCCTGACCTTTGTACAGCGAGAATACATGGCTTAGAGAAGTAACTGGAAGTTATTCAAGTAATAAAAGCCAATGTCTACATGTTCTTTTGCCTGTTTGATTATTTCTAGAATCTAAACTTAAAACAAGGCAACACATTCATGTGTGAGCTTTATTTCAACATAAAGATCTAAACAGAAATCATTTTCTTTATCCATTCATCTGTTGATGGATATGTAGGCTATTTCCAGATCTTAACTATAATATTATAAACAGTGCAAACATAGGAGTGCAGATATCTCTTTGATAAGCTGATTTCCTAGGTGAAATAAGCCAGGCACAGAAAGACAAGCATTGCATGTTCTCACTTATTCATGGGAGCTAAAAACAAAAGCAATTGAACTCATAGACATAGAGAGTAGAAGGATGGTTACCAGAGTCTGGGAATGGTATTTGGTGGCTGGCAGTAGAGAGGTGGGAACAGTTAATGGGTACAAAAAAATGGAAAGAATAAATAAGACCTACTATTTGATATCATGCCAGCATGACTATAGTCAATAATAACTTAATTGTACATTTTAAAATATCTTAAAGTGTGTAATTGGATTGTAACTCAAAGGATAAATGCTTGAGGGGATGGATGCCCCATTCTCCGTGATGGCTTATTTCACATTTCGTGCCTGCATCAAAACATCTCATGTACCCCATAAATAGATAAACTTACTATGTACCTACAAAAAATAAATATTAAAAATGATTTTCAAAGATAGGAAGGAAAACCAAAGTAAAAATAAACAGATTATTATTGATCTGTTATGGTGAAAGGTACATCATCCTATATAATGCATATGTTAAATCTAAAATTCGATATCACTATCCATTCATAACATAAAGCAAAAAAAAAGACATAAAATTTGAAATGCCAAGGCTTTATATTTTTAATAAAATAAAATTTTTGTGGGAAATTATGTACCTGAAATATCTACAGATGTGTAGACTCCCTGAAATATTACTCATCACTCATGTTTCCAGCAATATGTGAAGCTCTCAAAAAATCTAATATTTTCTAACATGAAGACATTTAACACAAATGCTGCCTTTTCTAACTGTTGTTCAGAGATTTTAATAAATATGTGATTCCTAAAATGAGTAGCTTTTTAAAAGTCCTATCAAATGTAGCAGCTAATTTAAAGCTCTGAGTCAATGTTACATTGCATTGAAGTTTATTTTATTTATTTTGTTTTGCATTACATTTTATAAATATATTTTGCAGAGAGGAAGAAAGTACCACATCCTATGCTGTAGTTTCCAGACTCATCCACTGATCTCGATTAGGGTAAATATGGTGCCAGGGAAAGTGGATGTCAATTGGGATATGCAGTCTAAAGCCACAAAGACCCATTTCAGTTCAAAGACAGCAGATAATTATCCATCCAAGGGAATAGCAGAGGGGAACAATATGCACTTTTATTTAGATATGTAAATTCAGGTAATATTTTAAAAATAATAGCCTCGTATTTGTGTTTACATATATTAAAACTTTTCATCCAAAGCATCAGTAATGAAGAGAACAACAACTCAAATCCGGGATTAATGTTTTGAATGGACACTTATCGGAACAATGATATATGAATGTCCTTGTATCATTATTTCTAAATGACAACTGTTTCTATTGAATTTTCAGAAACACAGTTGTATCCAGTCTTCAATTTTCTAGAGTAAACATAGAAATAGTTTTTCACTGAAATACACAGTAATAGGAAGGAATACTTGTGGCTGCCTTTCCTTTCCTCTTCTTTGAAGTGCTTACGACTTACAGAGCAAAGCCTTGTTCTGTGAGTCATAATATATTTAGTTCCTCCGATTACCAAATATTTAAACTGCAGACCTTCCCTGTTTATCAGGATGAGAGGATATAAGAGATTTATTACTTATCCAAAAGCAAGGAGCTGAGCCCTTTTTGTAGACTGAATTAATCTGAGTTTTAACTGATGGATCAAGTACAACATAATTTTTCCAGGCACCTCTACTATGCATTATTTTGAATGTTGGGATTAATATCCAAGAGTATTTTGTGGACAACTTTTTTATCTTGTAACTAAAATTTTTTTTAAAAAGATTTAAAATTGAAATGTTTTTATAGATGTTTTGTTTAAAATATCTGTTTGGAGAAGAAATTATGTCAGGTGGGGGACAGAGAAGAACACTGGTAACTTATAACACAATACTATCTCTTTCATTTAAATAAGGAAGTTAATTTGTTTCATAAATGGCAGATTGGAATGATTATGGCAGGGAAATAAATTTGAGGATTCCAGAGCCTCTTTAAACAAATCTATTGGATTTCTGAGTTTTCTTTGCCTACACTGACTTTTTAACATACACCAGTCCATCCTAAGAAACTGTGTTAGACAGAGAAACATACCCATCTGGTTACAACATGCATGGATTTGTAATGGCATGTTAGTAAGCAACAGATCAGATAAGTGTATTATCCATAACTTATAGGCTGTGAGGACATTCTCTGAAATTTTTACAACGGTGCATCCCATGGATTCTGGCTTTAACATAAGTAGGTTAATAACATGATTTCAAGAAACAACGAATGAATAAGTACTGAAATGAAAGTCTATTCTAAGATGCCATATTCAAGGGTAAAAAGAAAAGGGAACCTTCCTACACAGTTGGTGGGAATGTAAATTAGTACACTATTAGTGTAAGTTTCCTCCAAAAGCTACAAAAAGAGCTACCATACAATACAGCATTTCCACTGCTGGGTGTACCTACAAAAGAAATGAAATCAATATTGGAGAGATGACTGCACTCTCATGTATATTACAACACTATTCATAATAGTTGAGATATAGACCAACTTAAATGCCTGTCAATGGATGAATAGATAAAGAAAATGTGCATATTCACCATGGGATATTATTCAGCCATGTAAAAGAATGAGCTCTTATCATGTCTAGCAACATAGATGGAATTGGAGGCCATTTGTGAAATAAGCCAGACACAGAGTGACAAATGCGCAGGACCTCATTCATCTGTAGGCATTAAACAGGCAGATCTCATGGAGGAAGAGAGTAGAATAATAGGTATGAGAGGATGAGAAGAGTTTTTGTGTAGGGAGATGAAGAGAGATTGGCCAATGGGTACAAAGATGCACTTAGATAGGAGGAGTAAGTTCTAGTGTTCAATAGCACGTAGGATGACTATAGTTAATAATGTATTGTGTAATTCAAAATAACTAGAAGACAAGAATTGGGAGAATTGCAAGACAAGAACTGAGGTGACAGATATGTGAATTACCCTGATTTAATCATGACACATTTTATTCATGTGTATTAGTTCACTTAAACACTGCTATAAAGATACAACCTGAGACTGGGATATTTATAAAGGGAAGAAGTTTAATTGACTCACAGATCTACATGGCTGAGGAGGCTTCATGAAACTTACAATCATATGGAAGGCAAAGTGGAAGCAAGCACCTTTCTCGCAAGGTGGCAGAAGAGAGAAAGAGAGAAGGAGGAAACGACAGATATTTATCAACCAGATCTCTTGAGCACTCACTCACTATCATGAGAACAGAAAGGGGGAAATCCATGCCCCCAAGTTCAATCACCTCCCACCAGGTCCCTCCCCCAGGACCTGCAGATTACAATTCAAGATGAGATTTGGGTTGGGGACACAGAGCCAAACCATATCAGCATGTATCAAAACCTCACATGTGTCCCATAAACATGTACAACTATTCTTTATCAATTGAAAACACAATAATTTACTGCCCAACAAATATTTATTTCAAAGAAAAAAGCAAGAAACACCCCCCACCCCAAAAAAAGATGGCTTAAGGATAGTGTTCACCACTCAATGGTCAAATAGTGTTTGCGTCTATGAGGTGTTTTGACTCATCTTGTGAAATGTATATCAGAACCGTCTACTCCCAGGACACATTGAGGGTCTGGTATTGATTTATCCACTGGAATCTGCCTCCCATTCATCAGGAGTTGCCTTTCAGAGGAAACTTTCTCTAGAAGAAAGTAAGAAGGTCAGATACTGTAAGGCACAGCTGCATAAAATGAGTAAAAGTCTATATGGATAAACAGTCTCAATAGGGGCTGAAGTAAAAAATGCTCAAAGTCTATGAAGAGCCCCCAGTGCTGTTAATAAATACATGTATGCCTCACTTCTGCCTCAATAATTTATTTACATTCAGCAAATGTTTACTGAATGTCTACTATGTGAAACATTCCATCTCTCTCTCTCTCTTTTTAATCTCAAGCAACATTATCAATCTCATAAAAACCACAAGTTCTTCCTGGAAAAATACAATGCTCATAAACTTTTGCTCATAATCTTTGAAGGTGGATTAGAGCTCTTGGAATGCCATCTAGCTCACAAGTATAGGTCCAGATACGTAGCACCATGCTAAGCACTTGAGAAGTATTAATAGGATAAGTAAAATCTTAATTGTAGCATGTGACTTCAGGCCTGTAATCCCCGCACTTTGGGAGCGCGAGGCAGGTGGATCACCTAGGTCAAGAGTTCAAGACCAGTCTGGCCAACATAGTGAAACGCTGTATCTACTAGTAATACAAAAAATTAGCTGGGTGTGGTGGTGGGTTCCTGTAATCCCAGCTACTTGGGAAGTTGAGGCAGGAGAATCGCTTGAACCCAGGAGGCAGAGGTTGCAGTGAGCCGATAACGAGCCATTGCACTCCAGCCCTGGCAACAAGAGCAAAACTCCATCTCAAAAAAAAAAAAAAAAAAAAAAAAGAAACAAAGAAAACTTTTAATTGTGTCACTGAGAATGCTTTAATTAGTGGAATAGAACCATAAGCATGCACCAATATTGTAAGAGAGATTGAAGACCAGTGCTAGTACTGCAGATAAGTTTCTAAAGAAGCCACCAACAAGGGTGTGTGATTATTTCTAACTGGGTACATCATAGGTAGTTGTCCCATGCAACTACAAAATATCACGTGATAGGATCCCATGATTTTTCACTTCTGAGTAATATTCCATTGTGGATAGGTGTATTTTCTTTATCCATGCATCCATTGATGAACACACAGGTTGTTTTATATCTTGACTGTTATGAATAGTGTTGTAATATAAATGAGAATGCAGTCGTCTCTCCAATATTTTGTAGTTCTTGCCTGGATAACTCCAAATACATATATATGAGTGGAAAATTATTTATCCAACAAGGATTTGCAAGGCATTTACAAAATGTCAGGCCCTATGTTCTTGGATGCGCAGTGCTAAAATGGATGGAAAATGTTAGACAATTCTTATATAAGCAACAAACACCATAAATAGTAGAAATGATGGGACTCATTGCCATCTTAATGGGCAAATTTTCTTTTTTTAAGAGATTAAGTTTCATTATGTTGCACAGGTTGGTGTCAAACTCCTGGCCTCAGTGATCATCCTGAACCATTTATCTATCACATCTATTTCTGTCTGTCTATATATATTTATATATCTTTCCTTCCTGTCTATCCATATCTATCTATATATCTATGTATATATCTCTCCATCTATCAATTATATACTTCTATTCTCTACTTACTACCTATCTTAATAATCATCTGTTTAACTACCCATGTATCTATCATTTGTTTACCTATCTATCCATCCATCACCTGTTATCTACCTCAATATCTATTATACATGTATTATCTGCTACCTATCTTTCTCAATATCTACCATGTCTATCTTTAATCTATCATCTATTTCTACATTTATCCATCATCTGTCATGATATGTCTATCAATCATCTATTATCTATTGTATCTGTGTATTTATTTATATCTATCATATATCTGTCACATCTGTCAATCACATCTATTGTCTATTATGTATCATATGATCTACATATGTAACTATCATATATATATCATCGGTCTATTGATTTATCATGTCTATCTCTTTATCATATCATTAACCCCTCTATCACATCTATCTCTCTGTCTATCTCTCTATCTAGTATCTATCTATCTACCTATCTGTCTTTCTATGTCATGTATCCTATTCAGCCTTGGTTTCTTATTTGAAAAAAAGACAAGTAGGCACACTTCCATTCATCTATTGTCCTGTTCAAACCTCCAATTATTTAACTGTTCATAATTTCTGTGGAGGCTGTGTTAGGCAAGTGAACTGAAAGCATACAATAGAATTTTTAGCTCCTCGGGACACTCAGTCCAGTGTTCAAATAAGAAGACTTAATGAAACTGAGACAAAATGTCCTGCAGTGCACTGAGTGCTTGTTGTCATTTCCCCAGTTGCCTACAAATCTTCTATGGTAAGGAGAAGCAAAATGAGTAAAATAGCATTGAGATGAAAGAGAAATAAGAGAAGAAAAAGAATGAGAAGCAAAATAAGAAAGAAAAAGTAGTCAAAGATGAGAAAAAGAATAACATTGTCAAACTAGCACTGCTGGATTCTCCGATGTAGCCCAGATGTTGGGCTTAACATTGATTTCCTCCACATCACCACAACCATCACTGACAGGTCTGTGTGAGGCATCTGTTACTTGTAGTTCACTGATAAGGCAACTGAGGGTGAGAGAGACTCACTAAATTTTCTAACATCTTGCTAAATGGAAGAACCCCAACTGGGGTTTGAATGCTCTGCAGTGAGCTTTTAAGAAAAACAAAACAAAACAAAACAAAACAAAAAACTCAGTATTGGATAAAAAGGAGAAGCTTGGTATTGGAGAAACAGGATTCATGCCCTGCATTGGTCACCTAAGCTTCCCAGAAGGTAGCTGTGCTTTGCTGGGTCTGACCCTGATATCAGTCTGTGTAACAGAGATGGCTAGAGTGAGTTCCTGTGTCTTGTACGTGTCCTTTTCTTTCTTAAGTTACAGTAGTGGTCAGTTACTAATATAAAGCCTTTTACTTGAGGGGGTGGTAATTTAGCAATCACTTAAAAAAGTAAATTCTGGAAATCATGTCTTCAAAAGCATCAAGGTCGTTACTTATTTTTTAATTTAAGAAAGGATAGATAATTCAAAATTTTTGTTTGTTTGTGTGTCTTTAAAACACAATCTCACTCTGTCACCCAGGCTAGAGTGCAGTGGAGCTCACTGTAGCCTCAAACTTCTGGGATCAAGTGATCCTCCCATCTCAACCTCCTTAGTAGATGAGACTAGAGGTGCCTGCTATCATGTCTGGCTTTTTTTTTTTATATATAGAGAGAGATAATGTCTCTTTATGTTTCCCAGGCTGGTCTTGAACTTCTGATATCAAGTGGTTCTCCCACCTCAGCCCCCCAAAACTCTGTTATTACAGCTATGAACCACGACACCTGGCCCCATTTTTAAAAATAATTATTTTACTTAACTTAGCACTAGGGCTTTCAGGAGGAGATGGTTAGTAATTTGTAAAACAAGAGTTTCCCAAGATACAATAAATTGCTTATTACTGAAATTATGAGATAAAAGACATATAGTATGTGTGATTATATTTGTTTTTATTTCACTAATAAAAATAATGGTTAAATGAGTGTTTACATACAATATCCTTTAAAAACCACCTTTATTTTTCTTTAACGTGCAAAACATTATCCTATTTACATGTGTGTTTGTTACCTCTTCACATAATCTTGTTAAAATTGGAAATGAGTCAAAGACTATGAATGAATATTCTTTGGATCTTCATATGCTTTGCATAAAGTTTATGAAGATTGTTGAGATTGCATATGCAGTTCTTCAATAAGTACACATGGTTAACTCTATTAGGAGCTATAATTGAGTACAAATTATTGAATAATACCAATGAAGAAATAGAGTCCCTGCTGTCATAGAGACTATGGATCAGTAGAAGAGTAGAGAAAGATAAAAAAGTTATTATATACACTATGTACCTATACCTTGTGCTAAGTGTTCTGAAGGTAAAATACAGGGTGAGAGAATATAGGAATAATGGAAACATCTCTGCAGAATTTATATGAATCTGAGACATCAGAGGGAGACAGCAGCAAGGGAACCCCAAGAAAGAAGTGAAGGGCTCCAGAAGAACATTTTAAGGATGGAACAAACTTGTCTTTGCCCAGAAATTTAAAGACTGGTGTATCTGAATCCAAGAAACTCTAGGGGAGCAAGGAATGGAGGAGGGAGCTGCCTGTGGGATCCAGGTAAGATGGGGACATTGTCAGTCATGGTCACCTTCTTTAGAACTTCAAGTACAATGAGACACAGGGAATGACAAGGCCAAATTTCTGTTGTAAAGAGATCATTGATTGCTCTCTAGAGGAAAAATTTAAAAAGACCAAATGGAATTGTACAAGTCTACTCGATGACCCTGTTATACTTTTACATGATGACTTCTTATGGCAGAAAGAAAAACATCACTCTTATTTTTATGGTTTCCCCATAGATACACTCAAAAAAGCTCCTAGGATGCTGCCAGATAGTTATATAGATAGATCAATAATAGGTAGATAGGTAGATAGATAAATGAGATAAATGACAGATAGATGGATAGATGATAGACAGACATTGATTGATAGAAGATAGCTAGCTAGCTATATAGATAGATACATGATATTTAGATGGATGGATAGATGATGGATATAGATGGATTGATAGAGGATAGATGATTGATAGATAGATAGATAGTAGGATGATAATAGATCATAGAAAAATGGAAGATAGAAAGATAGATAGATAATACGGAGACAATAGATAATAGATAAATGGAAGATTAATAGATAATAGATACATAGATAAATATAGATAGATTGATAGATGATAGATAAATAGATAATAGATGGATGATAGGTATATGGATAGATGACAGATAGATGATAGAGAGATAGCTAGATGATGGATAGGTAGGTAGGTAGATAAATGGCAGATAGGTGATAGGTAGATAGCTAGAAAATAGGTAGATTAACAGACAGACATATAGATAAATAGATGCATAGATCGATCAATAGATAGATGATAGATTAGATAGATGGGGAGATGGAATAGATGAATGGATTTATAGATACATTGAAAGTCAGACTAGAAAATTTGGGCACAAAGATTGAATGTATTTTTTAAAAAACACAATATGCTGTGTATCTTGACTAATTTGGTCTACACAAAACAAAAACTCAAGAGTAAGTGAATTGAGGAATTAATGGGATTACATTGTTTTTATCTTCTCTACACAACAAATGGTTCAGGGGTGTTATGGGTTGTGTGATGTCTCTTCAAAAGTCATATTTACCTGGAATCTGGAAATAAAAGTCTATGTGGAGAATCATCGCCCTCTCAATTATGCTCTAACATTGTCACCCACTAATATGTATTATTTCTGGAGATCCATTATATGTATTGTGTATATATATATATAGTTATATATACATATTTTTATATATTTATATAGCTATATATAAATAAATGACAGTTGGCCAACACAGTTGTTACAGACACTGACATCTTGTGCAGTCAAAAATCCATGTATAACACTTATCTCCCCAAAGGTTAACTATTAATAGCCTACTGTTGACCCAAGCCTTACTGATAACATAAACAGCAGATTAACTCATATTTGGTATGTGATATGCATTATATACTATGTATACTGTATTATTACAATAAAGTAACCTAGCAAAAATAGAATGTTAAAGAAAATCATAAGGCAGAGAAAATACATTTACTATTCATTGAGTGGAAGTGGATCCTCATAAAATTCTTCACTCCAGTCATTTTCATGTTCAGGATGCTGAGGAGGAGGAGGAAGAGGAAGAGGAGGCTTTGGTCTGGCTGTCTAAGGGATCCAAAGGCAGAAGGAAATCTATATATAAGTGAGCCCATGCCATTCAAACTCACGTTGTTCAAGGGTCAACTTTATCTATCTATCTATCTATCTATCTATCTATCTATCTATCTATCTATCTATCTATCTATTTATCTATCTATGTATCTACCTACCTACTTACCTACCTATATATCTATTGCACTATAATTCATGTGTTGTATTGTAAATTAATACTTAGAGTTCTTTCTGTATACTGGTTAAAGTGGAGAAGAGAGAAAATGAAATAATGAAAATAAACATGCCAAATGGTTCACACCTTTCATTCTATGTTGATGTGATTATAAGTGATTTATGGTTTATATAATCTCCTGTTTTTCTTTAAAAATGTTTAAGCAAGAAATCAGTTACTTTTGAAATATGTAATGTGACATAAAAATGACAAATACATAAATGTAAATATTTCAGATTAAAAAATATTAAGTCTTACATAAAATTTTAATATGCCCTTTTTGGGCTCCCAAAACTCATGTCAGTGAAAGAGCTTGACTTTCTTTTGTTGACATTAAGAAGGTAAGAAAGAAATGATATTTTCTTAAAGCCAGTGGAATGAAGTAAATAAGCTGAAATGATATATTTGCCTCCAAAACATTCTTACAAAGAAACACTGGCCTTACCACAAACTCTTTACAATTGGAGGAGAGAATAATGGAATTTGAAAGCCTATATAAATCAATATAATATGAGACTCAAAAATAAGAAAAAGCTCTGAAAGGCTTTTTTTTCTCCTAGGGCATAGAGCATATCGATTAAAGAAGAGTTTTGAGGGCTCACTGAAGTGGCTTCATTATGTAAGCCTACACCTCAAAAGAGAAATTAGTTACATCTAAAAGACATAGGTGTATGATTCTGGTGCCTTAAAACGAATTCTCCAATTCTTTGAATCTCTTGTTATATCCAAGAGGTGTGAGGAATTCCTTAAAGAACTAGTAGAGAGCTGTGTTAAAAATGCAGTTAACCTTGAATCTGTTTCTGATTTAACCAAATTATTGAGCACATGATCAGTAAATCTCCTCCAGGGCTCATCTCAAGAGTAATGCAAAGATGAGTTCCCCTACAGACTTACTGTTATTGACATTTTGGTGTCTTACATAGCATTCTCCTCCCTTTCTCCTTCCTAACAAAATCCCAATTTTATACAACAATTAAGCAAGCACAAGTGCTTCATATTAATGGAATCCATTCCTATCCTGAGGAAGGATGGAGGGGAAGAGATATTCAGATTTGTTCAAGCCAATCATAGTAATGCTATCACTTTTGATTTTAAAATGGGTTTGGGACTAAATTCTGTCCAAAAATACAAGACAAAAAGGCTGCTGGAGTGGTTCCATGAAGTATTTCCACACTTCTAAATAAGAGACACCTTTATTATCTCTGTATGGAGTATGACAGACAAGTTTGTGCTACCCCATTTGTGGCTATTATCTTGGTAAGACACATCTGGAAACCAAAATCCAAGAGGTCAGAGAGGAGGGTTAGAAAGAAAGGCCAACATTTACAGACATCGCTGAGCCTGAGCTGCTTCCATGGATGGGAGCATTCAGATATTAAATTATTGATGGTAATTTGAATTGGAGTTTCTGAGCCTGGCAGCTGAAAGGGACTCAAGACTTTCTCATGCCCATTGATATTTCAATGGTCTATGATTTTATTCACTCTCTCACATGGCTGACTAAGAATGATAAATACAAGATATGGAGACAAAGTAGATTAGTGCCTCAAATACAGGTTTGTTGAAGAAGGCATTAAAGAAATAAGGTTGAAGTTATTGTATTTAAAATGACTTGCTTCTGGGACTGACTCTAGGGTGGCATCTGGAATTTCAGTGTTCAGAATTGTTCCTAAATTACTAAGCGATAAAGTTGTATCAGCCTGCCTCGGCTGTTTCTACAAAAACATGCTTTCTTTCAGAATACGCAGACTTTGGGTGATTGTAGCTGATGACCCAGACAGAGAGAACCTGAGTGGACCCTGAGTGAACAGGTCCCTGTAAAAATCCTTGGCTTTGAGTCTTAACCAGGCTTTATTTGAGCAAAACATGATTCACATGTGCTACTGCCTTTAACTGCTGGACAAAAGGGTAATCTAACACTACAGATAAAAGTGTAATGTCAGACAACTGGAGAGCCAAGACTTCCATGCTTTCTAAGCTGTAGCCCCAAAACCATGATGACACTGGGGACCACATGAAGAGACAGTACTCTCATCCACCCCAGCAATTAAGATAATACTCCTCTCTCTCTCCACTGGTGTGGTGTCAAGGGAGTTTCAAGGGTGAGGCAGGACCTTCAACACTAGGCAGGAGGAACCATGTCACTCCCATCATTGGTGTGAGTGGAAGTCTAGTGGGGAGTGGCACCCATCATCCCCAAGCACCAGTAACAAATGGCTCCATCTCCCTCATTCAGTAGAGGCTGAGGAAGGAATGTACACATCTGCACCCACTTGCAGGTAACTGGACGATGTCTCCAGGCCCTCTGTTGTAGTGCTGTCACAAGAAGTCAGCTGAAGCCGAAGAGTTAAGACAGACCCTGAGTCTTATAGCATTGTACCCATAACATCCAGATTTTGATTGAAAATTGCTTGTTATGCCAAGAACCAGGAAAATATCAAAATAAACAACAATAGCAGAACAAACAATAGATGCCAACATCAAGGCGCCAGAGATATTAGGAATTGTGTCAAGGGAACACAGGGGTTCTCTAACTAGAGAGAAATACAGGGGTTCTCTAATTAGAGAGAAATATATTTTTTTAATCTCTTGTAATTGCATGTGCCTCTAAAACTATCTCAAAATAAAATAAAATAAACATAAACATATATGGAAAAGATAACTAAAATAAAAGTATTTAATTACTTTTCAAGTATAGGGAATTAATTCCATGAGGCTAAGATAAACAAAATAATTTCTTGTAATTGCACATGGCTTTACAACTATTAATATAACATTAAAAAAATACACTATAAAGATAAAAGTGTTAATTACTTTTAAAGTATAATAATTAAAAAAAAAACTATTTGTATAAGAATATAATACATATATGGCCGGGTGCAGTGGTTCAAGCCTGTAATCCCAGCTCTCAGGGAGGCAAGAGGTGGGAGGATAGCTTCAGCCTGGGAGTTTGAGACCTGCCTGGGCAATATAGCAAGACCCCATTCTCCAGAAAAAGGAAAATAAAAAAAAAAGACAAGAATATAATACATATAAGTGTATTATATATACTAATTACAAATTACTTTTTTCTATTTTTCTGAGAAGCTAATCATATGACCTTTCCTTCCACTGATGAAAACATTGAAAAATTCATTATATAACCATTATAATCTGTTAAAATTATAATTTTAGCATATTGTGGAAAACATGTATTATATTTTTCTTCAAGGCTTGGAGTTTAAAGCTTAGAACCAACTCTTAATCTCTTTGCTGACTCCTAGTTGTATATTAAGTATATAAATAATTCTAACACATATTTAAATATAATAAATTTTAGGTCTATCACAAAATTTAGAAATGACTTTACAGATATACCAAATTAAAACTTTAAAATTACTTGCAGTGGTAGTTACAAATATGGGGTATGGTTTAATAATCATCTTAGTGTGATATACTTACTTTGAACATGAAAGCTTTGGATTTAGCTCATTTTCTATTTTCCATCTTAGTTACTTGAATATACTCTTTGTAGAAATATGGACTCCTAGAAGTAGGAGCTATTAACCAAATAATAATCATCACCATAAATAATCTCTCACAAATATTAATCTGATTTCCTTTCTTATGTGCAATGGATTATGTCAAAGGCTTTAAGAGCACAAAAAAGTAATTAAAACACAATTTGTTCTTGGACTCCAAGTGTTTACATGAAATATAAACAAAGGAATCTTCAAAGTAAAATAAAACAAATGAGAAAAATTCAAAATTTGGAGGGAGCATTCAAGATCTATGAAACACCAAAAGACCACACACATACAGTGTGTGAATTTTCAGAGGCTGCCATAACACACATATACGGTGACTAAAAACAACAGTAATTAATTCTTTCCCAGTTTTGGAGACCAGGAGTCTAAGATCAAGATGTCTCAGGGCTGTGCTCCATCTGGAGACTCTAGGAGAAGATCATTCCAGTCCCTCCCAGCTGCCAGTGGCTTCAGGCATCCCTGGGCTTGTGGTCACATTGTACCAGTCTCTGCCTCTATCTCCACAAGGCTGATTTCTTTCTTTATGTTTAAACTTTCCTCTGCTTAAAAGTCATGTTGAATGAGAGTCTAGCCCTAGTGACCTCATCTTAACTTGAACAAACTGTAAACACACTCTTTTAAAAAAATATCACATTCAGAGGCACCAGGGGTTAAGACTTCAACATATCCATTTGCATGACACAACTGAACTCAACACACACACACACAAAGAAAGGCACACACACACAACACACACACGTACTTCATAGTTGAAGAATGTAGTGTTCCGGGGAACAGTAGTACAGAGAAGTTAGGGGTAGGTGGATTTGATCACAGCTTCGTGGAAGAATCAGTGTTGCTACTTATTCAAAATTAGGACAAGGACATCACCTATAAGTTCCCATTAGTAAGCAGTTAACAGTCCTAGTTAACATCTGCTAGAAATCTTTCTACAGTAGAGACACTTATGATTTCATGTCTCTATGTTCTCTATGTGTTTCAAAGTCACTGAGGGTAGAGTTGAATAAATAAACCCTTTGACAGATAGCTCACTGATATGATGTACTCTATTCTTTTAAAAAATTTAAATTGGTTTTACCATGATGACAATTCTGTGGTCTAATTATTTACTACGTGTATGTGCTTTAGGATGTGCTCTTCCTCTTCATATAAAAAAATGCCAAATTCAAGGCAGTATCTAGCATAAAAGTAGACTCATGGTAAAAACTCAAGGGTGTGCAGGATCAATAGAAAGAAAACTGAGCTGATTACCCTCTCAAGGATTTATGCTGCCAGGAGACAACTAGCTCAGACAGCAGATAGAAACTGTGTAATGATCTGCTAACTTTGATGAAATGTAAATACTGGGAAAGCAAATACCAGGAAAGCAAAATGCATCTGGAGAGAAGAAATCTGCCCAGTGAGACAAAGGCCCTGGGTAGACAAACAGGAAAGAATCAAATTAGACCAATGTTTAAATATTAAGCATGCACCCTGAATTCTGACATGTGTGTGTTCCCCAAGTGTATTAGTTTTTTCTCACACTGCTATAAAGACATACCTGAGACTACGTAATTTATAAAGAAAAGAGGTATAATTGACTCTCAGTTCTGCATGGCTGGCAGGGGCCTCAGGAAACGTACAGTCATTAAGAAAGGCGAAGAAGTAGCAAGGACATTCTTCACACGGCAGCCGGAGAGAGAAGTGTAAGGAGGGGAAATGTCAGATGCTTATAAAACCATCAGACCCCAGGAGAGGACTCACTCATTATCATGAAAACACCATGGGGAAAACCACCGCCATGATCCCATCACCTTCCTCCCTCAACATATGGGTATTATACGTCCCTCTTTTAACATGTGGGAATTACAATTCAAGATGAGATTTGGGTGGGGATACAGAGCCAAACCATACCACCAAGTGAGGGACAGTTCTTCCTCCAGCTTTTCTCAGCCTCTGATAGTCCAGTTTCCCCAAGCAGGGCCCCTGGTGAGGCTACCTTCTCTACTACACATCTGAGAATCCCTGAAAGTGGTGCCAAAATGTAGTAGATAAATGCATAACTTTCCTGATGTTTGCAAGAACCTACTAAGAAAGTGTTGCAACTTAAATTGTGCAACTCCTACAGTTATGTCCAAGTCCTAACCCCCAATACCTGCGTGTGAACTTACTTGGAAATAGGGTCTGTGCAGATATCATTAGTTAAAGATCAGGTTCCACTGGAGTAGGGACCCCTGTTGATGACAGGTTGATGGGTGCAGCAAACCATCACAGCACATGTGTACCTATGTAACAAAACTGCACATTCTGCGCATGTAACCCAGAAATTAAAGTATAATTTTAAAAAGTTTTCTCTTAACAAAAAAGAGAAAATGTCTCTCTTTTTCTCTCTCTCTGTGTAAACACGCATAGAAGAAAGTATCTCTGTCTCTTTCTCTCTCTGTGCAAACATATCTGTCAGTATAAACAGATAAAATGTTTCTCTCTCTGTGTATACATATATTTCTGAGTATAAATAATGATCTCTGTCTCTCTGTATAAACATATCTGTAAGTATAAATAGATGAAAATCTCTCTCTCTGCCTTTCAGTGTGTGTAAACATTTGTAGGTATAAATAGATGATCTGTCTCTGTCTGCGTGTGTGTGTAAATATATTTGTAAGTACAAATATGTTAAAATCTTTCTCTTTTTCTCATGTGTAATGTTATCTTTAAGTATAAATAGATGAAAATCTTTCTCTTCCTGTCTCTCTGTGTGCATAAACATATTTGTGAGTATAAATCGATGATGGTCTCTGTGTTTCTCTCTGAGTGTAAACATATCTGTAAGCATAGATAAAATCTCTCTGCATGTGTAAACATTTGTAAGTATAGATGAAGATCTTTGTCTCTCCGTGTGTAAATATATTTGTAGCTATAAATACCTGAAGATCTCTGTCTGTCAGTGGGCATGTAAAAATATTTGTGTGTATGAATAGGTTAAAAACTCTGTCTTTCTCTGCCTCTGTGTGTGTGTTTATGTAAACATGTGTATGTATAAATAAAGACTGGATGGATGTGTGTGTGTGTGTGTGGTTATATTTCACCTTTCAAGATACTGAGTATCTCAGTGTGAAAGAAGCAATATTATAATGAAGAATCAGAAGCGTATAGAAATAGCCCTAATGAAACATCTCCATTAGAAAACAGCCTGTTGAAAAGCCGATAGAACATTCTTACCTCCAGGCAAAGAAGTGATCAAGGAATGCAAGCAATCACAATTTTTGCTTGCTTTAAAAGGAGTCAGGAAATGCCGACCTTAAGGAAAAGCAGAAATAGTTAAGTCTTAGTCTGTTCAGTATGCTATAGCAAAATATCATAGACCAGTAGGTTTATGAACAACAGAAGTTTATTGCTTACAATCGTAGAGACTGGGAGTACAAGATCAAGGATGGCAGATTCAGTGTCTGTTGGGTACCCATTTCCCCGTTCATACACAGTGCCTTCTTCCTGTGTCCTCACATGGAGGAAGAAGCAAGGGAGCTCTCTGTGGTCCCTTTTATAAGGGATTTATAAAAGTCTCTACCTTCATGACCTCATCACCCCCAAAAAGCCCCACATTTCAACACTATCACCTTGGGGTTTAGGATTTCAACTTAGGAATTTCGAGGGAATTTAAACGTTGACACCATAGCAAGCACCATGCCCTTAATTAGCAGATCATATTAACAGTGTCGATGTTGATCAAGGTCAAATATTGAGATGATCACAGCTATGGCAGGTTGTATTTTAGAAATGGGCCACACGTTATCTTCAATGGTAAACACTAAATCATTCCTACATTCAACTCAAGATGATGCCAGTACAAATTTTAGACAAGCAATCTATTAGCTTGCTCAAATTAAAATAGTTTTATACCTAGACACCTTAAACTTTAAGAGAGGCTTTTATATTTAGTAAATGCAAAATTGAAGCTTAATCAGTAAATTCTAATTTTTTGGAGAACAATATGCCATAATTATAACTATTATTGCTTAAGATTCCTATCTCTTTTATCTGCTAATCATCAGGGTAAATAAACTTTTAGGTTTCGTTTTGGTTCTCTAAGACAATGGTGTCCAATGTGGCTATTTAAATTTAAATTGCAACAAACAATTCACTTCCTCCTGAGAATATAAAGTGATGCAACTGCTGTGGAAAATAGTTTGGCAGTTTCTCAAAAAATTAAACATACAATTAGTGTATGATGCAGCAATTTTACTTCTGGATATATAACCAAAAGAATAGAAAGCAGGGATTTAAACATGTTCATAGCAACATTATTCACAATAGTCCAAGTATAGAAAAAACCATTGATAGATGAATGGATAAACAAAATGTGGTATATCCATTCAATGGAATATTATTCAGACTTGAAAAAAAATCTAACACATGCTACAACATGGATTAACCTTGAAAAAATTGTGTTCATCTTGGCATGGTGGCTTATGCTTATAATCCCAGCAATTTGGATGGCCATGGAAGGTGGATTAGTTGAGCTCAAGAATTCTAGACCAGACTGGGCAACATGGCAAAAACTCTGTCTGTATAAGAAATATAACAATTAGCCACTTGTGGGGGTGCACACCTGTGGTCTCAGCTACTTCGGAGGCTGAGGTGAAAGGATTTTTTGAGTCCAGGAGATTGAGGCTACAGTGGCCAATGATTGCAGTACTGCACTCCAGCCTACATGGCATGTGCGACTCTGTCAGAGAAGGGAAGGGAAAGGAAAAGGGGAAATAAAAAGAAAAGAAGAAAAAGAAAAGATTAGATTGTGCTCAAGAAAAAAGTCATAATAAAAGACAAACACCACACTGCACCATATAAAGATATTTCAGTCAATGACAGATTTCATATATAATAGTAGTCTCAAAAGATTGTCATACTTTTACTGTATCTTTCCTATGCTTTAGTATGTGTAGATACACAATCAGTTACCATTGTGTTACCATTGCCTACTTTATCCAGTACAATAAGATTCCATACCAGTTTGTAGCCCAGGAGCAAAAGGTTCTGCCATATAATGTAGGTGTATAACAGGCTTTACCATCTAGGATTATGTAAGTGCACCCTCTGATGTTCCCACAAGACAAAATTGCTTAATGGTACATTTCTCAGGAAGTATTCTCATTGTTAAATGAATGACTGTATCATATGATTTCACTTCTATGAGGCACATAAAGCAGTCAAATTCATAGAGATAAAAACTAGAAAGGTGGTTGCCAGGGGATGAAGAAAGAGGGGTTTGGGGAGTTACTGTTTAATGGAGACAGAGTTTCAGTTTGAGAAGACAAAAAAAATTCTAGAGATGAAGGGTGTGATGGTTGCATAACAATGTGAATGTGCTTAATGTTTTCAGTTTTATGTGTATCACAGCTCTATTCACAGTAGCAAGGATGTGGAATCTACCTAAGTGTCCATCGATGGATGACTGGATAAAGAAACTGTGGTACAAGTACACTATGTAATACTATGCAATCATAAAAAAGAATAAAATCATGTCTTTTGCAGGAACACAAATGGAACTGGAGACCATTATCTTAAGGAAAATAACTCAGAAACAGAAAGTCAAATTCCAATATTGCCTGTTCTCCCTTATAAGTGGGAGCTAAATAATATATCCATATGGACATGGAGAGTGGAATAGTAGACATTGGAGACTTGGAAAGATAGGAGTGTGGAGAGGGTTGAGGGATGAGAAATCACCTTTTGGGTACAAAGTACACTATTCAGGTGATGAATTCACTAAAAGCCCCAAATTTACCCCTACATAATATGTCCATGTAAAAAAGTTGAACTTGTACTGACATGGTTTGGCCATGTTCCCACCCAAATCTCATTTTGAACTGTAGTCCCACAATCCTCATGTGTCCTGGGAGGGACCTGGTGGGAGGTAATGAAATCATGGGGGCGCGTTTTCCCATGCTGTTCTCATGACAGTGAATAAGTTTCACAAGACCTGATGGCTTTTGTTTTGTTTTGTTTTGTTTTGTTTTGTTTTGTTTTGTTTTTTGAGATGGAGTTTCACTCTTGTCACCCGGGCTGGAGTGCAATGGTGCGATCTCAGCTCACTGCAACTTCTGCCTTCCAGGTTCAAGAAATTCTCCTTTCTCAGCCTCTCGAGTAGCCAGAATTACAAGTGCCCACCATCATTCTGGGTAATTTTTTGTATTTTTAGTAGATATGGGGTTTCAGTATGTTGGCCAGTCTGGTCTTAAACTCCTGACATCTTGATCAACCCACCCCAACCTCAAAAAGTGCTGGGATTAGAGGTGTGAACCACCACATCTGGCCGACTTGATCATTTTGTAAAGGAGAGTTCCCTGCAGAAACTGTCTTGCCTGTTGCCATGTAGGACATGCCTTTGCTCCTCCTTTGCCTTCTGCCATGATTGTGAGGCCTCCTCAGCAATGTGGAACTGTGAGTCCATTAAACCTTTTTTCTTTATAAATTACTCAGGCTTGGGCATTTCTTCACAGCGGTATGACAATAAACTAATATTTATACCCCTTAAACTTATGCAAATTTTTTAAATGGTTAGATGGTATATTTTGTTATGAATATTTAATCACAATTGAATGAATAAATTAAAACCCACACATTTGCAGTGGTCACATTTAAATGCTTAATAACCACAGACAGCTAGCAATGCCATATTAGATGGCACAGGTGAAAAGCATCACCCCATGCTGGAAGTTTTCCCTGGACAGAATTGCTCTGCAAGGCCATAGATCAAAGTGAGAGAAAAAAAAAGAATATCAAATCCTACCATCACCCTTTTAAGAACAGATATGCTGGTTACATCCACATGATTCAGATGACCAGGTTGGGGTCTGTTTGGGGACTCACCCTTCTTTTGCACTGAAGGGAAGTTTTTTCATAATTAAAATCATTTTCCCCCTTTAAGGGGACAGTGCTGTCAGAGTGTGACTAGTAACACCTAAGAGGAAAGTGATTAGTAACATGAAGTCAACCTGTAGGATCAAACATTAGATGGGGAGAAAATCACCATCACTACAGTAAACTTTATTTCAAAGCACACATTTCCTAGACTTCTAGCACTTAATATTTATGAAAAATAAGAAAAATAGAACCTATAACTTCTCAAAACAAGAAACTGGAATATGAAGTAGAAAATATATTAGCAGTAGCTTCCCAGTTTTCAAAACAATCAAGGTTAAGCTGCATTTCCTTGATGCAAAGCATTGATTTAGCATCTACATTCCAAGTATATTCACAGACATATGAAAAAGGTAGGATGGACACAGTGACTCACACCTGTAATCTCAGCATTTTGGGAGGCCTAGGTGGGTGGATAACTTGAGTTCTGGAGTTCAAGACAAGCCTGGTCAAAATGGTGAAACCCTGTCTCTACTAAAAATACAAAAACTAGCAGGCATGGTGGCGGGTGCCAGCTACTCAGGAGGCTAAAGCAGGAGAATCACTTGAATTTTGGAGAGGGAGTTTGCAGTGATCCAAGATCACACCACTGTACTTCAGCCTGAGTGACAGAGTAAAATTCCATGTCAAAAAAAAAAAAAATGTGTAGGTGTAACAATTCTCATTCTGCCAAGAAGCTACCTGAAAGAGACACACCTTGTCAGAAACTCCTTTCTCCAAAATAAAATTCTTCTATATCCATGTTCCATATGATTAATTGAAATAACATGATTGCGAACTACTAGTTTCTCACTTACAATGCTGAAGTTGATTAAAAATGACTATTGATAATCTCACTATAAAAATAAGAGGCAGCCACAACCTTTAGCAAAATGAATCAAAGGGTAAAAAAACTATTTTCTTTTTGTTATTTTGGGCCATAAAGAAAATTAGTGTAATTGGAGAATGAGTGACAAGTAGCTTACAAGAAAACTCCTCAAGCCAAGAAGAAAAGAAAGAGAGATGTTCAGAAGTAACACAGATTGCAGCTATAATCACTTATTCTTTGTTACAGCATGTGTTAGATTTTTTTCTTTTCAAGGCTGAATAATATTCCATTAAATGGATATACCACATTTTGTTTATCCATTCATCTGTCAGTGGTTGTTTGTATACTTTGACTATTGTGAATAATGTTGCTATGAACATGTTGAAATCCCTGCTTTTTATAGGTAGATGCATGATAGAGATATACATAATATACATAATCAATATACTACATACTACATACCCATTTCTATTAATATATTGTGATACATTATTCGTATACACATATATATGAATTCATGTCTACATGTGTGGATATAATATATATTACACATTTGTGAGTATATGTATATATGTGTATTAATAATATATACATACAATAAATGTAATATTTATTACTCATAATATATTGTGATATATTTATCTATTTAAAAATAATATACATTGAACTGTATAGAAAGATATACAGTTGACTTTCAAACATGTGAGACATGGGCACCAAACACTCGAATAGTCACAAATCTGAATATAACTTGAGACGGACTGTTGCTCTGTCACCCAGGCTGGAGTGCAGTGGCACAATCTCAGCTCACTGCAACCTGTGCCTCTCAGGTTCATTAGATTCTCCTGCCTCAGCTTCCCAAGTAGCTAGGATTGCAGGCACCTGCCACCATGCCTAGCTAATTTTGGATTTTTAGTAGAGACAGCGTTTCACCATGTTGGCCAGGCTGGTCATGAACTCCTGACCTCAAGTTATCCACCCACCTTGGCCTCCCAAAATGCTTGGATTACAAATGTGAGCTACTGTGCCCAGTCCTGAATATAACTTTTATCTCTCCAAAAACTTAAATACTAATAGTATTTGTTGATCAGAAGCCTTACCAGTAACATAAACAGTTGATTCATGCATTTTTTATGTGTTACATGTACAGTCTACTATGTTCTTACACCAAAGTAAGCTTGAGAAAAAAAATGTCATTAAGAAAATCACGAGGAAGAGAAAATATCTTTACTGTTCATTAAGAGGAACTGGATTATCATAAAGGTCTTCATCTTCATCATCTCCAAATTGAGAAGGAAGAAGAGGAGGGATTTGTTTTGCTGTCTCATCTGTAAATGCTGTAAAATTAAGCAGAGATTCCCAGCTTCATAAGAACAATGTCTATGCAGAATCTGAAGACAATCAATCAGTGTAAGTTGATCCACACAGTTCTAACCCATGTTGTGTTCAAGGATTGACTGTAATACATATAATTCTTGTAATATAGTATGTTATATATGCACATTTATATGCATATATGTATATGTGTATATCTTTACCCTCTAATTATCTTTACCATATATATCTTCACCATGATCATAGTGAACAGGCTCATTCATATCTGAAAGTCAGAGTAGCAAGTTCAATCGTCAGAGACATAGGGACAATTGTCAGACATGGGGATGACCGCTGCCCAGTGAAGCAAGCACTGAACGCTGCCTCCCATGGACCATTGCTGTGCAGATGAGATCCTTCCAGTGTACAATGAAAAGGCTCTAGCATGAATCTCTTGACTCCACATGTGGTCCTCCGACAAGTCAACATTGACAGCCCAGAGACCTTGTGAGAAACACAACATCTGCTGAGTCAGAATGTGAATTTTAACAACACCCCTATGTGAGCTTTGTGCACATTCAAGTTAAAGGCTCTCTGGACTAAATAAACTCCAGTTTTCTTAGGCTGTAAACTCAGATGCTTCTTGGTAAATGCTGTAAAATTAAGTGGAGATCCCCAGCTTGATGAGGACAATGTCTATGCAATATCTGCTGCGTTTTGGTAGTTGCCAATAAGACAAGGCCATCCCAGGGATGGTGGTCCCTCTAGTATTGGCTAGCTATCAGCCATTCTACATGCTGTCCCAAGTAATGAAAACTGTTGTGTTCTCACCTCACTTGATACTAGAGGTCTCCTTTTAACTAATTAATTCGCTATGTGTCCACAATAGCAGAAAGTCTTTAACTAAGCTCTTTTTAATTAGAGTTTTACAGATAGAGGAGGAAAAACAAACACCATATGATTATTTCAACAATTCTCCAGGTTGAGAAGGGTAATCACATAAAATCCAAAGGAAAACCACAAAAAAGCACTAAGAATTCCTTTATTGGAAGGGATTATCAATACCCTCCCTGATGTGATGAAAAAAACTCTGCTTACTGATATCTATGTGGCTATTTAATATTTTTTAAAATTTAAGTGGGTAGAATAAATTTAAGATGCATTTATTTCCTAATCTAAAATTCTCACATTTTATGGCTTATTTCACAAAACTGTTACAATAAAGTAATACACCATGGACAGTGCTATATGAATGTTGGTTATTATTATTATTTTTTAAAAAAAGAAATGAGATTTCCAATGCTTTGATGTTTTTCAGGAAGATTTTAAAATCCTATACAAAGGCAGTGAGTTTTGAAAAAGCAGTGAGCATTTTTCAAATATGCATGTTAAGCGATCCACTGTATATTAATTAAAATAGTGGGCAACATGACCATACTTATGTACACAGGACATGGTAAAAAATCTTCCGGTAAGTTTAGTCTTCTTCAGCTTGGGGATTTTCATAAATCAGAATGGCAAGAAGAGATGTGGCTTCTCAGATGAACAAGTGAAAACTCTTACTTCTCAACTTAGGCAAAAGTGCAGAGATTTGAATTGTGAGACCATGGGGGCAGAAAGTAATTAATCAATGAATGTTTTCTAGGTATACAATCATGTCGTCTGCAAACAGGGACAATTTGACTTCCTCTTTTCCTAATTGAATACCCTTTATTTCCTTCTCCTGCCTAATTGCCCTGGCCAGAACTTCCAACACTATGTTGAATAGGAGTGGTGAGAGAGGGCATCCCTGTCTTGTGCCAGTTTGCAAAGGGAATGCTTCCAGTTTTTGCCCATTCAGTATGATATTGGCTGTGGGTTTGTCATAGATAGCTCTTATTATTTTGAAATACGTCCCATCAATACCTAATTTATTGAGAGTTTTTAGCATGAAAGTTGTTGAATTTTGTCAAAGGCTTTTTCTGCATCTATTGAGATAATCATGTGGTTGTCTCAGCCCAAAATCTCCTTAAGCTGATAAGCAACTTCAGCAAAGTCTCAGGATACAAAATCAATGTACAAAAATCACAAGCATTCTTATACACCAATAACAGACAAAAATAGAGCCAAATCATGAGTGAACTCCCATTCACAATTGCTTCAAAGAGAATAAAATACCTAGGAATCCAACTTACAAGGGATGTGAAGGACCTCTTCAAGGAGAACTACAAACCACTGCTCAAGGAAATAAAAGAGGATACAAACAAATGGAAGAACATTCCATGCTCATGGGTAGGAAGAATCAATATCGTGAAATTGGCCATACTGCCCAAGGTAATTTACAGATTCAATGCCATCCCCATCAAGCTACCAATGACTTTCTTCACAGAATTGGAAAAAACTACTTTAAAGTTCATATGGAACCAAAAAAGAGCCCGCATCACCAAGGCAATCCTAAGCCAAAAGAACAAAGCTGGGGGCATCACACTACCTGACTTCAAACTATACTACAAGGCTACAGTAACCAAAACAGCATGGTACTGGTACCAAAACAGAGATATAGATCAATAGAACAGAACAGAGCCCTCAGAAATAATGCCGCATATCTACAACCATCTGATCTTTGACAAACCTGAGAAAAACAAGCAATGGGGAACGGATTCCCTATTTAAAAAATGGTGCTGGGAAAACTGGCTAGCCATATGTAGAAAGCTGAAACTGGATCCCTTCCTTACACCTTATACAAAAATCAATTCAAGATGGATTAAAGACTTAAACGTTAGACCTAAAACCATAAAAACCCTAGAAGAAAACCTAGGCATCACCATTCAGGACATAGGCATGGGCAAGGACTTCATGTCCAAAACACCAAAAGCAATGGCAACAAAAGACAAGATTGACAAATGGGATCTAATTAAGCTAGAGAACTTCTGCACAGCAAAAGAATCTACCATCAGAGTGAACAGGCAACCTACAACATGGGAGAAAATTTTCGCAACCTACTCATCTGACAAAGGGCTAATATCCAGAATCTACAATGAACTCAAACAAATTTACAAGAAAAAAACAAACAACCCCATCAAAAAGTGGGCGAAGGACATGAACAGACACTTCTCAAAAGAAGACATTTATGCAGCCAAAAAACACATGAAAAAATGCTCATCATCACTGGCCATCAGAGAAATGCAAATCAAAACCACAATGAGATAACATCTCACACCAGTTAGAATGGCAATCATTAAAAAGTCAGGAAACAACAGGTGCTGGAGAGGATGTGGAGAAATAGGAACACTTTTACACTGTTGGTGGGACTGTAAACTAGTTCAACCATTGTGGAAGTCAGTGTGGCGATTCCTCAGGGATCTAGAATTAGAAATACCATTTGACTCAGCCATCCCATTACTGGGTATATACCCAAAGGACAATAAATCTTGCTGCTATAAAGACACATGCACACGTATGTTTACTGCGGCATTATTCACAATAGCAAAGACTTGGAACCAACCCAAATGTCCAACAATGATAGACTGGATTAAGAAAATGTGGCACATATACACCATGGAATAGTATGCAGCCATAAAAAATGATGAGTTCATGTCCTTTGTAGGGACATGGATGAAATTGGAAATCATCATTCTCAGTAAACTATCACAAGGACAAAAAACCAAACACTGCCTGTTCTCACTCATAGGTGGGAATTGAACAATGAGATCACATGGACACAGGAAGGGGAACATCACACTCTGGGGACTGTGGTGTGGTGGGGGAGGGGGGAGGGATAGCATTAGGAGATATACCTAATGCTAGATGACGAGTTAGTGGGTGCAGCGCACCAGCATGGCACATGTATACATATGTGACTGGCCTGCACAATGTGCACATGTACCCTAAAACTTAAAGTATAATAATAAAAAAATTAAAAAAAAATCAACGAATGTTTCAGTGTAGACAAATTAGTCAATTTTGGGAAAAGGGATATCTGCTAAAAAAATTCATGCTCAAAAAAGAGAAAATTAATATCCCAATATTATGACAGTGCGGCAAGTGTTATTTGTGGTTGGAATATTTGTGTCCAAGACCATTCTTCCCGGCACTAACTGTTGGCCCTTGGTTAATCACAACTATTTGCTCTCCTTATCATGGTCTGATAAACATCATCTCTAGAAAGTCTTCTCACCCCTCAGATTTGTAGGCAGAAGTGGAAAGAAATCAGATTATATTCTAGAAGTCTGTTTACAAATCTTGTGCTTTTAAATCCAAAATAAGTATGAGAGGTTTAACCCTTCAGTGTTCTGACATGTATCTACCCAAGTGGAGTATAAATCAATCTATTAAAACTTATAAACCATATTTTTATCTTAATTGTGCAAGCATGTTTTTTAAGCAGCATTCCTTTTTCTCATATTGACCCATTTTGTCTACACTAAAAAATTAGTTGATAAGTAACTTCCTGCCCCCATGCTTTCCCTAATTGTGGTTACTTCCTCACTGGGAGCACTGAATTCACTTTCTTTCCATATATTCAAACATGCTGAACCTCAGAAAACATCTAAAGCAGTGATCCTCATACATACTGAAAATTATACCACAGGGAAATGGGGCAATGTCTGGAGGCACTTTTGGTTGTTACAACTTGGAGGCTGCTACTGGCCTTTAGTGGGTAAGTGCCAGAGATGCTAAAAAACACACTTCAATGCACAGGATAATCCTTGCAGCACAGCAGTATGTCACTCAAAATTCAATAGTGCCAAGGTTGAGAAAACCTCATTTAAATGTTCCCAGTAGCATTTCACTAGCTTTGCATATGTCAAAGGAACAACTTCATTTTCTCTGGAATTAATTATAGGTTTATAGCTATCTTGTGTCTATATTCACTCTCTAGTTTATATTCCTAATGCTTAATACTACGTTCCTTTGCATTATTTTGATTTCTTTGGGTGGCATATAGCCACTGCTTTATATGTTTCCTGTATCATCCTTGATCATTCTTATATTTGTAGGCTTGAGGCTCATCATCTTCATATTTGTGACAGTTTTTGTGGTCTTCAGATTTCAAGTAATGAAATTTAATCACCTTTAATTTCCAATGTCATTTTGTTTCTTTCTTGTTGTTGTTGACTCACTCAGTTCAAATTCCAATGACTTGGCTGCTAGTCCCACATAACAGAGTTTCTAGAGAAATCTATTCCTGGAGCATAGGTACTTATATTTATTGAATCATCAAGCTAGAATAAATATGCAGGGATGAAGCAGACAAGATCAATGGAAGACAAGAATTGCTGCTTGAAGGCTGTCACTGTTCTGCGTTTACCACTCCTGGTGTTCCTGCTGAGAATAAATTCACCAGGGTCCAAGAACTAAATAATAAACTCATATGCTCGTAGCCAATTTTCAGCCACAGTCTACAAATATACTCTGAAATCTGGGATGAAAGGTAATGTGCTCAACTCTGTGGTTCATCTTTGGTAAGCAGCTCTTTTGAATTAAGGTCTTATCATGTTGACAAAGGACGGACATGTCCTGAAATAGGTAGAAGAAGCTAACTTCCTTTACAGACTGGGTTGAAAAACCCAGCATGATATACAAAACTATAGGCAGATGAATAGTCAGTTTTCAGTGCCTCACCCACCATTCTTACCAACCCATCATATCAAAGCAGACATACTGTCTCTTGAAAATGCTGTTTGCAACACAGACAGCATGTGGTCACCTCCAATCAGCAGGGGGAATTAAAGCACAGTCAAGGATCCCTATTATCTGTTGTAGACATATTTTTACACTTGATTGTACTCCATGGAAGACCAATTTATACATCCTGCCCTCACTATTCATGGGTTTCATTGTAAATTCATAGAACATTTTGCTTAGGAGAGCACTCAGAATCAAAATCTACATAGAAGAGTACTCAGGGTTAAAGAACCTGCCTGCGATCCCTCCCCAGGTAATAACAGTGTCTGAATATGAACCTTCTGACTTCTACTGGAACACAATGCTGTTTCTTCTCCATTCCTCTCTCCCAAGATGTAAACTGCTTGATAACACAGTTCAGAACATAACTGTAACTGTATTTCATTGTAGTTATCACACAATTAGGTATTTGTCAGCTGTACCATAAATACTTGTCAGGCTAGAATTAAGGGTAAGAGTCAGCTTCAGATGTTCTGCAAAGATGCAATGTATCCACTCTCATAATGGTTGCATCATGCACAAATTCAAGACTAGAATTTACACAGATCTGTGACCAGATGCTTTGAGGAGGCAACTAGAGGCAATTCAATGTCTAGGCAGCACTCCTGCTGAAGAAGCTAGGTTGAGCCTGGACTCATCACTCATAGAACAGAACAGTAGCAGGAAGAGATATTAGTATCTTCTCCATTTGATAATTTTCCCACCAAGAATGACTTAGTCCACTCAGGCTGCTATCACAAAATAGCAGAGATTGAGTTGCTTCTAAACAACAGACATTTATAGTTTGCAGTTCTGGAAGCTGGAAGTTCAAGATCAAGGTGTGGCAGATTCCGTGTCTGGGGAGGATTTCCTTCCTGATTTAGAAGATATTTTCTGGCTGTGTCCTCAGATGCTGAAAAGAAAGAATTGTGGTTTCTTGTCCTCCTCAAGCGTCAGTGTGATATATATATATATATATATAAAATGAGATAGGTTTTTGTCTATGGTTCCATAATGCCTACAGCCCATGTTATAGTATTGGGGCACTTTAAGCCTCAGAAGGCAGCATTTCTCTCCCTGAACTTCTCTTGCCCTATTTTCACCAGGGCACTATTTTTTCCTTTGGTTCTTTTTTTTCTTTCTTTCTTTTTTTTTTTTTTTTTTTTTTTTTTTTTACCTTTTGAGACAGTCACACTCTTGCCCAGACTGGGGTGCATTGGCACAATCATGGCTCACTGCAGCCTCCACCTACTGGGCTCAAGCAATCTTCCCACCTCAGACTCCCAAGTAGCTGGGACTACAGGCATACACCACATCCAGCTAATTTTTTGTAGAGACTGGTTTTTTCCATCTTGCTCAGGCTGGTCTCAAACTCCAGGCTGAAGTGATCTGCTCACCTCCATCTCTCAAAATGCTGGGATTATGGGCATGAGCCACAGTGCCAAGCCTTTTCTTGGTTGTCTGATTGTGGGTCATAAGACCCTCATTTCAGAAGGGGTCCTGCCCCATACCTGAGAGGAGGGAATGCTGTAGAGGCACAGCAAGAAGAATTTGAACAGACATTGCTGGGTTTCTCCACTCCGTCTGTTAGTGTTAAGTTACAAGTCTTTTGTCCAATCACATTTCTACATAGTTGTTAATCATGCCTAGCCAATGAAGTCTCCATAAAGACCCAAAAGGACTGAGTTTGGAGAGTTTCTGGATGAGTGAACAAATGGAGTTTCCAGGAGGGTGGTGCAACATGGGAGGGCATGGAAGCTCCCTGACCCTTCCCCCATATTTTCCTCTATGCATCTCTTCACCTGTGTCCCTGGTAATATCCTTTATAATAAACTAATATACTTGTTTTTTAGAATTCTGTGAGCTACTCTAGCAAATCAAACCAATCTACCTAGGGAGTCACGGGAACCCAACTTGAAGCTGGCCAGTCCGAAGTTCTGAAGGTCCAGACCTGCAACTCGTGGAAAGTGGGAGCAGTCTTGTGGGACTATCCCTCAGCCTATGGGATCTGACATTATCTCCATGTAGACAGTGTCAGAACTGAATTGCAAGACACCCAGCTGGTGTGTGCTGCAGAATGGCTTGCTTGCATGTTTGGCGTGAGAGGAGAAACCCCCACAGGTTTGGTCACAGATGTCTTGTGTTTTGATTGTTGTGGTGTGAGAGCCAATTTATGTTTGTGTGGTGGGGCAGGGGTGGTTTCCACTCACAGGAACTAATCCCATACATGAGGGCTTCACCCTCATGATCCAATCACCTCCTAATACTACTACATGGGGGTTAGGTATCACATATGAATCTTGGGGGAAAAGAAAAGTTCAGGCCACAGCAGAGTTATCACGGAACTTCAAAAGCTTGCCTGTGGTCATTTATAAATAATACTGCATGTGAATTAAAGGAAAAAGCTAGCACCCAAACTTTCCAGGGAGGAATGAATCACTAAGCCAAGAGTACTGTATTTCATTTCCTAGAACAAAGAGTGGCTTGTATGAGTGGTTGTTAAAATATGGCTAAAGACTAAGCATTTTGTGGAATTTAGGGAAGAATATTTATTTTGTTTAAAAAAGAAATCTGAAAAAAACCTGCACAAGGACTCATGAATCTAAAATAAAAGTTAATAAAAAAGAAATACTGAATTGATGTGAAAGAACAAACAAGCAGGAAACAATTAGAAATTAACTGGTTATTAAGTCATATGGGCTTTTCTGAGAACAGAGTAATAAATAAGGGCTTCAGTATTTGAGAATGTCAGAATAGACACATTGGAGTTTACAGCTTCAAAAGTTAATAAAAATATTATCAGATTGTTTTATGTAGAAAATGTTATCTGTCTAATTATTTTCCCCAAAGTGATATGTTGAAGGCCTATCCCCTAGCACCTCAGAATGTGACCCTCTTTGGAAATAGGGTCTTTGCAGATGTAATTGTTAATATTTGGTCATACTGGAGTAGCCCCTAATTCATACATACTGGAATAGCCCCAATTCACTACTCCTGATGTCCTTATAAGAAGAGACACAGGGGAAGACCATATAAAGATGGAGGCAGAGATGGGACTGAGGCAGCCACAAGCCAAGCGATGCCAAAGATTAATGACCACTAGCATCTGCTCAGGAGGAGAAAGGAAGGATTCCCTGCAAAATTTTGGACAGAGAGGATATGCCCACCTGACAAGCGGATTTCAGATGGCTGGTGTCCAGAAGTATGAGACAGACTGGGTATCATAATAAAGTATGATCATCAATATAGTATAATAAATAAATAATAATTATTATTATAAGACACCCTGTTAATAAAAGTGCCTATTATTAACAGGCACTGATGCAATGAACTATCTATTATATAACAATTTATTATATAATAATAATTTAAGACAAATATAATACATTGATACTTATAATAATTTATCCATTTAATAAATTATAGATATAATAGTAAATATGTAATTATAAGATAGTAGGCACTGATCTAATGGACTAATGTATCATATAATTTATTAGTAGATAATAATTTATTTTAAGACAAATATAATAAATGTAATGTTGATTGTTATAATTTATCAATTAATACATTATTGTAGACAAATACCAAGTAAATTATTTTAAAAAGAAAACAAGCATTGATGCAATGAACTGATTTATTACATAAAAGTTTATTGTTATGAATATATAACTATTATATAATAGTTTATTATTGTGTATTGATAATTTAAGACAGATATAACAAATATGTTAATAATAAATATTTATTATAAACATAATACATTATTATAGTACAGCAGGCATTGAGGCAATGAACTATTAATATCTAATGTATTATATAATAACATATTATATAATTTATTTTAAGACACGTTATTATTATAGACAGATATTACTAAGTAAATTATTAATATAAGAGGAGGCATTGATGAAATGAAGTAATTTATTATGTAATAATTTACTATTATAAATATTTAAATTTATTATATAACATTATATAATAATAATTTAGGACAAGTATTATAATAAATATACTAATAAGAAATTATTGTAGACATGTAATAAATAAATTTTTATGAGCAGGAATTAATGCAATGAACTGATTATTATATAATAATTTTAAGACACACATTAAATAATTATTATAGACATTATATATTATATAAAGCATATAAATAACAATTATAGACAGATTATAAGACAGCAGACATTGATGCAATCAACAAATTCATTCTATTATAATAATTTTTTATAGACACCCAGTCTGTAGTGCTGTGTTTTAGCATCCCTAGAAAGCTAACAAAGAGAGTGAACATGAAAAGGAAATTGTGTCAATAGACTCAGTTGACTGTGAATTTTAATTTTAGAAGCCTAAGGTGTAATCTGGTCCCTATTTGGTTACCCAGACATTCTGTATCCTGTAGTCTTGGAATAACATCTTCCCTCTTGGTCAAGCCTTGACTTGTTTTGCTGAATAAATCTTTCATATCTAATAAGTTGTTAGGTCATTTTCCCATGTACATTCCCCCAGATTAGTCAGGAATTCTGATGAACAGCCACAGATTCTTCAGCATTTTGTTGATGCTGATAAAAATGTCACTTCTCCATGACTTTTCTCATTAGTATCTCAATCAGACTGAAGAGAGCCTGCAATTACTGTTGTAAAAGTTATTTTCTGCTCCTTAGCCTCAGAATTCAATGTAACATCTTTGATTAAAGATGTTACACTATTGAACAGTATTTTAGAACAGTTACTCAGATTTTATGTCTATTTCAACTGTATCCATTCTCTTTCAAACTGTAATCAGGCTTAGGCTTGGCTAGAGGAAAAGTCATCTTAATGCCCAGAATTACAATGCTGAATGGAAAGCCCAATAATGCTTGCATCTCCAGAAGACCTGGCCAGATATTTATTTCGTGGTATAAACATAGGTGTGAAATGCTTCTGGCTTTCTTTTTTCTTTTCCTTCTTTCTTTCTTTCTTTTTTTTTTTTTTTTTTTTTTTTTGAGAAGTCTCACTCTGTTGCCCTGGCTGGAGTGCAGTGGCATGATCTCAGCTCACTGCAACCTCTGCCTCCCAGGTTCAAGCAATTCTCTTGCCTCAGCTTCCCAAGTAGCTGTGATTTCAGGCACCCACCACCAGGCCTGGCTAATTTTTTTTTTTTTTTTTGTATTTTTGTAGAGGCAGGGTTTCACCATGTTGGCCTGGCTGGTCTTGAACTCCTGAACTCAGGTGATCCACCTACCGTGGCCTCCCAAAGTGCTGGGATTACAGTTGTGAGCGACCGTGCCTGGCCGCTTATGGCTTTCATGTAGAGATGGAGAGCTGATGGGAGAAGCCAAGTATCTGCTTCACTTTGTCCCAATTACTCGAATTCCACAATCATCACAAATTTATGCTCACTCTCCAATTTAAAAAACACTTTTTTATCCATATACTAAGCAACGGGTGTCGGACTCATTTCCTATGGTGAAAGCATGGGGCCAAATGTAGCTGTGTATTCCCCAATAGCAGTCAGGGAAGAAAAGACTCAGAAACGTTGCTGGAGTTTGAACTGGTTTTCCCAGAAATCTATGTTCCAGTCCTAATGTCACAGGATCTTTGAGATGTTGTTTCACCAGCTGGAAACCTCTGTGGCCAACGATGCCTTCTGCCTGAGTGTTGCTCACACCCACTGGCTTTATTTGGCCCACCTGCCCCAGCAGACTGTGTTTGACTGGTGCTAACAGCCTGGATCCGACACCTGCCAAGGATGATCCAGGAGCAGAGTGGCAAGAGGTGTGTGGACAAGTGAGTATGGTTTCCATTCACTGCACAGTCAGCCATGCCAGCTGTGCTGGCACAGGTGCTGGCTCCATGCAAGGCTGCTACTGGACCAGATGTACTGAGTAGGAACCCACGTCTAGAAAAGGATAAGGGGAACTTGGAGCCCAGAAGCTTGGAAGCACCAGGAATCACAGGGCCCCAAAGAGGATGTCACAGCCCTGGATCAAAGAATCCCTAGGTCTGGGATCCCTGAAGGGCTGCAGTTCTTCTCTCTTTCTGGTTGCACACAACGTGGCAAGAATGGCATCATGTTTCATGACAGCCTGAATCCCATGCTTTAGGCTGCCCTGGCTTGAAGGTGGGGCTTCACTGTGGACCCACCCCTTTCCACCCAGAAGCCTGTTTGTGTCTTGCCATCAATCATGTTGTCAACAGCTCTCAGGCAGTTTGTGCAGAGGGGCACCTGCAGGCCCAATCTAAGCCACCCTCAGCCCCTCCTGAGCATCCCTCTCATGCTCATTGGCATCCAAAGTTCAAAGGTTGCTGAAGCACCAGGGTCCCGGCATGTCATCATTGCCCTGAGCATGCACACAGCTGGCCAGGTTTTGACAGTGCCCAGGCTGGGCCTCAACTTTGCTCCAAAATCAGAATGGGTGCTGGGAGTGGAAAGAGGCCAGGCAGTGGGAACAGACAATTCTGATCCTGAATGGGTAGAGGAGAATTCCTGGGCCCCTGAGAGCACAAGGATGTTCAGGTTCACAGCTGTGACTGGGTAGATGCGGCTGTGCCCAGGAGGGTGGCTTTCTCACCCTGCCAACTCAGAGGCGGGTGGGGCTCCTGCCTGTTCCCAAGTCCCACCAGCCCAGTGCATGCAGCCTTGGCAATTCCTTTACTCCTGGAGTCAGCATCTTTATAGTGGCCACTCCAGATGGACTGCTGCTGCCATCACTAACATGCAGTAATTCAGAAAGTGACCTTATTTGTAATTAGAGCAATACAGTTTCACTCTCTGTCCCTTCCCAAATCTCATGTTGAATTGTAGTCCTCAGTGTTGTAGATAAGGCCTGGAGGGAGGTGACTGGATCATGGGGCAGATTTCTCATGAATGGTTTAGCCCCACCCCACCACAACCAGTACTGTATAGTCAGTGAGTTCTCATGAAACCTGGTTGTTTAGAAGTGTGTGGCACCTCCGTCATCTCTCTCTCCCTCTCTCTCTCTCTCTCTCTGTCTGCTTATGCCATGTGAGACACCTGCTCTCACTGCTGCCTTCCTCCATAAATAAAAACTCCCTGAGGCCTCCCCAGAATCAGATGATGCCATGCTTCCTGTATAGCCTGCAGAACCCTGAGACAATTGAATCTCTTTTCTGTTTACATTACCCAGTCTCAGGTATTTCTTCATAGCAATCTGAGAACGGACTAATACACAGGGGCTTTGCGGATGTAGTCAAGTTAAAGTGCATTCATACTGAATTAAAGTGGGCTGGCATTGAATGACTGGTGTCTTTACAAGAAAAAGAGAAACTGGATATAGAGACACCCAGTAAGTATACCCTTTGACGATGGACGCAGATATAGGAGAGATACAGCCACAAGCCAAATAATGCCAAGAACCAACAATCATCACCATAAATTGAGAGGGAGGCACATAATAGTTTCTTCCTTCAAGATTTCAAAATGAACCAATCATGCTGTGACCTTGATCTTCAATTTCTGGCCTCCAGAACTGTGAGACAGAAAGAAAGTCTGGTTTAAACCGCACTGTTTCAGGTCATTTGTTATATCATGTTCAGGAAACTATTGATCCCTTGAAATGTGACTATTGATCCCTTGAACTACAGCTAGTGTGACTGAGAAACTAGAGTTTTAAATTTGATTTCATTTTATTTCATGGTAGAATAGTCACTTTTGACTATCAGATACCATATAGGACATTTCAGTTCTAAAATAATTATTCAAGTTGGTTGATAGTATGTTCTCCAAAAGTGAGCAAATCATCTAGTGTTTTTAAATGTCCTTCACATCCATGGATGGTGACCTATGAATAGGTGTTAACTAGAAATGCTGTAAACAAACATTTCATAATGTAGATTTATGTGTCTGAAAATCAAGTGTTCTTATTTCAAAGTCATTGTTAATAGAAAACAAAACAAATAAACAAATAAAACGAATGATGTATGTGTGTGTGTGTTGAAAAGATGAAACATTCTAAAGAGAAAATCATGGAAGCTTTTTTCCTGATATGTGTGATATAGCAATGACATAGATTGAAATGTCTTGCAGGTAAGGAGTTATAAATATGGGCTCCTTAGATACAATAATGAACAGCTTAACATTCCTGTCTAACCTGAGTGTTATTAAGAATAAACAAAAAACACAAACATAAATACAAGATCTTGTTTTAGTACATTCTGAGGATTGTGATATTTATGACTTTGGGTATGTCTTTCCATGAAATTACCACCCTAGACTTCTGATGTTTAAATTTCTTCCTTTCATAACTTCTCCTCACCAATATCCTCAAAATTGAGCTGGCCCACTGTCCCATTTGGAATTATTTCAGTTATTTGTAGAAGCAGTTTATAAAAGGCCCTTTCAAGTCTTTAAAATTAGTTTGAAAAAATTAAAAGATATTTGTCAGGCATAAGTAAGTACCTTTAAACTTGCTTTCATCATGTGTCTAATAGTAAATGTTAACACAAGATCTTTGGATTTCTGATGTTTGGGTTCATGGTAATGCAGAGCTCACATCAACATAGATCCGAAAATTAAACAACACAGCAGGCACTGCTGCAATGAACCCTCTAACTGAAACAAAATGAAATGTACAATTATGGTAAAAAAAAATCCTTTTTGTAGTTTCATTTGTTCTGATTAGCTATCTAAATCTTTTAATTTAATGGTAAAATGGTTCTACTTTTTGTGTAGGGTCAGATACCCTTGAGTAAGCCACGTTGAACCTCATGTAGGTGTCCATTATCCTTTCAGCTGTTCAGTTTGCAAATGGATAATGAAATATTGTAAGAAAAAAGGGTTCAGCTCTTCAAAATGGTCCAGATACAAGAAAGAAAAATGTTTTATTGATACATATATAATAAATGGAGAAAATGAGGAATCAGACACATTTGGGAAGGGAAAAATGTAGGTTCCATCAGAAGACACAAACACACACACACTCTCTCTCACACACACACACACCTAAAGAGGAGAATTTACTTTTTATTTATTTTTATTTTTTAATAAGAGAAAAGGCAGGCCAATTTATTCAATGTGTATATATTGGAGTCCTCAGAAGAGGATAATTTATTTACTTATTTTTTGTGATAAATGGTTAGCTTTTCAAATAGAAAATGATTTATCATGGGTTTGTAGAGAGACCTCGGTTAGTACTAGAGTAATTTATTCTACCATCAAACCTTCTTGAATAATGTATAAAAGGATTCACAGGCAACTGAGAGACTTGTCTCCATCATCCTAACACAGCTAAAGAAGACAAACCCTAGGAAACTCAAGACACGTTAGATTCCACAGCTATCATCAGATGGCCCTCAACTGCAAGACCTGTCAAATTCTCTCATCTGCATGGGGAGAAAAGGCATTTGCAGACATGTGTTGGGACAAACATCCATCAATATTCCTGAAACCAGTCTGTGTGTGTTAAGTCATGTATCACATTTCATATGTTATTCTCACTCCACCACCATTAAAAAGTTTGTTTTCTACCTCAAATACAATCATCAAAGTTAGATGAATGACAAAATATGAGAAGGGTGCCACATTTTAACAATAATAATAATAAAACTGGAGATGACAGAGCTTTGAACTCTACATTTATGGACAGAATGCTTTAAAGTTTTTTTTAAAAAAGATTTTTAAAAAAAACTTAAAGTTTTTTAAAAAATTGTTAAATGTTTTTCTTAAAAAAGCATCTCCATTGAAAGTTTATTGTGAGTTCCACTAAAAAGTGAAGAAATTACTGTCTTTCTTTTTTCTCAGAATGATGTGTATATGCGTGTATGTGTGATTTTATAATATATTAATAACATGTTAATTTGCTTTGTAGACAAGCCTATTTTGAATAAATATGTATAAACACACACATATACAGCTATATGTAAACAAAACCAATGATATATAAATTAAATATATGGAAATATTCTTTGAATATTTCCTATTTCTCCCCTGTTAAGGACACACTTCCGGTTTCTCCTCTTTTAAGGATACATTTCCTGTTTCTCCCTTAGGCCAAACACACTTTCTGTGTCGCCCCTGTGGGTAACACACTTCTGGCCTTTCCCCTGTGCAGCACACACTCTCTCTTCCTTCCCTGTGCAGGACACACTTCTTATGTCTCTGTTGTGCAGGACATACTTCCTCTTTCTTCCTTGAAGAGGCCACACTTCCTGTTCTTCCCCTGTTAAGGACACACTTTCTGTTTCTCCCATGTGCCTGACACACTTCCTGTTTCTCCCCTCTGCAGGAAACACTGCCAGTGTCTCCCATTTGGGGGACACACTTCCTTATTTTCCACTGTGCAGCACATATTTTCTGTTGGCCTACTGTGCAGGACACACTTCCTGTATGTCCCCTGTTCATGACACTCTTTTGGTTTCTCCCTTGTGCAGCACACACTTTCTGTTCCTCCCCTGTGCTTGACATACTTGTTTCTCACAGAGACACAGGAAATATATCCTACTCAGAAAAGGAACAGAAAGTCAGTCCTGCAGTGGAGGAATAGAAAGTGTGCTGCACAGGGTAGAAAGAGGAACTGTGTCCCCCAAAGGAAGACACAGGAAATAGTTGTACAGACAGAAGAAGCAGGAAGTATGTTGGGCACATGGTAGAAACAGGAAGTGTGGCAACAGAAGAAGAACAGGAAGTATGGCCAGTTCAAAGAAGAAAGAAGAAGTGTGTCAGGAATAGAAGAAAAAGAGGAAGTGTGTCCCCCACAGGGGAGAAATAGGAAAAGTTTTTGCATATTGGAGGGCCAGAAAGTGTGTTCTGCATAGGAGAGAAACAGAAGGAGTGTCCTGCAGAAAGGAAGAATAGTGTTTGCTGCACAAGGGAAAAACCAGAAGTGTGTCCCAAACAGTAGAGAAACAGGAAGTGTGTCCAGGACAGAAGAGAAATAGAAAGTACATCCTAAAGAGGGGAAAACAGGAAATGTGTCTGTCTTTTGAGAATAACAGCGTATGAGGAGCAGGGGAGAAAGAGGAAGTGTGTTCTGCAGAGAAGAGAAACAGTATGTCAGGCACATGGAAGGAACAGAACGTGTGCTGCACAGGGGAGTAACAGGGAGTGTGGAATGTACAGCACAGTAACAGGAAGTTTTTCCTGCACAGAGAAGGAACAGAAAGCGTGGGCTGCACAAGGGAGCGAGAGGAACTGTGTCCCTCACAGGGTAGACACAGGAAGTGTGTCTTGCTGAGGAGAGAAACAGTGTGTCCTGTGCATGAGAGGAACAGAAAGTGTGTTGCACAGAGGAGAAACAGGAAGTGTATTACCCACAGGGGAGACACAGAAGTGTTTGCTGCATAGGGAAGGAGCAAGAAGTGAGTGCTGCACAGGGGAGAAATAAGAATTGTGTCCCTCAGAGGGGACATCAGGTACAAGGGAGAAACAGGAACTGTGTCGGGCACAAGGGAGAAACAGGAAATGTGTTGGGACAATGGAGGAACAGAAAGTGTGTCCAGTACAGAGGAGGAACAGAAAGTGAGCTGCACAGGAAAGAAACCAGATGTGTGCTAACGTCTACAGTGACATAGAAAGTGTATCCTGCATAGGAGAGAAAAGGAAGTGTGTCCTGCATAGGGGAAATAAGGAAGTGTGTCTTGCACAGGGAAGGAACAGAAAGTGTGGGCTGTACAGGGAAGAAAAAGGAAGTGTATCCTTTTTCTCCTGTGTCACAGGAGAAACACAGGAAGTGTGTCCTGCACATGGAAGAAATGGGAAATATGTTGGGCATAGCAGAGAAACAGAAAGTGTGTCCTGAAGAAAAGGAAGAAAAGTGTGTGCTACACAGGGGAAAAACAGGAAGTGTGGCCTGTTCTGAGATGAAACAGGAAGTGTGTTCTGCACAGAGAGAATAAGAAAGTGTGTCCTGCACAGATGAGGACCAGAAAGCGTGTGCTGCTCTTGGAAGAAACAGGAAGTGTCATGAACAGGAGATACACAAGAAGTGCATCCCACATAGTAGAAGAGAAATTGTGTGCTGCACAGAAGAGAAAGAAGTATGTCCCTCACAGGGAAAACAGAGGAACTGTGTCTCAGGCACCAGTAAGAAACAAGAAGTGTAACAGGAACATGGGAGAAGCAGGAAGTGTGTTCCAACCAGAGGAGGAACAGAAAGTGTCTGCTGCACTGGGGAGAAACATAAAAAGTGCCATAAATATGTGACATACAGGAACTGTGTCCTGCACAGTGGAGGAACAGAAAATTTGTGCTGCACAAAGGAGAAAGAGGAAATGTGTCCCTCATAAGAGAGACACAGGAAAAGTGTCCTGCACAAGGGAGAAATGGGAAACGTGTCAGGCACATGGGAGAAACAGAAAGTGTCCTGCACAAAGAACAGAAAGTGTGTGTTGCTCAGGGGAGAAAAACGAAGTGTGTCCCTCACAGGAGAGACACAAAAACTATGTCTTACACAGGAGGAAGAATAGGAAGTGTGTCTGTTTCAGGAGAGTAACAAGAAGTGTGTTCTGCACAGGGAAAAAGCAGGAAGTGTGTCAGGTATATGGGAGAGACAGGAAGTGTATAATGCACAGATAGTGTGTGCTGCACAGTGGAAAAACAAGATGTATTTCCCACACAGGGGAGACAAAGGAAGTGTGTCCAGCAAAGGGAAGAAACAGGAAGTGTGTCAGGCACATGGGAGAAATAGGAGGTGTGTCTTGAACAGAGGAGGAAAGGAAAGTGTGTGCTTTGCAGGGGAGAAAAAAGAAAAGTGTCATGAACAAGGGACATACAGGAAGTGTGTCCTGCACAGTGAAGGAACGGAAAGTATGTGTTACACGGAGGAGAAAGAGGAAGTGTGTCTTTCACAGGTGAGACTCACAAATTGTGTCCCGAACACAGGAGAAACAGGAAGTATTTCAGGCACATGGGAAACACAGGAGTGTGTCCTGCACAAAGGAAGAACAAAAAGTGTATGCTCCACAGAGCCAAAACAGGAAGTGTGGCATGCACAACAGAGACACAGGAAGTGTGTCTCTCACAGGAGAGTCACAGTAAGTGGGTCTGTCTCAGGAAAGTAACAGAAAGTGTGTCCTGCACAAGGAAGAAACAGGAAATGTGCCAGGCACATGGGAGAAACAGAAAAGGTGTCATGCACAGGGGAGGAACAAAAAACATGTGCTGCACAGAAGAAAAACAAGAAGTGTTTCCCACAGAGCGGAGACACAGGAAGTGTGTTCCATAAAGGGAAGAAACAGAAAGTGTGTCAGGCACATGGGAGTAACAAGAAGTGTGTCCTGAACAGAGAAGGAACAGAAAGTGTGTGGTGCACTGGGGACAAAGAGGAAAAATGTCATGAACAAGGAACATACAGAAAGTGTGTCCTGCATAGTGGAGGAACAGACAGTGTATGCTGCAACAAGGAGAAAGAGGAGCTATGTCTCTCACGGGAAAGACACAGGAAGGTGTCCTGCACAGGGGAGAAACAGGAGAGTGGCATGCACAGGGAAGACTCAGGAAGTACGTCATGAAAGAGGAGGAACAGGAAATGTGCTGCACAGGGGAGCAAAAGGAAGTATGTTCCACACAGGAGAGACACAGGAAGTGTGCCCTGCAGATGGGAGGAACAGGAAGTGTGTGGTGTACAGAGGAGAAATAGGAAGTGTGTCCTGAACAGAAGAGAAACAGAAAGTATGTGCTGCAATGCAAAGAAACAAGAAAAGTCCAATGAACAAGGAACACACAGGAAGTGTGTCCTGCAGAGGAGAGGAACAGAAAGTGTGTGCTACACAGAGGAGAAAGGGGACCTGTGTCTCTCACAGGAGAGACTCAGGAAGTGTGTCCTACACAGACAGGAAACATGAAGTGTGTCAGGTACATGGGAAAAACAGGAAGTGTGTCCTGCAAAGAGCAGGAACAGAAAGTATGCGCTGCACAGGACAGAAACACGAAGTGTGGCACGTACAGGGGAGACACAGAAAGTATGTCCTGCACAGGGGAGGAATAGTAAGTGTGTCTGCCTCAGGAGAGTAACAGAAAGTTTGTGCTGCACACGGGGAAAAAGGAAGTGTGTCTTGCTCAGGGAAAAAACAGGAAGTGGGTCCTGAACAGAGGAGAAACAGAAAGTGCATGCTGCACCAGGAAACAAGAAAAGTGTCATGAACAAGGGATGCACAGGAAGTGTGTCCTGCAGAGTGTAGGAATAGAAAGTGTGTGCTACACAGAGGAGAAAGACGGAGTGTGTCTCTCACAGGGGATACTTAGGAAGTGTGTCCTGCACAGAGAAGAAACAAAAAGTGTGTCAGGCACATGGGAAGAACAGAAAGTGCACCCTGCACAGAGGAGGAACAGAAAGTGTGTACTGCACAGGTCAGAAATAGGAAGCGTGGCATGTCCAGCAGAGGAACAGAAAGTGTGTGCTTCACAGGGCGGAAATAGGAAGTGTGGCATGCACAGAGGAGACATAGGAAGTATGTCCTGAACAGAAGAAGAACAGGAAGTGGGTCTATCTCAGGAGACTAAGAAGAAATATGTCCTGTACAGCCAAGGAACAGAAAGAGTGAACTGCACAGGAGAGGAACAGGATGTGTGTAGTGCACAGAGGAGAAGCAGTAAGTGTGTCATGCACAGGGAGAAACAGAAAATGTGTGCTGCACAGGGGAAAAACAAGAAATGTGTCCCATACAGAGGAGACACAGCAAGTGTGCTCTAAGCAGGGAAGAAACAGGAAGTGTGTCAGGCACATGGTAGGAGTTCACTCAGACTATGCCTTTGAGTGCTGAAGAGGTACTATAATGCCCCCTGATAGCCAGGTGAGGTGAAACAACAGATGGCATCACATGAGCACTACTGTTAGGACAATCTTGTCAACAGCTCCAGACAGACCCATGAACTCTCCCTGCCCTTCTTTTACCTGTGTCAACCATCTGGGGTGGAGGGTAACGTAAAAAAGTGCATCCACAACAGGCGTGCACCACCACACCTGGATAATTTTTGTATTTTTTATGGAGATGGGGTATCACCATGTGGGCCAGACTAGTTTTGAACTCCTGACCTCAAGTGATCCAACTGCCTTGACTTCCCAAAGTGCTGGTATTACAGGCATAAGCCACCCACTGTGCTCGACCAGGCACAGAGAACAGATTCTTCCAAATGACAACCAGACTTCTGAATGTGGAAATTGGACAGCACTAATGAGGACAGTATGTTTGTCACCTTCTTTAAAATTTAGGTTAGCATCACAGACTTCAGGTTATTTTCAAGTTCATTCAGATTATGCCTTTGAGTACTGCAGAGGTACTACAATGCCTCCTGATAGCAGGGTGGGATGAAACAATAGGTGGCATCACATGAACACTGCTGTTTGTGCAGTCTTGCCAACAGCTCCAGACAGACAGACCCACGCACTCTCCCTGCCCCTCCCTCTCTTACCCATGTCAACCTTCTAGGGTGGAGGGCAATGTGAAAGAAATGCGCCCACATGACTGCAGTATCTCAGGTAGTGTCACTGACCATTCTCTGGCTATTCACTGTTTTCTCAAACATGGGAAGTTTACACTCTGGATTTTGTATATGCTTCTTTTTTGGTAATTTTCTAAAACTTAAATTAAAACCAAAAATTTAACTATTTCATTCCTGTTACTTTACTGGGCAGGAGGCACTTTCTGTTCATCTTTGGTTCAGGACACACTTCCTGTTCCTCCCCTGTCCAGCACACACTTTCTGTTCCTCCTCTGTGCAGGACACACTTCCTGTGTTTCATGTTCATGACACTCTGCCTGTTTTTCCCTGGTGTAGCACACACTTTCTATTCCTCTTCTGTGCAGGACGCACTGTTTCATCATTGCTTGTGCAGTACAAACTTTCTTTTTCTTCCTTAAGCAGGCCACACTTCCTGTTCCTCCCTTGTGCAGGACATACTTTCTGTTTCTCCCCTGTGCAGCACACACTTCCTCTTTCTCCCCTGTGCAGCACAATCTTCCTGTGTCTTTGCTGTGTGGAACACACTTCCTGTGTCTCATCTGTGTGGGACTCACTTCCTCTTTCTCCCACGTGCAGGACACACTTCCTCTGTCGCCCCTGTGTGTAACACAGTTCTGGTTTCTCTCACGTGCAACACACTCTCTGTTCCTCTTCTGTGCAGGACACACTTCCTGCTTCTATGCTGTGCCTAACATACTTTCTGTTACTTTCCTGTGCAGGACACAATTCTTATGTCTTCCCTGTGAGGGGCACATTTCCTGTTTCTTCCCTTTGCTGCTCACACTTTCTGTTCCTTTCCTTTGCAGGACACAGTTTCTGTGTCTCTCTTGTGTGGGACACACTTCTTGTTTCTCCCCTACATAGGACACACTTCTTGTGTCACCACTGTAGGTAACAGACTTTTGGCATCTCCTCTGTGCAACATATTTTCTGTTCCTCCTCTCTGCAAGAGAAGGAACATATTTCCTGTTACTCTCCTGAGGCAGACAAACTTCCTGTTCCTCCTCTTTGCAGGACACACTTCCTTTGTCTCCACTGTGGCCGACTCACTTGCTATTACTTCTCTAGGCAGAACATACTTTCTGTTTTTCTTCTGTGCAAGACACACTTCCTGATTCTTCCCAGTACAGCAAAAACTTTCTGTTCCTCCTCTGTGCAAGACATACTTCCTATTTCTCCTGTTAAGGACACACTTCCTATTTTTTGTTCCAGGTCACACTTTCTTTGTCCCCACTAAGGGTAACATACTTCTGGTTTCTCCCCTGTGCAGCAGACACTTTCTGCTCCTTTCCTGTGCAAGACACATTTCCTGATTCTCCTCTTTGGGGGATACACTTTCTCTTTCTCCCCTACATAACACACACTTTCTGTTCCTCCACTGTGCAGGACACACTTCCTATTTCTCTCCTGTTAAGGACACACTTGCAGTTTCTCCTCAGCTAAGGACACACTTCCTGTTTCTCCCCTGCTAAGAACACAGTTCTTGTGTCTTCTCTGTCGGGTACATACTTACTCTTCCTAACCTGTTCAGGACACACTTCTTGTTTGTCCTGTTAAGGATGCACTTCCTGTTTCTCCCATGTGCTCCACACACTTCTTGTTTCTCCCTTTCCAGGACACACTTCCTGTGTCTCCCCTGTGGGGTCATAATTCCACTTTCTCCCTTGTGCCCCACATACATCCTTTTTCTCCATGTGCTCCATACACTTCTTGTTTCTCCCTCTCCAGGACACACTTCCTGTGTCTCCCCTGTAGGGTCATACTTCCTCTTTCTCCCTTGTGCCCCACATACATTCTTTTTCTCCACTGAAAAGGACATACTTCCTGTTTCTACCCAGTTAAAAGCAAACTTCCTGTTTCTCCCCTGTGGAGGACAAAATTTCTCTTCCTCCACTAGGCAGGGCATACTTCCTGTTTCTTTCTTCTACTGGAGACACTTCCTGTAGTTCCTCTCTGGCAGACACACTTCTTCATTCACCCCCATGCAGCACACACTTTCTGCACCTCTACTGTGTAGGACACACTTCTTGTTCCTCCCCTCTGCTGGACATATTTTCTGTGTCTCCACTGTGCAGGAAATACTTCCTATTTCTCCCCTGTTAAGGACACACTTCCTTTTTCTCCCATGTTAGGGAGACACTTCCTGTGTCTTCCCTGCTGGGGACACACTTCCTGTTTCTCCCCTGTGCAGGACAAACTTCCTGTTACTCTTCTAGGCAGGATGCACTTTCTGTTCCTCTTCTGTTCAGGGCACACTTTCTGTTCCTCCCCTGTTCAGCATACCCTTTATGTTCCTTCACTGTGCAGGATGCTCTTCTCCCCTGTTAAGGACACATTTTCTGTTTGTCCCCTATGTAGGACACACAACCTGTGTCACCACTGCAGATAACACACTTCTGGTTTCTCCCTTATACAGCACACACTTTCTGTTTCTCCCCTGTGCAGGACATGCTCCCTGTGTCTCCACTGTGCAGGACACTCTTCTACTAAAACACAAGAAGTTTATCCTGCACAGGAGAGGAACGGAAAGTGTGTCTTTCTCAGGAGAGTAACAGAAAGCGTGTCCTGCCTAGGGGAGAAACAGAGAGTGTGTGGTGCACAGGGGGAAAGCCATATATGTGTCCTGCACAGGGCAGAAACAGGAAGTATGTCAGGCAAAAGGGAGAAACAGGAAGTTTGCCCTGCACAGCAGAGACAAAGTAAGTGTGTCCAGCACAGAAGAGGAATAAAAAATGAATGTTGCAGAAGATAGAAAAAAAAAAAGTGGGCCGGGCGCGGTGGCTCACGCCTGTAATCCCAGCACTTTGGGAGGCCGAGGCGGGCGGATCACGAGGTCAGGAGATCGAGACCATCCTGGCTAACACGGTGAAACCCCGTCTCTACTAAAAATACAAAAAAATTAGCCGGGCGTGGTAGCGGGCGCCTGTAGTCCCAGCTACTCGGGAGGCTGAGGCAGGAGAATGGCGTGAACCCGGGAGGCGGAGCTTGCAGTGAGCCGAGATCGCGCCACTGCACTCCAGCCTGAGCGACAGAGCGAGACTCCGTCTCAAAAAAAAAAAAAAAAAAAAAAAAAAAAAAAAAAAGTGTATCCCTCAAAAGGGAGAAACAGGAAGTGTGTCCTGCACAGGAGAGAAACAAAAAGTGTATTCCACAGAGTAGAAACAGGAAGCCTGTAACCCACAGGGGCAATACAGTAAGTGCGTCTTGCAGAGACGAAACAGGAAGTATGTCCCACACAGGAGAGACACAGGAAGTATGTCCCACACAGGGGAAAACAGAAAGTGTGTGCTGCACAGGGGAGAAAAAGGAAGTGTGGCCCTTACAGAGGAGACACAGGAAATATGTCCTGCAAGGGGAGAAAAAGGAAGTGTGTCAGGCAAAGTGGAGAAACAGGAAGTGTGTCCTGAACAGAAGAGGAACAGAAGTGTTGTCCTCACAGGGGACACACAGGAAATGTGTCCTGCACAGGGGAGCAACAGGAAGTGTGACAGGCACAAGGGAGGAACAGGAAGAGTGTCCCACACAGAGAAGGAAGAGAAAATGTATGTTGCACAGTGAAGAAATAGAAAGCGTGGTATGCACAATAGAGACACTGAAAGTGTGTGCTTCACAGTGGAAGAACAAGAAGTGTAGCATGCTCAGGGATGAAACAGAAAGTGTGGCCTGAACAGGGGAGGATCAGAAAGTCTGTCCTCCACAGACGAGGAGCAGACAGTGTGTGCTGCACCAGGGAGAAACAGGAAAAGTTTCATGAACAGGGGACACAAAGGAGAGGCGTCATGCACAGTACAGAAAGGGAAAGTGAATGCTGCACAGAGGAAAAAAAGATGTGTCCCTCACAAGAAAAGGAAGTATGTACTGCACAGCAGAGAAAAAGGAAGTGTGTCCTTAACAAAGGAAGAACATAAAGGGTGGCCATTCAAGGAGGAAACAAGAAGTGTGGCATGCACAGGGGAGAAACAGGGAGTGTGTCTGTCTCTGGAGAGCAATGGGAAATGTGTCCTGCACAGTGGAGGAACAGAACGTGTGTGCTGCACAGGTGAGAAACAGGAAGAGTGGCATGCACAGGGGAGATATGAAGTTTGTCTGTCTCAGGAGAGTAACAGAAAGTGTGTCCTGCACAGGGGAGGAACAGAAAAATAGGTGCTGCACAGGGGAAAAATAGAAAGTGTGTTATGCACAGGGGAAACACAGGAAGTATGACCTGCACAGGGGAGAAACAGAAAGTGTCCTGCATAGAAGAGGAACAGGAAGTGTGTTCTGCACAAAGGCAGAACAGGAAGTGTGTCCTGCACAAAAAAGAAACAACATATAAGCTGAACATGGCAGAAACAGGAAGCGTGTCCTGCACAGGGGAGGTACAAAAGTGTGTGCTCCATGGGGAGATACTGGACTGGAAGTTTGTGTTGCACAGAGGAGGAACAGATGAGACTAAAAACATTATCTAAGCAAAAACAGCCAGTCACAGAAGACATTTATTTGAAATGTTCAGAATAGGCATATATTTACAGACAGAAAGTAGATTGGGGTTGCCTAAGCGTGGAAGGGGAAGAGAGGTTGAGAGGGCCTGCTGTAATGAGTATGGAGTTTTTTCTCCTGGGGTACAAATGTATTCTAAAATTAGAAACTGGTGATGCTTGTACAGCCCTGTAAATTACTGAAAAATAAAATTAAATTAAACTGCAGCCTTTAAATGAATTAATTATCTGATATGTGAATTATATCTCAATAAAACTCCTTTCAATAATGCCCAGCCGGGCGCGGTGGCTCACGCCTGTAATCCCAGCACTTTGGGAGGCCGAGGCGGGCGGATCACGAGGTCAGGAGATCGAGACCATCCTGGCTAACACGGTGAAACCCCGTCTCTACTAAAAATACAAAAAATTAGCCGGGCGTGGTGGCGGGCGCCTGTAGTCCCAGCTACTCGGGAGGCTGAGGCAGGAGAATGGCGTGAACCCGGGAGGCGGAGCTTGCAGTGAGCCGAGATCGCGCCACTGCACTCCAGCCTGGGCGACAGAGCGAGACTCCGTCTCAAAAAAAAAAAAAAAAAAAAAAAAAAAAAAAAAAGTGTATCCCTCAAAAGGGAGAAACAGGAAGTGCAAAAAAAAAAAAAAAAAAAAAAAAAAAATAATGCCCAGTGGTCAATCTTTTTTCATCTCAGCATTATCACAACTAGTTCCAGTGTCGAAACCATCTTACTAATTAATCTATTCACATCTGTGTCCTCAAAGAATACAAGTTTGTATGGATGCCATAGTTCCTGCCTGTAATTCCAGCACATTGAGAGGCTCAAGTGCTGGCCTCAAGTGGGAGGCTCACTTGAGCCCAGAACTTGGAGACCAGCTTAAGCAACATAGTGAGACCTTGTCTGTACACAATATTAGCTGGGTGTGGTGGTGCACACCTGTAGTCCCAGCTACTCAGGAGGCTGATGCGGGAGGACTTCTTGAGCCCAGGTGTTAGAGGCTGCAGCGAGCTATGAATTCACCACGACACTCCAGCCTGGGCTAAGCCAGAGACCCTACCTCAAAAAAAAAAGTTAGGGAGTTGGGGCAAGTTCCTTGAGGACTGTACCTGTCCTGTTCATGGATGTTTTCCTAGTGCTGACATGATAGCTGGTCTATAGAAGATGATCAGTAAACATAAATTCAACAAATGAACAAATCAACCACCAGCACAAAAATATATATCCCCAGAAGAAGACTGCTTCTTTTAGTAGCAGCAGAAAATACTTGAAATTACCTGAAAATTAAGGAACAACGTACTGTTCTATGCAATGGAAAAATAAATACCTCTAGTATTAAAAATAAAAAGTACTCCCCATCAAGTTTTTCCAGCAATTTAGTACAAAAAAGGAAACAAACCAAACAAACCCTCCAAATAAATAATATAGCACCTTGTAGTACAGGGGTCTCACTATGTCTACTATTGCTGTATGTGACTTAATAAGGCCAAAGCTCAATTCCTTTGTTAAAGACATTTCACGTGGCCAAGCAGGATCAGATAAACTACCCTTTACAAATTACCTAGGTACCCACTGCACTCTTGGCCAAAGAGAACAGTCAGAACCTGACTTGCATTCTCATACTGAGTCAAACCAAACAGCTTCACAGCTATGTGCTGACTACAGCAGCAGAAAGCCCTTCTTAGTCCCTAAATGGGGACACAGGACAACAGGAAGCTGTTGCACCTGGCTGGCTCACCTGGAACAGCTCAACAGGGCCAGGAGGCATTCAACACCAGCCTTCCTATGACAGCAGTCCTCCTTGGCATTCATGTGAACTGGGATGGTGTGACTTCTCCAGTTGCCCCCTACCCTGCCTCTTCTCTCTCCCTACCCATGTAGGGTGGGTCCCATTTATAGCTTATGCTTCCTTCTTTATACTTCAACATTTATGTGAACAGTCTAATCATTCATGTGGTGCTTAAGGGGGTGTGCACTGGTAGCCAGAGTTGGTGGCATGTGTCTGTAGTCCCAGCTACTCAGGAGGCTGTGGCAGGAGGATTTCTTGAGTGACTGTACTGTGTGCTATGATCTTATGATCATCCCTGTGAATTGCCGCTGCACTCCAGCCTGGGCAACATAGCAAGACCTCATCTCTTAAAAACATTTTTTAAAGGGGGGTATGCACTGGAGTTGGAATACTTGCCTGAAAATACTTGGTTATCATCTCTCTAAATCTTTGCTTTCTTTATCTGGAAAATGGGCAAGAAAACATTATCCTTCTTGAGATGGCTCATGTGATGTAGATTAAATGAAATCCTGACTATGGATAGTGCAGTAAGGTACTTCACAATACACCTGGCACATGTTACCTGCTCAATACAAGGAACTGGGATACTAGCAAGGTTGATCAATTCTGAATTCTTATTTCCCAACTACTTCCAGATCTTCATCCAGTTATTCTGCAGCACTGAACATGTAACTCACTATCCTGAGTCAGTGAGGACCTTACAATGTCCACTGTCCTCTTCCTTTGGCACTGAACCAGACCTTTCAATCTGCCCTTTACCCTGTTACCCTATTTTCCTCTTTGCTTTAAACTGCCTCCTTCTATATGGATCCTATTGCTGTCCCTATCTCATGTGTTCTGATGCTGGCCTCACAGTGTCCCCAAAAGACATAGCATCTTCCCTCACCAGGCAAGTTCTCAAGTCAGATGATTTGCCAGAGCAATTTCCTAATCCATGAGACTCCTACCCTGTTAAGTAAGCCTGAAAAGAGGGAAGGCAGACACAAATGGGGACATCTAGGCAGGATGTGTGTGTTCTCTGGTGCTCAAAGATCTTCAGAGACACAGGCTGGTGGGGACATCTTCTACTTTCTCCACTGTCTGCCACCCCAAGTTGCTGCATGGCGTAGGGCTGAGGAGCTGTCAAGATTCACAACTGCACCATCAAGATCAAAGGAGAACTGTGGGAGACAAGTGAAGCACTGCAGTCCGTCACTGAAAATTTCTCTCAGGTTCATCCAGGCACAGGGACCAACTAAGTGCACCTCTGCCTACGAGATGTTTATGGAAATCAGCACTCAAAATTCTTGTCTGTCTTGGGTACAGAAGGGAAACCATGTCAGCATCTAAAGACAGTACAGGGTCTAACCAATATATCCCTGTTCTCAGGGTATCAGCCTCAGAACAGCCTGTTCTAGCACAGGAAGCCACAAATCAGGCAGCGAGAAGATATTTTGTTCTTTTTTTTCAGACAGAATCTCGCTTTGTTGCCCTGGTTGGAGGGCAGTGGCGTGAACTAAGCTCACCGTAGCCTTTGCCTCCAGGGTCCAAACAATTCCCCTGCCTCAGCCTCCGGAGCTACTGGGTCTACAGGCATGCACCACCAAGGCTGGCTGATTTTTCTGTTTTTAATGGAGGTGGGAGATCACCATGTTGGCCAGGCTGGTTTCGAACTCTTGACCTCAAGTGATCTGCCTGCCTAGTCCTTGCAAAGTGCTTGGATTATAGGCATGAACCACCCACTGCACTGGACCAGACACAGAGAAGAGATTCTTTCAAATGACAACAAAATCTCTTAATTTGGAAATCAAAAACAGCACTAACTGTTAGGGCAGTTACTAACATAGTAACTAACATGGGCCAGTGTGTTTGTCACCTTTTTCTTTAAACGTTGGGTTAGCAGCACAGGCTTCAGGTGATTTTCAAGTTCACTCAGGCTATGCTTTGAGTGCTGAAGAGGTACTATAATGCCTCCTGATAACAGGGTGGGATGAAACAACAGATGGCATCACATGAGTGCTGCTGTTAGGGCAATCTTGACAACAGCTCCAGCAGACAGACCCCCTGTAACAGACAGACACCCTCTTCCTGGCCCTCTCATACCTGTGTCAACCATCTGGGGTGGAGGGCAATGTGAAAGAAGTGCACCCGGCTAGGCGCAGTGGCTCACTCCTGTAATCCCAGCACTTTGGGAGGCCGAGGCGGGCCCATCACGAGGTCAGGAATCGAGAACATCCCGGCTAACACAGTGAAACCCCGTCTCTACTAAAAATAAAAAAAAAAAATTACCCGGGTGTGGTGGCGGGCACCTGCAGTCCCAGCTACTAGGGAGGCTGAGGCAGGAGAATGGCGTGAACCCGGGAGGGGGAGCTTGCAGTGAGCCGAGATTGCCCCACTGCACTCCAGCCTGTGTGACAGAGAGAGACTCTGTCTCAAACAAAAAAAAAAAAAAAAAAAAAAAAAAAAGAAAAGTACAACCACACCACTGCAGCATCTAAGGTAGTGTCATCTAGCTATTCCCCGGCTTCTCAAACACAGAGTTTACGCTCCAGATTTTGTGTATATGTCTTTTTAAAAATTTTCTAGAACTGAAATTAAAATAAAAAATTTAAAAATTTCTTTCCTGGACTGGCACGATGGCTCACATCTGTAATCCCAGCACTTAGGGAGGCCGAGGCAGGCGGATCACGAGGTCAGGAGATCCAGACCATCCTGGTTAACATGGTGAAACCCCGTCTCTACTAAAAATACAAAAAAAAAAAAATAGCTGGGCGTGGTGGCGGGTGCCTGTAGTCTCAGCTACTCGGGACGCTGAGGCAGGAAAATGGCGTGAACCCGGGAGGAGGAGCTTGCAGTGAGCTGAGATCGCGCCACTGCACTCTAGCCTGAGTGACAGAGCGAGAACCCATCTAAAAAAAAAAAAAAAAAATCATTTCTGTTACTCTATTGGGCAGGTTGCACTTTCGGTTCATCTTCTGCTCAGGACACACTTCCTCTTCCTCCCCTGTCCAGCACACACTTTCTGTTCCTCCTCTGTACAGGACACACTTCCTGTTTCTCCCCTGTTAAAGACACACTTCCTGTGTATCCCCTGGTCATAACACTCTGTTTCTCTCCTGAGCAGCACACACTTTTTGTTCCTCCTGTGTGCTAGATACACTTCCTGTGTCTCCACTGTGTAGTACACAGTTCCTCCATCTCCCCAGTGCAAGACACACTTCCTTTTTCTCCCCTGTGAGAGATATACTTCCTCTTTCACCTCCGTGCAGCACACACTTTCTATTCTTCCACTTTACAGGATACACTTCCGGTGTTTCCTGTTCCCGACACTCCTCCTGTTTCTCCATGGTGAAGCACACACTTTCTGTTCCATGCCTGTGCAGGACACACTTTCTCCTGTTACTCCTCTGGGCAGGATGAACTTTCTGTTCCTCTTCTGTGCAGGAAATGCTTCCTGTTCCTCCCCTGTGTAGCACACACTTTCTATTCCTCCTCTGTGCAAAACACACTTCCTGTTTCTCTCATGTTAAAGACACACTTCCTTTTTCTCCCTTAGGCAGGACACACTTTCTGTGTTGTCCTATGAGTAATACACTTCCTATTTCTCCCCTGTGCAGCACACACATTCTGTACCTCCCCTGAGCTGGACACACTTCCTTTGTCCTTGTGTAGAACACACTTCCTTTGTCTCTCCTGTAATGAACACATTTCCTCTTTCTCCCCTGGTGCAGCACACACTTTGTTCCTCCTCTGTGCAGGACACACTTCCTATTATTCTCCTGAGACAGACATGCTTCCTGCTCTCCACTAGGCCCTACACATTTCCCGTTTCTCCCCCATGCCCCATATACTTCCTGAATGTCTCCTGTTCTTGACACTTCCTGTTTCTCCTCTGTGCAGTGCACATTTTCTGTTTCCCTCTCTGTGGAGGACACACTTTGTTACTCTCCTGAAACCAACACACTTCCTATGCTTCCTCAGGCCCTGACACACTTCCTGTTTCTTCCATGTACTTGGCACGCTTCCTGTTTCTTTGTTGAACAGGTCACACTTTCTCTTCTTCCCCTGTTAAGGATACACTTTCCGTCTCTCCCATATGCCTGACACATTTCCTTTTTCTCCCCTATGCAGGACACACTTTCTGTGTCACCCTGTAACACACTTCAGTTTCTTCCCTGTGCAGCACACACTTTCTGTTCTTCCTCTGTGCAGGACACACTTCCTGTTACTCTCTTCAGACAGACACACTTCCTGTTTCTCCCTGTGCCCCACACACTTCCTAGTGTCCACTGTTCTTGATACTCTTCCTGTTTCTTCTCTGTGCAGCACACATTTTCTGTTCCTCCTCTGGCCAGGTCACACTTCCTGTCACTCTCCTGAGACAGACACACTTCCTGTTCCTCCTCTGCAGGACATACTTTTTGTTCTTCCTCTGTGCAGAACACGCTTCATGTTTTACCCCTGTTAAGGACACATTTCCTGTTTATTTTACTTTAACTTTTTTTTAACTTTATTTAACTTTATTTAAATTATTTAATTTTTTAAACTTTATTTAACTTTATTTTACTTCCTGGACATTTTAACTTTTTAAGATTTTATATTTTTTTCATTTTAATTTTGTATATTTCACTATCTTTGGGGCTAGCTTAAAATGTTTCTCATCTGTAAAAGACCATCACCATTTATAAAATACTAGCACCATTTATAAATAAACATGCTTTTCCTGTAGAACTAACATATGATATTTTCACACTCCAAGTTTCTGTAAATATTTAGCATGATTTGTGGACTTTATTCTATTCCATAACACCATCTTATTTGTGGCAATACTGAAGTACAGGAATTATCATAGATTTTTTTGTAGGTTTTTACTACTCCTTTTCAGATTTTTTGACTTTGTTCCAGTGGTGTTTTGTTTTGTTTGTTGTTGTTTGTTTTTTTGCCATGTAAATTTAAACTATTTCTGTCTTATAGGGCAGAAATCAGAAACTGCATTAGAAACTTATACATAGCTCACTATAATTTAAAAAAATTATTTTTTAAAATCAATATCTGAATTTGGGGTAGGTTGCTATTTTATAAAAGCAAGACTTAACTAACTTTGACCATTAATGATAGTAGAGTTATCATAGAACCAATGACCATAGAATTTTCCTCTGCTAATTAAGTCCTATTTATGTGCATCTATAAAGTTCAATATTATTTCCAGTTACCTGGATGGTCAATGAAGTAGAACATTCATTTCTATCTTCTGAGAATCACCTGACACATTTCTTATCAGTACAATTGTATTCAACAGACATTTATTAAAGATCTGTAATTTTCTTAACACCGTGCTAGGTAGCACTTGAATAAATGTTTCTCATAAAAATATGATGTCATACAATGCTGTATAATATAGAAATAAACTTTGAATGGAGAATTTTGTAAACAGGTTTTGAAAGAGGAAGATATAAGATGGGCCAAGATACATGGGTAAAGCTGCAGTAAAATGTGTGTCATTTTTTGTTCAATATTTGTTTATTTGGGGACATTAACATTAGTCTTTCTTTACATTTCTAAGTATACAATCATATACATATTTGTTACTATTTATGCCTGTTTGACACTCCTGTTCCTATGAAATTAGCATGACCCATGGGCCACATCCGGCCATCTAAAGCCTCTTTTTGTAAATAAAGTTTAATTGGTACACAGCTATGCCCATTCATTTATACATGGCTTATTGCCGTTTTCACAGAAGGAAAGAGTTGAGCACTTGTGTCAGAGACTAAACCATTAAAACCTAAATTCTTCAGTATCTGTTCTTTTTTTTTAATGAAAACTAGTGGTGTAAATCTCTGCATTAGATTAACAAGTTTGGGAGCTAGAAACTGCAGTGACTTCTTGGAGTGTAGGTTGTAGCCAGAGGTCACGATTGATTTCAATGAATTCAGTAACATAACCTCATGTTCTCTTGCTTTTGATTACTCACAGTGTCTGATTTACATCGAGTTGAATCTTTACCTCTATAGCTCAGAAAAAATCTTAAGTCATTACCAAATACATACCTTCATATATTTGCAAATTGGAAAAGAACAAAACAAAATGTCAATCCTTTTTGGAGTTTGAGTCATAGCTGTATTTTTCCAAGAAAAACTCCTTGTATTTATATTAAATCATGCACCATAATTTTTTTGAGTACAGAATCTATCTTAATTTAGCCTTTAATTGCCTGCTAACCAAAATGTTCCTTTTTCCCAGCTCTTTTCCCTGCATACAGTACCATAAAAGACATGTCTCTGTTTGTAATTCAGCTCCAGTTATGTAATTCATAATCACTCTATGATGACAGATAAATTGAATAGTCTTAAAAAGATACATTGTTTTTATTTAAAGAATGGGTACAGAAATATGCCCCACCTCACAGGGTTGTTTCAAGAATTAAGAGCCCAAACGGTTATGAACTTGGAGTCCAGAACATAGAGAAAAGTTGAAAGGACTGTCTGTCTCACTTTCTCAGCAAACTTTCCCAAGAGCTGAGAAGGGAGGAACCTTAACCTTATTCAATAAACAACAGGTAAGTGGTTTCTCTAAGAACACTTATGTGTGGTCATTCACTAGTAAATTAAGGACTATTCTTTTGTCTTCCTTTTACCAAATTTGTTTTCAAGGAGTTAAATGGCTATTTCTATGTCAATATCTGAAATCCATTTGTAAGGTATATTACTGAATCCACTAGAGAAAGCTACATAGGATGATTGAGTTAAATAAACAAGGGTTTGAAAACTAATCATGTTTCTGCTGAAGGACAGCAGAAGGGTAATAACCTTTCAAGCAGAAGGTCTGTAACAGATTGTTGTGCAACCAATTAGTCATCATTTCGCTGGCCTCAGAGGTGAAAGCAATGTTTTCCCCACTTATTTAAGCATTGGTTGGTCACGGATAGAAACCAGAATCCAATTAAAATGACTCAGAGATGAAGTACATCAAAGCTATTCTGCCTTCTTGACTAATTCTTCATTCTTATCTTGTCCTTGGGTGAGTTCCATAAGGTATAAATTTTCCTTGGCTTCATAAGCAAACTCCAGAATCAAACAGATTAGAGCAATAGCACTACATGATGTATGAAACAAACTAAATCACTTTGGTTAAAGTATAATGTCTCCATAACAACATTAACTAGTTCACTCAGAAACTCACCACAAAATACTGAACAATAAAGTGCAAAAGTAATCATTGCTTCTGTATTTTACTATAGACAAGCCAGTGATTCCATAAGATAAATTGATTGCAGGATAGGTAAAAATAAATTTAAAGATAGAAATATTCTTATCTTTCTTAGTGCATGGAAAATATTATGTAAAATGCATCTAAACAGGATGACGCTTAAAATCTGGTAAGTACAATGTTTATTTTGTTCTTCTTAGGGAAAAAAAAACACATCAAAAAAATCTGGGAGGAGGAGCCAAGATGGCCGAATAGGAACAGCTCCGGTCTACAGCTCCCAGCGTGAGCGACGCAGAAGACGGGTGATTTCTGCATTTCCATCTGAGGTACCGGGTTCATCTCACTAGGGAGTGCCAGACAGTGGGCGCAGGCCAGTGTGTGCGCGCACCGTGCGTGAGCCGAAGCAGGGCGAGGCATTGCCTCACCTGGGAAGCGCAAGGGTCAGGGAGTTCCCTTTCCGAGTCAAAGAAAGGGGTGACGGATGCACCTGGAAAATCGGGTCACTCCCACCCGAATATTGCGCTTTTCAGACCGGCTTAAAAAACGGCGCACCAGAAGACTATATCCCACACCTGGCTCAGAGGGTCCTACGCCCAAGGAATCTCGCTGATTGCTAGCACAGCAGTCTGAGATCAAACTGCAAGGCGGCAACGAGGCTGGGGGAGGGGCGCCCGCCATTGCCCAGGCTTGCTTAGGTAAACAAAGCAGCCGGGAAGCTCGAACTGGGTGGAGCCCACCACAGCTCAAGGAGGCCTGCCTGCCTCTGTAGGCTCCACCTCTGGGGGCAGGGCACAGACAAACAAAAAGACAGCAGTAACCTCTGCAGACTTAAGTGTCCCTGTCTGACAGCTTTGAAGAGAGCAGTGGTTCTCCCAGCACGCAGCTGGAGATCTGAGAACGGGCAGACTGCCTCCTCAATTGGGTCCCTGACGCCTGACCCCCGAGCAGCCTAACTGGGAGGCACCCCCCAGCAGGGGCACACTGACACCTCACACGGCAGGGTATTCCAACAGACCTGCAGCTGAGGGTCCTGTCTGTTAGAAGGAAAACTAACAACCAGAAAGGACATCTACACCAAAAACCCATCTGTACATCACCATTATCAAAGACCAAAAGTAGATAAAACCACAAAGATGGGGAAAAAACAGAACAGAAAAACTGGAAACTCTAAAACGCAGAGCGCCTCTCCTCCTCCAAAGGAACGCAGTTCCTCACCAGCAACGGAACAAAGCTGGATGGAGAATGATTTTGACGAGCTGAGAGAAGAAGGCTTCAGACGATCAAATTACTCTGAGCTACGGGAGGACATTCAAACCGAAGGCAAGGAAGTTGAAAACTTTGAAAAAAATTTAGAAGAATGTATAACTAGAATAACCAATACAGAGAAGTGCTTAAAGGAGCTGATGGAGCTGAAAACCAAGGCTCGAGAACTATGTGAAGAATGCAGAAGCCTCAGGAGCCGATGCGATCAACTGGAAGAAAGGGTATCAGCAATGGAAGATGAAATGAATGAAATGAAGCGAGAAGGGAAGTTTAGAGAAAAAAGAATAAAAAGAAATGAGCAAAGCCTCCAAGAAATATGGGACTATGTGAAAAGACCAAATCTACGTCTGATTGGTGTACCTGAAAGTGATGTGGAGAGTGGAACCAAGTTGGAAAACACTCTGCAGGATATTATCCAGGAGAACTTCCCCAATCTAGCAAGGCAGGCCAACGTTCAGATTCAGGAAATACAGAGAACGCCACAGCGATACTCCTCGAGAAGAGCAACTCCAAGACACATAATTGTCAGATTCACCAAAGTTGAAATGAAGGAAAAAATGTTAAGGGCAGCCAGAGAGAAAGGTCGGGTTACCCTCAAAGGAAAGCCCATCAGACTAACAGCGGATCTCTCGGCAGAAACCCTACAAGCCAGAAGAGAGTGGGGGCCAATATTCAACATTCTTAAAGAAAAGAATTTTCAACCCAGAATTTCATATCCAGCCAAACTAAGCTTCATAAGTGAAGGAGAAATAAAATACTTTATAGACAAGCAAATGCTGAGAGATTTTGTCACCACCAGGCCTGCCCTAAAAGAGCTCCTGAAGGAAGCGCTAAACATGGAAAGGAACTACCGGTACCAGCCGCTGCAAAATCATGCCAAAATGTAAAGACCATCGAGACTAGGAAGAAACTGCATCAACTAACGAGCAAAATCACCAGCTAACATCATAATGACAGGTTCAAATTCACACATAACAATATTAACTTTAAATATAAATGGACTAAATTCTGCAATTAAAAGACACAGACTGGCAAGTTGGATAAAGAGTCAAGACCCATCAGTGTGCTGTATTCAGGAAACCCATCTCATGTGCAGAGACACACATAGGCTCAAAATAAAAGGATGGAGAAAGATCTACCAAGCCAATGGAAAACAAAAAAAGGCAGGGGTTGCAATCCTAGTCTCTGATAAAACAGACTTTAAACCAACAAAGTTCAAAAGAGACAAAGAAGGCCATTACATAATGGTAAAGGAATCAATTCAACAAGAGGAGCTAACTATCCTAAATATTTATGCACCCAATACAGGAGCACCCAGATTCATAAAGCAAGTCCTGAGTGACCTACAAAGAGACTTAGACTCCCACACATTAATAATGGGAGACTTTAACACCCCACTGTCAACATTAGACAGAGCAACGAGACAGAAAGTCAACAAGGATACCCAGGAATTGAACTCAGCTCTGCACCAAGCGGACCTAATAGACCTAATAGACCTAATCTACAGAACTCTCCACCCCAAATCAACAGCAATATACATTTTTTCAGCACCACACCACACCTATTCCAAAATTGACCACATAGTTGGAAGTAAAGCTCTCCTCAGCAAATGTAAAAGAACAGAAATTATAACAAACTATCTCTCAGACCACAGTGCAATCAAACTAGAAATCAGGATTAAGAATCTCACTCAAAGCCGCTCAACTACATGGAAACTGAACAACCTGCTCCTGAACGACTACTGTGTACATAACGAAATGAAGGAAGAAATAAAGATGTTCTTTGAAACCAACGAGAACAAAGACACCACATACCAGAATCTCTGGGACGCATTCAAAGCAGTGTGTAGAGGGAAATTTATAGCACTAAATGCCTACAAGAGAAAGCAGGAAAGATCGAAAATTGACACCCTAACATCACAATTAAAAGAACTAGAAAAGCAAGAGCAAACACATTCAAAAGCTAGCAGAAGGCAAGAAATAACTAAAATCAGAGCAGAACTGAAGGAAATAGAGACACAAAAAACCCTTCAAAAAATCAATGAATCCAGGAGCTGGTTTTTTGAAAGGATCAACAAAATTGATAGACCGCTAGCAAGACTAATAAAGAAAAAAAGAGAGAAGAATCAAATAGACCCAATAAAAAATGATAAAGGGGATATCACCACCGATCCCACAGAAATACAAACTACCATCAGAGAATACTACAAACACCTCTACACAAATAAACTAGAAAATCTACAAGAAATGGATACATTCCTCGACACATACACTCTCCCAAGACTAAACCAGGAAGAAGTTGAATCTCTGAATAGACCAATAACAGGCTCTGAAATTGTGGCAATAATCAATAGTTTACCAACCAAAAAGAGTCCAGAACCAGATCGATTCACAGCCGAATTCTACCAGAGGTAGAAGGAGGAACTGGTACCATTCCTTCTGAAACTATTCCAATCAATAGAAAAAGAGGGAATCCTCCCTAACTCATTTTATGAGGCCAGCATCATTCTGATACCAAAGCCGGGCAGAGACACAACCAAAAAAGAGAATTTTAGACCAATATCCTTGATGAACATTGATGCAAAAATCCTCAATAAAATACTGGCAAACCGAATCCAGCAGCACATCAAAAAGCTTATCCACCATGATCAAGTGGGCTTCATCCCTGGGATGCAAGGCTGGTTCAATATACACAAATCAATAAATGTAATCCAGCATATAAACAGAGCCAAAGACAAAAACCACATGATTATCTCAATAGATGCAGAAAAAGCCTTTGACAAAATTCAACAACCCTTCATGCTAAAAACTCTCAATAAATTAGGTATTGATGGGACGTATTTCAAAATAATAAGAGCTATCTATGACAAACCCACAGCCAATATCATACTGAATGGGCAAAAACTGGAAGCATTCCCTTTGAAAACTGGCACAAGACAGGGATGCCCTCTCTCACCGCTCCTATTCAACATAGTGTTGGAAGTTCTGGCCAGGGCAATCAGGCAGGAGAAGGAAATAAAGGGTATTCAATTAGGAAAAGAGGAAGTCAAATTGTCCCTGTTTGCAGACGACATGATTGTTTATCTAGAAAACCCCATCGTCTCAGCCCAAAATCTCCTTAAGCTGATAAGCAACTTCAGCAAAGTCTCAGGATACAAAATCAATGTACAAAAATCACAAGCATTCTTATACACCAACAACAGACAAACAGAGAGCCAAATCATGAGTGAACTCCCATTCACAATTGCTTCAAAGAGAATAAAATACCTAGGAATCCAACTTACAAGGGATGTGAAGGACCTCTTCAAGGAGAACTACAAACCACTGCTCAAGGAAATAAAAGAGGACACAAACAAATGGAAGAACATTCCATGCTCATGGGTAGGAAGAATCAATATCGTGAAAATGGCCATACTGCCCAAGGTAATTTACAGATTCAATGCCATCCCCATCAAGCTACCAATGACTTTCTTCACAGAATTGGAAAAAACTACTTTAAAGTTCATATGGAACCAAAAAAGAGCCCATATCTCCAAGTCAATCCTAAGCCAAAAGAACAAAGCTGGAGGCATCACACTACCTGACTTCAAACTATACTACAAGACTACAGTAACCAAAACAGCATGGTACTGGTACCAAAACAGAGATATAGATCAATGGAACAGAACAGAACCCTCAGAAATAATGCCGCATATCTACAACTATCTGATCTTTGACAAACCTGAGAAAAACAAGCAATAGGGAAAGGATTCCCTATTTAAAAAATGGTGCTGGGAAAACTGGCTAGCCATATGTAGAAAGCTGAAACTGGATCCCTTCCTTACACCTTATACAAAAATCAATTCAAGATGGATTAAAGATTTAAACGTTAGACCTAAAACCATAAAAACCCTAGAAGAAAACCTAGGCATTACCATTCAGGACATAGGCGTGGGCAAGGACTTCATGTCCAAAACACCAAAAGCAATGGCAACAAAAGCCAAAATTGACAAACGGGATCTAATTAAACTAAAGAGCTTCTGCACAGCAAAAGAAACTACCATCAGAGTGAACAGGCAACCTACAACATGGGAGAAAATTTTCGCAACCTACTCATCTGACAAAGGGCTAATATCCAGAATCTACAATGAACTCAAACAAATTTACAAGAAAAAAACAAACAACCCCATCAAAAAGTGGGCGAAGGACATGAACAGACACTTCTCAAAAGAAGACATTTATGCAGCCAAAAAACACATGAAAAAATGCTCATCATCACTGGCCATCAGAGAAATGCAAATCAAAACCACTATGAGATATCATCTCACACCAGTTAGAATGGCAATCATTAAAAAGTCAGGAAACAACAGGTGCTGGAGAGGTTGTGGAGAAATAGGAACACTTTTACACTGTTGGTGGGACTGTAAACTAGTTCAACCATTGTGGAAGTCAGTGTGGCGATTCCTCAGGGATCTAGAACTAGAAATACCATTTGACCCAGCCATCCCATTACTGGGTATATACCCAAATGACTATAAATCATGCTGCTATAAAGACACATGCACACGTATGTTTATTGCGGCATTATTCACAATAGCAAAGACTTGGAACCAACCCAAATGTCCAACAATGATAGTCTGGATTAAGAAAATGTGGCACATATACACCATGGAATACTATGAAGCCATAAAAAATGATGAGTTCATGTCCTTTGTAGGGACATGGATGAAATTGGATACCATCATTCTCAGTAAACTATCTCAAGAACAAAAAACCAAACACCGCATATTCTCACTCATAGGTGGGAATTGAACAGTGAGATCACATGGACACAGGAAGGGGAATATCACACTCTGGGGACTGTTGTGGGGTCGGGGTAGGGGGGAGGGATAGCATTGGGAGATATACCTAATGATAGATGACACGTTAGTGGGTGCAGCGCACCAGCATGGCACATGTATACATAAGTAACTAACCTGCACAATGTGCACATGTACACTAAAACTTAAAGTATAAAAAAAAAAAAAAAAACTGTATTATTGACCATTTAGAATAAACTGAAAGCAGATATTTAATTGATTTTTAAAAATAAATTTTGCAGTTTCAATTCTTTAAATATTTTAAAATGACTGTAATGCATAATGTAATTGAAGAACAAAATGTGTAAAATCTTAGGCCCTGTGATATAAGCTTACTGAGTCAGGGATTTATCTCGTTCATTTTTGTGTTTCCTACAACATATGCAACCAGCCCACTACCCTATGAAGCATTTACCTAACTAATGAAGTTAAAAAAATTCAAACAGAGAGAGCAAATTAATTTTTAAATGCAAAGAGTAAATTATTTTTACAAATGCACAGCTTAACCATGTAATATTTTAATTGATGCAAAAAACATTTTGATTTATACTAATTTAAAGACAGGGTTTTTCAACATTCAGTCTGCTATACTGGTCTGGAAGTGGACATATATATTTATATGCATATTTGTATTTATATCCAAATTTAAACTTTATATATAATATTTCATGAGCATCCATACACAATCATGTACAAGTATCTTCCTATAACAGTAGTAAATGATGATCCATGAAGATTTATCCAAAAATTATGACAATATATAACAAAGAAAGGAGACTGCTTAGCTCTATTTATACCCAAATTTAAACTTAATATATAATATATACATAAGCATCCATACCCAATCATGTACAAGTTACTTCCTATAACAGTAGTAAATGATGATCCATGAAGTTTTATCCAAAAATTAACAACAACAATATTTAACAAAGAAGGGAGACTTTGCTTAGCTGTTCAGATTGCAGGAAAAGGGTGGAACAAGACATTTAGGAAAGAGAAAATCTTATTTGTTTGTAGAGAGCCGTAGTAAATTTCATGTCACTCCACAGTATGCATCTTACCAATGAAACCAAGCTCTCCTAGACCATTCCTCTCTACTGGAGGGTTCCTTCCTCTCAGTGCCAGGTGATGGTAATAATGTCTATATTCATTTACTTCATATTATACCACATCATTTTTGAAGTGCTTTCATTTGCACTAAAAAATACAATTTCTAAAACAATAAGGGATGTCAAGTGACCTCTTTCCAAACATTAATTGTTGGACAAGAGAATCATATGCAATACATGAATACTTCATATTCCCACTGGATTAGACTTATAATGTTGCTCCACTTTCATTACTAGAAGTCGTGATCTTCTTTTACTGTCACTAAGTCTGAAAACATCTATTTTATTTTTTTAAATACAATTTCAATTTTTATTTTGGGTTCAGCTGATACATATACAGTTTTGTTACATGTGTATATTGCATGATGTTGAAGTTGGGGTATGAACTATCCTTTTACCCAGGTACTGAGCATAGTACCCAACACGTAGATTTTTAACCCTTGCTTCCCTTCACCCTTCTGCCAAGTAGTCCCCAGTGTCTGTTGTTCCCATCTTTGTGTTCACGTGTACTCAATATTTAGTTCCCAATTATAAGTGAGAATGTGTGATATTTGGTTTTCCATTTTGGTATAGTTTGCTTTGAATAATGGATTCCAACTCCATCCTTCTTCCTGTAAAGGGCATGATCTTTTTTATGGCTGCATAGTATTTCATGGTATCTATGTATCACATTTTTAAAAATCCAATTGATTGTTGATGGGCATCTAGGTTGATTTCATGTCTTTGTCATTGTGAATAATGCTGCGATAAACAGACAAGCGCTGCTCTCTTTTGGTGGAATTACTTATTTTCATTTGGGTATATGCCCAGCAATAGAATTGCTCAGTCAAATGGTAAGTGTTTTAAGCTCTTTGAGAAATCTTCAAACTGCTTTCCACAGTGGCTGAGCTAATTTCCTATCAACAAAGTAGGAATATTCCTCTTCCTCCACAAACTCACCAACACCTGTTATTATTTTACTTTTCTAAACAAATATTTTCTTAAATTGATTTCTTTTTTAGAGATACAGCACAGTGAACCATCTAGCAAACTGGGAAGAAAATTTTCATGAAAAACAGAAGAAGCAGCGTGGAGGCGAGGCATGGTCTCCATCCATGTAATCTCAACACTTTAGGAGACTGAGGCAGGAGGATGGCTTAAGCCCAGTTGTTTTAGACCAGCCTGGACAATGTAATGACATCTCATCTCTACAAAGAATACAAAAGAAATAGTTGGGCATAGTTGTTCATACCTACGATTCCAGCTATGTGGGAGGCTTTGGCGGTAGGATAACTTGAGCCCAGGAGTTCAGACCTGAGTGAGCTATGATAACACCACCGCACTCTAGCCTGGGTGACAGAGCTAGGAAAATGGGGGCAGGGGGGAAGAAGCCTGAAAAAAAAAAAGCATGTTTGACTTTCTGTAAAATGGCACCACTGTTTGATTGAACCAGGACAGAAACAAGTACTGGGTAGACTTTGTTCTGTATTAGTCACTGATGTCCGAAGGGGTTAAGAGGAAGGCACTCTAGTTTGTTATCTTCCTTGTAACCAATTGATTTAATCTCTGCTCCTCTTTCTTTGAAGGAAACATCCTTGGTGAGAAAAACTCCTTCAGGAATAATTGATTGCATTGTATCACTGCCTTTGGCAAGTGAGTTGAAAGAAAATTTGGATTTAAATATTTAGAATGAGATATCATGATGTACAAATAAGTAAAATTACAAACCAATGCACAGAAACAACTAGAAGAAGACAGAATAAGAATTTATTAAATATTTGGAAGAAGACAGCACCCCAAATTGTTAAGTTGTAGAAGTCACAAAAACTAAAATCCAAACAAAGAAAGTTTAAAAAACATAACCAACATCAAAAGTCAGTGTACATTACAAAGCAGAACTTTTAGTCAGATTCAAAATTTGTCTATTAAACTGGTAAGCATTACAAAGTGGTGGAATTTTTTTGAAGATAACTGAAAGTAAAAGATTACATACATGCACATTCGAATTTTAAGTGATTACCAGTTTTGTGGAAGGGAATTTACACATATGCATCTAAAATTTTTACACATATTCATATCTTTGCTCCAAATATTTGACTGCATAGAAACACTACAGCAGTATGAAAAAACAAAACAACAAAAACCACTTGCAAAACCTCTGTTACATTTTATTTTTAATGGAATTTTTAAAAAATCTTAAATCTCAGGCTTCCAGCTATTGTCCAATTTATTGTATACCCACAGAGTATTCCACAATTTACATAATTGATATGACATAGGACTTTCCCACTGATTTATAGAATCCCAAATATTTCTTTCTGGATTTAGCAACTGTATGATCCGTGTTTGTGACTGTAACAGCTTCCTAAATTATTAAAGCACACATTCAGAAGTAGATCAGTTTTCTGGTGTGAGTTGAATCAAGAGGATATCTGCAAGTGATCTCTTAAATTGCAGGAACAGACACAGAAAGGGTGGGAATAGAAGTCTTACATCACAAATCAGCTCTGAACACCTCAAAGAGTGGCTGCCTGGAGCCTGGGGTTGCAAAGATATCCCAGGCTACATCAGGACTTTGCTAAGGAAAAAGACACCAACAATAATTGATGTCAAGAACAGGAATAGTAAGAAGCAGGGATAGTTAAGCCATCTCTTGCCCAGGGAGGATCAATCAACTTCTGTAAGACTGTCTTTAAAATCCAGATCAATTGTGCTTCCTTTATCTGCTCTGCTCTCCTCCTTTGCTACTTCTTTTTCCTTTTGGTTTTTAACTTTTATTTTAGGTTCAGGGGTACATATTTAAGTTTGTCATAAAAGTAAATTGTGTGTCATGTGGGTTTGATGTAAAGATTATTTTGTCACCCAGGTAATAGTACCTCCTCCCACCCTCCACTCTCATATATGTCCGCGTATCTGTTGTTCCTTTCTTTGTGTTCACATCTTCTCAATATTTAGCTCCCACTTGGAAATTAGAAGATGTGGTATTTGGTTTTCTGTTTCTGTGTTAATTCTCTTAGGATAATGGCCTTAAGCTCCATCCATGTTGCCGCAAGGGACGTTATCTTGTTGTTTTTTATGACTGTATAGTATTCCATGATATACAAGTACCACATTTCCTTTGTCCAGTCTACCACTTATGGCCATGTAGGTTTATTCCCTGTTTTTACTATTGTGAATAGTGCTGCAATGAGCATACATGTGCATGTGTCGTTATGTTAGAATCAACTATATTCCTTTGGGAATATACCCAATAATGGGATTTCTGGGTCAAATGATACTTCTGTTTTAATTTCTTTGAGGAATCACCACACTGCTTTCCACAGTGGCTGAACTAATTTGCATTCTCACAAGCTGTGTATAAATGTTCCCTTTTCTCCACAGTCTTGCCAGCATCTGTTGCTTTTTGACTTTTTAATAACAGTCATTTTGATTGGTGGAGATGGTATTTCACTGTAATTTTGATTTGCACTTCTCTAATGATTAGTGATATTGACCATTTTTTATAATGCTTGTTGGTCATGTGTATGTCATCTTTAGAAAGGTGTCATAGCAGTTTATTTCTTCCACCTTTAAATGATGAATCTTTTTTGGAACACCATAGTACAGTTTTCTCTTTGCTCAGCAATCCACAGGGAAGTATGATGACAGAGGAGAGACAGGCATTATTCTGCCATATTATCTTAAAGTAAACTAATACATGCAAGTCCTAATATGATGGATTGTGTGCTATATACCAGATGCTGTCGTGTTTGGATCACATTGTGCCATGCAAACTTCATTGTGGAGACTAACAAGCTGAGTGGTTTAGAAAAATTAGACAACACACCCAAGTTCACTCAACAACTACAGGTAAGAAAAATATAAATTTGCTTAACCACATGGTAGGATCTCTTTTTTGGAGATCATTATACCACTGCCAAAGCATAAAGTGTTCAAACAGTGAAAAACCTGACTATCATGGAGATACATGAAGAATTTATGTCAGATATTTACCCAACACATTAACAAGGCATATTAGTCATGGTTTTCCAGAGAAACAGAACCAATAGGATCTACATCTACATGAAAGAGAGTTTATTAGTAAGAATTGGCTCACATGATCACAAGGTGTGGTTCCGCAATAGGCTGTCTGCAAGCTGGGGAAGAGAGAAGCCGGTAATGGCTCAGTCCATGTCCAAAAGCCTCAAAAGTCAGGAAGCTGAACATGGAGTGAGATGTTTGAGGAAAGGAAGCATCTAGGATGGGAGAAAGATGAAAGACAAAAGACCCAGCAAATCAGCTTCCCTACCTTCTTTTGCCTGCTTTCTCAAGCCACACTGGCAGCCAGTTGGAGAGTGTACACCCACATTGACGGTAGGTCTTCCTCTCCCAGTCCACTGACTCAAATGTTAATCTCCTCTGGCAACATCCTCACAGACACACTCAGGAATAATACTTTCCATCCTTCAATCCAATCAAATCAACATTTAATATTGACCATCACACAAGGCACATACCAAAATGACCCAGTTGACTTAAATGAGCCTTTGAGATACAGATATTTACATAAAATGAGGGAAAACATGCAGAAATCATTTGGGTAAATTACATCCAAAGCTAGTTAAAGTTTTAAGGAGCAATACAACTATAATCTTTAAGGTCATTTTATTTTCCTACCTGTCCCTAACCATTTGCAACTTATTAGACTTCTACAAGTTAATGCGAGACTTCTCATAGTGTAATAATTAATTAGTGTAATAATCAAATGGTCAAAGACAATTACCTTCATTTTTAATAATTAAAAACAAAATTGGTTGCCCCATTAAGTTAATGTTCCTACACAGCACTGAAGAGATGCAGTCATTCTTTGGACCTGTTTCCATCTTAGGATTTTTTTTTTTCTGTGTACCTATATCTTTATGATATTGATTCACGAGAGGGTGAAAGTAAATTTTGGTGTACTTTAAAAGTCAGGATCCTTACAGATTTATCTTTACTGTCAGCATATTGAGAATCTCATAGTTTTTTGATACACTTTGTTGGAAGACAACAGACCAGCCACATAGGAATACCTAATTTAGGGGTTTTGGGGTGGATATTTGGAATATTCTTGACTGAGTGGTTGGAATGAAATTATACTCAAATGAACAATGTGAATTTAACACTCCAAAAATCTAAATATACTGTAAAGTACAACTTAAGTATCCACTTACCCTATTTTGGGAAGATGTCTTTTTTTGAAATCTATGATCTACTGGAAGCTAAACCTGTTAGACTGATATCACTTCATTACACACCCTTTTAACATTAAGTTCAAGGTAAGTTTCATACATTCATAAGTTGAATCATGACAGTCATCATTTTGTTTGTGATTCCTGGTAGCATCTGGAGATGACATATGTACTCTAACTACATGTCCCAACATGCAGAAAATGACCATTAGATATAATTATTTTGTTTCATATGGCCTCAAAAAAACCTGTTAAAACAAAACACATCAAGCATTAAAGCTTACCGAAAATAATATTTCTTGAAATAACTATCTTTGGAAGATGGAGCAATAGTGCTGATAATAGAAACAGCTGATTAAAAATGAGGTCAATCACGAAATAGTTTTATCATTATTCATTGAATTCTTATTCACTATTGAAAAGAGAGACATCAGCCTGAGCAACATAGTGAGACCCCTTCTTTATACACAGAAAAATTATCCAGGTGTGAGACCCCTTCTTTACGTAAATAAAAATTAGCCAGGTGTGGTGCCAAGCACCTGTAGCCCTAGCTACTCATGAGGCTGAGCCTGGAGGATCACTTGAGCCCAGGAATTTGAGACTACAGTGAGCTGTGATTGCACTGCTGCACTCCAGCCTGGGCAACAGAGCAAAATGCTGTCTCTTTCAAGAAAAAAAAAAGGGACACCAATTTGTTGTAGTTTGTAATACAAATTATTAATTTAATTATTCATTAAAATTTTAATATAATGTATAAAATTTGTATTAAGTATTAAAATTATCCATGTATCACATAAAACAGAAGGACTTACATTACTTTGGAACTGTGGGGGCCTCATAATTCTATCAAAGTTCTATTGATGTGTAACAGCCCTATGGAACTAAGAGACCATCTTTATGCTTTTGTAGTTTGTCAATTACAGCCATGAAAATTACATACTAATTTCTTCCCTCTACCCCTCAATATCTGGTTGTAGGACTGGGATTACATTGGTTAATATCCATAGTAGGCCAAGGTGTTGAGCAACTTTCCAGAATCATTCTGCTGAATCCTCATCTTATAAATCAATTGGTGTACTCTCCCCATTTTACAGATGGAAGAGTGAGGCATAAAATATTAAGTAATGTCTCAGAACTACATGGACTGTTCATAGTGGGAGAGACACATGCAGGCAGTCTGACTCGAAAAAATGACAAATAACTAAACAAAACGAGACTCAAGGAGCTTGGAAGCTGATAGGGCAGACAGGGATTTGAAATGGAGCAAGAGGTTGAAATTAAAAGGAAATTAGTGGGAGGTATCTGAAATGCAAGTTGCTGTGGATGAGGAAAAGAGAGTGAGCAAACAGAGTGAATTGCTCTAGTTTGGCTAAGCAGGCATCAAAAGGATGAATGGGAGCCACCAGGCATAGCAAAGGCCTAGGAGATGTGCAAGGAATGTCAGAGAACCCAAAAGAAAGCAGGTGAAAAAGGAAAGTAGCTGCAGAGAAACAAAGATCCCTGTAGTCATCACTGGGCTTCTCATGTTCTATTCAAGCTAGGGCTGTCTTTCTTAGAATAAGTTTAAGATGGAAGCAGTTTGTGGCAATTTGCATTTGAATAAGTGCCATCAGGTCCCAGAGTGGAGTTTGCATTACAGATAGCAACAGACATGCAAAGATTGTTTCAGAAAACAATGCCTGGATGCAAGAGACACACCATGAAGTGAACCCTAGGAATGAGTCAATGTACATTGTTTTCAAGGATTAAATACTGTCCATTTTTAACCTCAGGCATTGAGACTGTATTTCTCCTGGACTTAAACTCTAAAAGTAGGTGCAGGGAAACGAAAATGTGGAAAGATATTTTTTAAATGATAGACCTTCCTTGCAGAAACATGTGTTTACCAAGTGGTAGTAAATATCCTGCTTCATCATGTCAAAGGGTGAGTCCTCTGTGGAGTGTCAATTGCTCATAAAGCTGTTTGTGCCTCAGCACTGGCCAGAGGCAGACTCAAGTTTCTGTGATAGGTGTCTATGGGGTGGACATTGATGTTGGCACGATAGCATTAGAGGAGATGAAACTTTGAATGGAACTGAATACCCACGTGTGAGCACATACTTTCATCACCTGCAAAGACATGAAACTCCAGTAAACAAAGAAAGGTTGTAAGCCTATACAAAAAATTCCCAAACACCTTTATATTGACTTTCGAGGTAAGCAAAACAAAACAAAACAAAGCACCATCTTTCATATTCGATACTCTTCTAGATATAAGAACTGAAGCTGCAACTGAAAGGTTTCAGACACAAAACAGACTGAGACTTTCCCTGAGGCTGTTCTTTTTTTTCCTTTTTAAGCATATAATATCTATGCCAAATATTTTTATTCTCATAGTTTTTGTGTCTTATTCTGTGTACGCATCTGATCTTCCGTCTTGGTAGTAACTGGTTGGGGAAACCATTTATTTTTAGTTTATTCTCAACCACTTTCTGAAGTCGATCTACTCTAGATATAACACCTTCTGTAAGTCCTTCCCAATAGAGACATTAGTTTGAGCTTTAGTTCCTTTTACCTTTGGAAATTGTCCCAGATTTCAACTTTCTTTTGGCCTCCCATCTAGACCTGCTTATGATCAAGAAACAGACTCCTCTGCACCTCTAGGGATGTGGAGGCTGACACTGGAGGTAAAGAGACTTTTTCTTCCTCTTCTTCCATCTCAAATTGTCCTGCCCGCTTGTTACCTCAGCCCTCACCTTCTAACAAGAAGAATGCCATTCAATCAGCTCTCTCTGAGGACCCCCTGAAAACTTAGGCTCAGAGAGACATCTCTGCTCTGCAGTATGTTTTGGCAGGTCCTGATTTTGTGCTCTCTAGACAGTACGTATAGAGAAAGAACAAAGCTGACAGATAAGCCTCAATCCAGCATCAACCCAGAAGCCGTTTTATTCAGTAAACCCAATTGTCACTTGCCTTCCCAGGAAATGCCATGCCTTTCCAACATCACCTACTTTATGTCAGTAAATGATACTCCAATTCAACTGTCTTCAATTAAAACACTTCTGTGTTTTATTTTCTTTTCTTCTATTTTTTTTAGGTGTGTGGTCATGGAACATTCATGAATTCATGAACATTTTAAACCTTTACTAATTCAAATTTTCCATAAAGGCTTAACCTATTTCATGTAGATGAAGTGTTGTACAGGCGGAAAAATCTAGTCAGTATTGTATATCTAGGGGAAAATCTTAGGTGAACTCCCTCAAGGAACCTAGAAATATCCATTTCATATGGTAACACATAAGGCTGCTTTTGAAAGGAAGTCAGTATGCCCAAATGGCATAAACCCTTGAGTGTAACTAAAAATCTCTACCACACTTCGGAAGAAAAAGTATCAATTTATTATAAAGTAAAAGTAACTACATGACAGTCTTCCCCATAAATTATCAACAAAAATTATATCAGTGATTTTGTTCTGACTTGTTCTTATTTAATTATTTATGTATTGATATTTTTTTTATTTTAGGTTCAGAGGTACCTGTGCAGGTGTGTTACAATTATGATGATGAGGTTTAGTCTTCTGTTGATCCTGTCACCCAAATAGTGAACATGGTACCCCATAGAAAATGTTTCAGTCCTTGCCCTGCTTCCAGCAGGAAATTTTTCAGTCCCTAGTGTTTGTTGTTCTTATATTTGTGTTCCCACGTACCCACTGTTCATCTCCCTCATAAATGAGAACATGCAGTATTTGGTTTTCTTTTTCTGGGTTAGTTACCTCCATGTTTTCTTGATTTCTTTTCTCTTGAAAATATTTTATCACCTAAAATTCAATGGTACCCATTTACAGACTTTGCATGAAGTTGCTGAAGCAAGAGATTTGAAAATGCAAACAAATGAATTAGTATTTTTCTTTTCTGAGAAAAGGAAGCAGCCAGAGGTTATTAATATAGCAGTTGTCATAAAAAGTAAACTTTACTCTTCTGTCATTTGTTGTTATGGTAAAGTTGAGTTTCTAAGTCTGTTGCTAAAACAAATCAAAGAGCTTCCCATAATATTTAGGGGTTTGTTTAAATCATTATCATTTAAGGCATATTTACCTATAAATTGTTTTAATACATGTTTATATTAGAAAGCTACATTTGCTAAAATGTTCACTCTGAAAAATTTTCACTATTCATCTAAATATTGACACAATATGTTTCTTTAAGTTGGAGATTGCTCACTTGCCTTGTGGTAATTTACTATTGACTATGACGTCACAGATCTGAAAATAATTGGTCAAAGAAGGATAAAATTCTTTGTAAATTTTCTAGGAATTAGGAAAATAAATACAATTTCAAGTAAAACAAATCATTGATTCTGAGAGATTACAGCACGCCACACAGTCTTTTTTTATATGACTGAAAACTAATCTACCACCATTATTTTAAAATTGGAGAAACTCATTCACAATAGTAGAGACATGTAATTTATCTAGCTGCCCGTCAACAGTGGACTGGGTAAAGAAAATGTGGTACATATACACCATGAGATACTATGCAGCCATAAAAAAAGAAAAAAATCATGACTTTGCAGCAACACAAATGGAGCTGGAGGCCATTATCTAAGCAAATTAATGCAGAAACAGAAAGTTAAATACTGCATGTTCTCACTTAAAAGTGGGAGCTAAACATTAAGTAATCGTTAACATAAAGATGGAGACAATAGAAACTGCAGGGTGGGGGCCAAGGGCTGAAAAACTACTGGCCACTATGCTTAGTGCCTGAGTATGGGAATCAATTGTACCCAAAACCTCAGCATCATGTGATACATCCATGTAACAAACCCGGGGGCAATACATATACTCCCTGAATCTAAAACAAAAGTTGAACAAAATTGGAAAAACTAATGCCAAGAGTTTTAATATTAACCTGTTCTATAAATGAGTTACTTATGCAACCACCTATCAAAATCCTATTATGTCTTCTCTTCAATCATATGTCATCACCTCCTGTATATTTGTGTATTAATTACATAACTAAAAACTGATCAAATATGTTGTTTTAAATTATGTACCTTTTGTTCTCTGTATACATCTTCAACATAAAAATATAACAGGGTTTGTTCTCTGAGCACATTTATAACATAATGTTTTGCCAAGATAAAAGCCAATCAGAAGATTTAAATCTCTTTGATCTTTTCCCTGAAAATCAATTTTAGTGGCCCATATGATTCCATTGCCAGTAATATTAGGAAGTAAGCTACACCTCTCCACCTTCCTGAGGTTTCTCCAAAAGTCCCAGATGGTTGGATTCACAGGTTTCAAGTTCTATCAGGAATCCTGGACTCCAGTTACTGCTGGGGATGCTTCAGACACATTTTAGATGAAGTTTTCACTCAATGTGGAAGGATATATGTTGAAGGTCAAAACAACTTAGCATTTTTCTGAATCAGAGGGAAGAAGATTTCTAAACTCTGATGAAAGCTTTCTCCATTCCTGCCTTGAGTCTCTCTTCTCAGATACTTATAGTAAGTTTCCTATCTCCACTCAGCTTTCCACCCCTTCCCTCCCTCCCTTCCTTCTTTTTGAGACAGAGTTTTGCTTTTGTTGCCCAGACTGGAGTGCAGTGGTGTGATCTCGGCTCCTGGCAAACTCTGTTTCCTGGGTTCAAGCCATTCTGCTGCCTCAGCCTCCAAAGTAGCTGTAATTACAGGCATGCAGCACCATGCTCAGCTAATTTTGTATTTTTAGTAGAGACAGGGTTTCTCCCTGTTGGTCAGGCTGGTCTTGAACTCCCGGACTCAGGTGATCCACCGGCTTTGGCCTCCAAAAGTGCTGGGATTATAGATGTGAGTCACTGTGCCTGGCCTCCATTCAGGTTTCTTAGTTAATTAAAACCCAAATTCCATCCTGGCATTCTTCTGAATGTTGGCATGCTCATTTAAGTTCAGGCTCAGAAATAATGACTGGAATAATCTCATCTGGGAGAAGGGAAATGGGAATTCTAGAATATCAGCTAGTGTTGAATTGAATTGATAAACCAGTGGTGTCTCTTTATAGTATCTAATTATACATTTTTATGATGAAATATTTTTACTTGTGATAACACAAATTCCCTAATGAGGAAGTGATAACGCTTCTCCTTTGAAACAGTAACTATGCTTGTTGGGTTGGTTATAAATGCCCTTTTTCCAAGCACCATCAAAGTAGAAATTACACTGAACCCACTATATTTTCAGTTATATAACTGAGGCATAAACAACTGCATGGGTGTTTAAAATCTGTACTTTTGATAACATTTCGACACATCTGTACATTGAACCTTCAGCACTATTAAGAAAATAAGCATATCCGTTAATTCCCCATATTCTTTCATGTTCCCTTAAAATTTTTCCCTCCACTACAGATTTTACTTTCTAGAATTTTACATAAATGCTATGGTGTCTTACACATTCTTTTTTATTTTATAGTGTTACTCAATAAAATTATTTTGAAGTTAATCAGTGTTGTTTTATGTATTGGTAGTTTTTATTCTTTTTAATTTCTGGATTGTATTTCACTGTATGTATACAGTAGAGTTTGTTTATCCATTCAACTCTTGATGGGGTTTCAGGTTGTCCCCAGGTTTTTGCTAATAAAAATAAAACTGTTATTTATACTTGTATACATGACTTTGATTGGGTAAGTGCTTGTATATATTTTGGATAAATAACCATGATCAGAATGTCTGAGTTATAAAACACGTACATTATGAACTTTTAAAGCAGCAATCCCCAACCTTTTTGGCACCAGGAACCGGTTTTGTGGAAGACAATTTTTCCATGGACCAGGATGGGGAGAGGAGGGTGATGGCTTCAGAATGATTCAGTCACATTACATTGATTGTGCACTGTATTTCTATTATTATTACATAGTAATAGACAATGAAATAACTATACAACTCACTATAATGTAAAATCAGTGGGGTTGGGGAACAGCTTGATTTTATACATTTTAGGGAGACATGAGACATCAATCAATGTATGTAAGAAGTACATTGGTCCTGTCTAGAAAGACAGAGAGAACTCAAAGCAGAGAGGGGGCTTCTGGGTCACCGCTAAGTGAGACAAAACTGGTTGCATTGTTTTGACACTTCCTGGGCCTCTCCTGTGCATGACACACTTCCTGCTTGTCTGTGAAGGACACACTTCCTGACTCTCCCCTGTGCAGGACACACTTTCTTTCCCTGGGTGTGCAGTATACACTTCCTGTTTCTCTTCTGTGCATGACACACTTTCTGTTTCTCCCCTATGCAAGACACACTTCCTGTGCTTCCCCTGGGAATGACACCCTTCCTGTCTCTCCTCTGTGTAGCACACACTTTCTGTTCCTTTACTGTACCTGACAAACTTCTTGTTTCCCCAGTGTGCAGGACAAACTTCCTGTGTCTCCCCTGTGGGGAACATACTTCCTCTCTCTTTCCTGTGTAGCATACATTTTTTGTCCCTCCTCTGTGAGTGACACATTTTCTGTTACTTCCATGTGCATGACACACTTCCTGTTTCTCTATTGAGTGCACTTTGACACACTTCCTGTGTCTCCCCTGTGCATGAAACACTTCCTGTTTCTTCCCTGTGGAGGACAGACCCCCTGCTTCACCCCTGTGCAGGACATACATTCCATTCCTTTTCTGTGTAAGACACGCTACCTGTTTCTCCTCTGTGTATGATACACTTCCTGTTTCTTTCCTGTGCAATGCACACTTCCTGTGCCACGGCTGTGAATTACACCCTTCCTGTTTCTCCTCTGTTTAGCACACACTATTTCTCCTCTGTGCATGACATATTTCCTGTTTCTCTTCTGTGCATAACAAACTTCCTGTTACTTTTTTGTTTAAGACACACTTCCTGTGCCTACCCTGTGAATGACACCCTTCCTGTTTCTCCTCCATGTAGCATACACTTTCTATTCCTTCTCTGTGCATGACACACTTCCTGTTTCTTCACTCTGCAGGATACACTTGTGTCTTCCCTGTGAGGAATCCTCTTCCACTTTATTTCCTGTGTAGAACATACTTTTCATTCCTCCTCTGTGCATGACACATTTTCAGTTATTCCCATGTGCATGACACACTTCCTGTTTCTTTCCTAAGGAAGACTCACTTCTTGTTTCTTCCCTGTGCAGGACACATTTTCTTTTGCTCCCCTATGTAGAACACACTTCATGTTTTTCGCCTGTGCAGGACACACTTTCTGTTTCTCCTTTGTGCCTGATGCACTTTTTGTTTCTCTGCTGTGCAATACACACTTTTCGTGTTTCTCCTGTGAATGACACACTTCTAGTTTCTTCCCTGTGTAGCAGACACTTTCCATTCCTCCTGTTTATGATCCATTTTCTGTTACTCCCAGGTGCATGACATACTTCCTATTTTTCCTCTGTGCATGACACACTTCCTGTGCAAGACACATTTTCTGTTCCCCCTGTGCAAGACAGACTTCCTGTGCCTTCCCTGTGAATGACATTGTTCTTGTTTCTCCTCTGTGTAGCACATACTTTCTGTCCTTCTATATGCATGACATACTTTCTGTTTCTCCACTGTGCAGGACACATTTCCTGTGTCTCCCTTGAGGGGGACCCATTTTTCCTTTCTTCCCTGTGTAGCACTCACTTTCCATTCCCTGTCTGTACATGACCCATTTTGTGTTACTCCCATGTGCATGACACATTTCCAGCTTTTTTTTCCCTGTGGAAGACACGCTTCCTGTTTTTCCCCTGTGCAGGGCATGCTTTCTGTTTTAAATCTACGTATAACACACTTCCTATATCTCCCGTGTGGGGGACACATTTTTCTTTCCTGTGTAGCACACACCTTCTGTTCCTTCTCTGTACATGACACATTTTCTGTTACTTACTGACATGCCCATGACACGCTTCCTGTGTCTTACTTATGCAAAATACACCTCATGTTTTTCTTCTGTGCAGGACTTACTTTCTGTTTCTTCCCTGTGAAAGACACACTTCCTTCCTATGCCTCTCCTTTGAATGACAACCTTCCTGTCTCTCCTCTGTGTTGCAAACACTTTCCATCCCTCTCCTGTGCATGACATACTTCCTGTTTCTCCACAGTGCAGGACACAGTTCCTGTTTCTCTCCTGTGCATGACACACTTCCAGTGTCTCCCCTGTTGGGGATTCACTTTTTCTTTCCAGTGCAGCACACATTTTCCATTTCTCCTCTGTACCTGATATATTTTCTGTTACTCACATATGTAAGACACACTTGCTGTTTCTTCCATGTGCAGGACACACTTCCTGTGTCTTCTTAGTGCAGGACACACTTCCTGTGCCTCCCCTGTGAATAACAGCTTTCCTGTGTCTCCTCAATGTAGCACATACTTTCATTCCTCCTCTGTGCAGGATACACTTCCTCTGTTTCTCCTCTGCAGGACACATTTTCTGTTTCTCCCGTATGCAAGACACACTTCCTGTCCCTCCCCTGTGAATAACACCTTTCCTATTTATCCTCAGTGTAGTAAACACTTTGCATTCCTCTGTGATGACACATTTTCTGTTACTCCCATGTGCATGACACACTTCCGGTTTCTTCTCTATGCAGCACCCACTTTCTGTTCATTTTCTGTGCATTACCCCCTTCTTATTTCTCCAATGTACAGGACACAGTTCCTTTTCCTTTGATGTGTAGGACACACTTCTTGTTTCATCCTTGCACAGGACACACTTCCTGTTTTTCCTTTTGCAGGACCCACTTCCTTCGTCTCTCCTGTGCAGCACACTTTTCCTTCCTCCTCTGTGCATGACACACTACCTGTTTCTCCAATGTGCAGAACACACTTCCTGTGTCGTCTTTGTGCAGGACATACTTTTTGTTTCTCTGAGAAACTTCATATTTCTCTGCTGTGAAGGACACACTTCCTGTGTCTCTCTTGTGCAGGACACACTTCCTCTTTCCTGCGTAGCAAAGACTTTCTGTTCCTCTATTCATGACACATTTTCTGTTATTCCTGTGTGCATGACACATTTTCTGTTTTATCCTTGTGGAAGAAACGCTGTTTCTTCCCTGTGTAATATATGCTTTCTATGCTTCTGCTGTGTAGGACACACTTCCTGTTTCTCCCCTGTGCACCACACCCTTCCTGGTTTTTCCCTGTGCAGGACACACTTTCTACTCCTCCTCTGTGCGTGGCACACTTTCTGTTTCTCCACTGTGCAGGACACACTTCCTTTGTCTCTCCCATGCATAGCACCCATCCTGTTTCTCTGTGTGTAGCACATACTTTCCGTTCTTCCTCTGTGCATGACACATTTTCTGTTAGTCCCATCTGCATGACTCACTTCCTCTTTCTCCCTTGTGAATGACACTATTTCTGTTTTTCTCTCAGTGTAGCACATACTTTTTGTTTCTCCTCTGTACATGACACACTTCCTGTTTCTCCCTGTAGAGGGCACACTCCATGCTTCTCCCCTGTGTAGCACACACTTTCCATTCCTCCTCTGTGCATGACACGTTTTCTATTACTCTCATTGTGTCCAGAATTGGTGGGTTCTTGGTCTCACTGACTTCAAGAACGAAGCCGCGGATCCTCGCGGTGAGTGTTACAGCTCTTAAGGTGGCGTGTCTGGAGTCTGTCCCTTCTGATGTTCAGATGTGTTCGGAGTTTCTTCCTTCTGGTGGGTTCGTGGTCTCGCTGACTCAGGAGTGAAGCTGCAGACCTTCGCGGTGAGTGTTACAGCCCTTAAGGCAGAGCGTCTGGAGTTGTTCGTTCCTCCGGGTGGGCTTGTTGTCTCGGTGGGCTCAGAAGTGAAGCTGCAAATCTTCGCAGTGAGTGTTACAGCTCATAATAGCAGCGGGGACCCAAAGAGTGAGCAGTAGCAAGACTTATTGCAAAGAGGGAAACAACAAAGCTTCCACACTGTGGAAGGGGACCCCAGGGGTTGCCACTGCTGGCTCCGGCAGCCTGCTTTTATTCTCTTATCTGGCCCCACCCACATCCTGCTGATTGGTAGAGCCGAGTGGCCTGTTTTGACAGGGCGCTGATTGGCCCGTTTACAATCCCTGAGCTAGATACAAAGGTTCTCCACGTCCCCATCAGATTAGTTAGATACAGTTTTGACACACAGGTTCTCCAAGGCCCCACCAGAGCAGCTAGATACAGAGTGTCAATTGGTGCACTCACAAACCTTGAGCTATGCACAGGGTGCTGATTGGTGTGTTTACAATCCCTGAGCTAGACATAAAGGTCCTCCAAGGCCCCACCAGACTCAGGAGCCCAGCTGGCTTCACCCAGTGGATCCCTCACCGGGGCTGCAGGTGGAGCTGCCTGCCAGTCCCGGTGCCGTGCGCCCGCACTCCTCAGCCCTTGGGTGGTCGATGGGACTGGGTGCCATGGAGCAGGGGGTGGCGCTCGTTGGGGAGGCTCCGGCTCCACAGGAACCCACGGAGTGGGTGGGAGGCTCAGGTATGGCGGGCTGCAGGTCCCGAGCCCTGCCGGGCGGGAAGGCAGCTAAGGCTCTGTGAGAAATCTAGCGCAGCGCCGGTGGGCTGGCACCCACCTGCCACTGGGACCCAGTACACCCTCCGCAGCTGCTGGCCCGGGTGCTAAGTCCCTTATTGCCTGGGGCCAGCAGGGCTGGCCGACTGCTCCGAGTGCGGGCCCGCCAAGCCCACGCCCACCCGGAACTCCAGCTGGCCCGCAAGCGCTGCACGCAGCCCCGGTTCCCTCTCGCGCCTCTCCCTCCACACCTTCCTGCAAGCTGAGGGAGTGGGCTCCAGCCTTGGCCAGCTCAGAAAGGGGCTCCCACAGTGCAGTGGTGGGTTGAAGGGCTCCTCAAGTGCCGCCAAAGTGGGAGCCCAGGCAGAGGAGGTGCCCAGAGCAAGCGAGGGTTCTGAGGACTGCCAGCACGCTGTCACCTCTTATCATGTGCATGACACACTTTCTGTGTCTTTTCTCTGAAAGGCACACTTCTTGTTTCTTCTGTCTGCATGATATACTTTCTATTTCTCCCCTGTGCAGGACACACTTCCTGTGTCTCCCCTGTGCAGGACACACTTTGTTTCTTCTTTGTGCAGGAAACACTTCTTGTTACCCTCCTGAGACAGATACACTTCCTGTTTGTCTTCTGTGCAGCATACACTTCCTGTGTCTCCTTTGTGCAGGACACACTTTCTGTTCTTCTATTGTTCAGGTCATACTGCAGGCCACGCTTTCTGTTCCTCCTCTTTGCAGGACACACTTCCTGTGTGGCCCCTGTGCTTGACACATTTCCTGTGTCTCCCATGTGCAGGACACACATATTTCTATACCTCCCCTTTGCATGACGTACTTCCTGTTTCTCCCCTGTGCAGCGCATAGCTTCTGTTCCTCTCTTGTGTGTGACACACCTCCTGCATGCCCTGTACAGGACACAGTTCCTGTTTCTCCCTTGTGCTGAACCTAATTTGTAGGTTTTTTTAATCCCTCACCCGCTCCCACTATTTCCCCCAAGTCCCCAAAGTCCATTCTATCATTCTAATGTCTTTGCCTCCTCAAAGCTTAGCTCCTGCTTATATGTGAGAATATATGATGTTTGGTCTTCCTTTCCTGAGCTACTTAGAATAGTCTCCCGTTCTATCCAGGTAGCTGCAAATGCCATTAATTTAGTGCTTTTTATGGCTGAGTAGTATTTCACTGTATTTATTTCACTGTATGTATGTGTGTGAATATATATGTGTGTGTGTATATATATATACACACCCACTTATACACCACAGAGTGTGTGTGTATACACACAGACACACACACAGACACACACCAGAGTCCACTCATTGATTGATGGGCATTTGGGTTGGTTCCATATTTTTGCAATAAAAACTGCAATTACTTTTGTACAAAACACAATACTATTCTATAGGCTGAGTACTCTTCTAAGCATTTGAGATACAATATCATACAAAACAAATAAAACTCATCTTTTATGAAACTGATATTCTAGTAGGATAAGAATAGTAATGAACAAATGGATATATTTTTCGTCAGGTAACGGTAATAACCGGAAAGAAGAACAGCAATATTAAGAATAGCAACTCACGGAGATTGTTTTTGTAGAAACTGGTTTAGGAATACCTCTCTGAAAATATTATATTTTGAAGGAAGTGAGAAAGCATATGAAGTTGATAGCTGCTGGGAAAAGCAAACAAGAAAGAAGGAAAACAATGGCAAGAAAAATCTCCTAATATAGCAGTGGGATTGAGATGTTTGAGGATATGGGTGCAGAAGAGTGGTTGGAACACAGAAAATGGAGGTGACAAAAAGAAATTGGAGAGAATGGGAGGAGAGGTGGGTGAGGATTTCATAGGCCTTCTAAGGACTTGCTTTTACTCCGTTGAGATGGGAATCCTTGGAGAGTTTTGAGAAAATTAGAGATGTTCTTTTACTCAGTTTTTAAAAAATCAACTACAGACTGAAGGAGGACACGGGATAACAGAAAGAAGACTGATATGAGGTTATCATAACTGGCAGTGAAAAAGAGGATGAGGTATGAAAAAGGACAACATTGTGGCACGGGAAAGTATTTGTTCTGGATATATTTTGTAAGGCTAGTACATAGAGGAAGTTAGTAGATTTAAGTGTGGGCTGTTCACAAAAGGGCAACAGAAATATTTTAAGATTCTTAGCCCCATCCTGGCCAGCATGGTGAAATGCTGTCTGTACTAAAAATACAAAAATTAGCTAGATGTGGTGATGCATGTTGTAGTCTCTGCTACTCGGGAGGCTGAGGCAGGAGAATCACTGGAAACTGGGGGGTGGAGGCTACAGTGAGCTGAGATTGCGCCATTGCACTGCAGCCTGGGTGACAGATCGTGACTTCATCTAAAAAGAAAATTAGGCTATGCAACTGTTAGAGAACTGTTAGAGTAATGGTATAACTTTTTTGTGTAAGTGGGAAATATTTCAGGGACAAACTCAGGTGGGAGGTAGTGCTCAAGACAGTATTTTTAACAAGTTAATCCAGAGATGTTCAATCAGGGATCAATGCCATGAAGCTATGCCTCCTATTCCAGCAAAACAGCTCAGCTGATTCCCACTATGCACCTGCTGATATTAACACAGTCAGGAACAAATAGCAAAATTAATTTTATAAGGGGATGCTTCCAATGTCTTAAAAACATCAAGGACCTAGGAACTAATAGAATGACAGATGTGAAGTATCTTATCCAGAAAACTATATTGTTTAGAGAAATTTTAAAAGACCTTGATAAAATGAGCACAAAAATACAGTTAAGAGCCAGGTGAGGTGATTTATGTGTCAACCCAGCACTTTAGGAGGCTGAAATGGGACAATTGTTGAGTCCAAGGGTTTGAGATCAGACTAGGCAACACAGGAAGACTCTGTCTCTACAAAAATTTTTTAAAATGTTTGGCCAGGATGGTTGTGGATGTCTATCATCCCAGCTACTTGGAAGGATGAATGAGGGGTAGGATCGCTTGAGCCCAGGAGGCTGAGGCTGCAATGAACTATAATTGTGGCACTGCAATCTAGCCTGGGTGACAGGGTAAATCACCTTCTCAAATAAAATAAAATAAAAATGCAATATGCTAGAAAAAAATAAGTTCTATTGTTCTGTAGCACAGTAGGGGGATGAAAGTTATCAAGAATTTACAATATATTTCAAAATAGCTAGATTTAAAATATACTAAGCAAAACAAAATAATACGTGTTTGAGGTGATGGTTACCTCGATTACCCTGTTTGGATCATTGAACATTGTATATCTGTATCAAAATATTATATGCACTCCCAAAATATACACAACTATTATGTATCAATAATAAATAAATAAATAATTGCCTCAATAAATGGAAAGAAAGATATTTAAAACATCTGGAGATGTCAATAATGCATCTTGTTGTGAGTGCAAATTCGTGGTGGGATATAAAATTTTGGAGTTTTCTTCCAAGATTCTGGGAGAAGAAAAAAAGTCATTGGTCCAGATATAAATGTAGGCATTATCAAGAAATGAAAGCTATTTAACCCTGTAGAACAGGATGATATCAAATACAGAGTTAATGTACAAAATATAAGCTCACTCTAAAACTGAGCTCTGGAACTCTCAAAATTTTAGAGTATAAGGGAAATACAGAAAAATATCAAAAATACAGAGAAAGAAGTTGCCATTGTTCTAAAAGGAAGTCCAAGAAATGGCATCATGTCAGAGAAAAAGTAAGGAAATCATCACCTACTTCAAATGAAGCTGGTAGAACTAGTATGTTGAAATTATACAAATGACTGCTGGAAATGTCACCAAAGAGGCACTAGTGGCCTAGGCTATAGTAGTGTCTGCACAACAATAAGGAAAATCTTATTGGAGTAGCTTCTCAAAGAATATCAGGAAATGAATTAAAGATGGTGAGTATAACTGGAGACACTTGGCATTACTGAAGTAAGTATCTGAGTTTTGCCAAGTCTAGATGGTTTGTGTGTGTGTTTGTTTTAAGGTAGCTTATATTTCAGCGTGTTTTGAATTGATGGAATGATCAACTTAAAGATTTATGAAGGAATGGCCAGGCACAATGGCTCATGCCTATATTCCTAACACTTTGGGAAGCAGAGGTAGGAAGATTGGCTAAGGCCACGATTTCAAAACCAGACCGGACAACTTGGTGAGATTCCATCTCTACAAAAATAAAAATAAACAAATTAGCTGGTCATGGTGGTGCTCACCTATAGTATCAGCTACTTGGAAGGCTTAGGAATGAGGATGGTTGGAGCCTAAGAGTTTGAGGCTGCAGTGAACTGTGATTGCCTCACTGCACTCCAGCCCAGGTGACACAGTGAGGCCCTGTCTCTGAAACAAAACAAGTATTGATGATGGAAAAGGTTATCCATGGAGAAAAGAGAGAGGATATAATAGATGAATCATCCTTGTGTAGATGAGAGGATATAAGCACGAGTGTCCAAGTGGAGTGGATATTTCAGAAAGGAACAACAGGAAAAATACATTCCTAGACAAAGGCTGGGAAAATCACATAATTTTCTGAAACTTCCTTCTCCTTTTCTGTGATGGTCACACTCTCCAGCATAAACCTTAAAGACGCATGCAAGATTTCTACACAGGGAATCTAACTCAAGTCCCAGGGTTCAGAGTTATAAAAGAAGGCTACTCAAATACGTATATATTCTTAGATGACTAGCCATGGTGCTGAGCCCAAAAACCACAAAAGGCTCACATCATGAATCATCATATTTACAGCAAATAAGGTTGACAGACCAGTTCATCTTGACCCACTGCTTGGGTATACAGAACAACATATTTTCCTAGTGGCATAGACAATTTTTTTTTGTCAGTTTGTCTGAGCTAAGGGATGCCCAAATAGTGAGAAACACATTATTTCTGTATATGTTAGTGATGGTGTTTCCAGAGGAGATTAACATTTGAGTCAGTAGACTGAATAAAGAAGATTGCTCTCACCAATGTACGTTGGCATTATCCAATCCCTTGAATTCCTGAACTGAATAAAAGAATTAAAATTAAAGGTTAAGAGCAAATTTACTCTCTCTTCTGTATGTGGGACATCTGTCTTCTGTGCTCAGTCATTTCATTTAGACTGTAACTACACCACAAGCATTCTTGGGCTTGCAAATTGCAGAAGGCAGATTGTGGGATGTCTCAGCCTCTATAGTAATGTAAGTCAATTCCCCATAATAAATATCTTTCTATATATCACTGTATATATCTTATATGTTTTTGTTTCTCTAGAGACCCCTGACTAATACATAAAATACATATCTGAATGTTTCACTAGTGTTGTTCTCACAGTTTGATCAAGGGTCATTGTCAAGGCTGCAGAGATAAGCTAGAATTAAGTAAAATAGACCTACCACATTAACTATTTCCTCAAGAAGAATACCTATAGATGTGATACCACAGATGATATGGTTTGTTTCTGTGTCCCCACCCCAATCTCATGTTCAACTGTAGTTCCCAACTTTGGAGGTGGGGCCTGATGGGAGGAGATTGGATATAAGGGTAATTTTTAATGGTTTAGGACAATCCTCCTAGTGGTGTCTCATAAGTAAGTTCTCACAAGACCTGGTTGTTTGAAAGTGTCACACTTTTCTCTGTCTCTCCTGCCAGCCATGTAAAGACATTCTTACTTCCCCTTTGCCTTCCACCATGACTGTAAGTTTCCTGAGGCCTCCCCCAGAAGAAAAAGCCTGTACAGTCCACAGAACCACAAGCTGATTAAACCTATTTTCTTTATAAATTACCCAGTCTCAGGTATAGTGTGAGAATGGACAAATACAATGAGCAAATTCCCTCTAATATGCTTTTTTTTTCTTAGAGAAACCCAAAACGAGGTCATTAGCCAAGTTTGAAGAGCACAAACAGGCTTTAGAAGTTTAAGCAGAAAGGACAAAATGCAAAGTTGGCTTGCATGGGATTGGGAGACTAAATTAAGAAAGATAATATAGTAGGACTTCTGGGCAGTACCACAGTCTACCTTAGGGGTCATTGTCATAACTTAAGGTTACCACCATTTGCCATGCTGCTTTTCTCCAGCACCTCCAGGGACAAGTTAGGAAAAGCTAGTTCTACCAACTTTAGGACTTTCTTTTGGTAGCCTAAAAAGTTGAGGAGCAAACAGTCCAGGGATAATGGACAAGGAAATCCAAATAAATTAGGAGAAAAGAGAAGACATGCTCCACTCATACATTTTGGAGTCAATTCAAGAGTCTTACATATCATAGCACTTTATAATTTATAAAGCCATCACATACGCAATCAGTCATTTTATATTCATAATAACTGAAAGAGCTATGTAGGACATATTTTTTATTTTCACCTTTCAGATGAGAGATCTTGGACATCTTGGTTTGCCCATGGTGACAAACAGGGTAAGAGCTAACCCTGGGATTCTAATGTGGTCTTGATTACAACATCATGCTCGTGAATTAAATCATATTTTCTGACTGAAAAATGAAGAAAGAGATTAGTAAGAATCAATTTTGGAATCCATGTGGACAATCCATTGGCATAACCTTTAAATCCTGACATTTAACTCCTGTAAGAACATGTAAATATATTCACAGTAAATCCTACAAGCATTAAGCATTATATTTAGAGTTTCTATTCAGGAATCAATATCCAACATGTTGTTTGAGGTTCAACCACACTTAATGGATGGAAGTTTGTATGTGAAAAGAATTTTAACTCTATACAGGGATTCACTATTTCTGTTCAACTGGAAGGTCAATAAATCAGCAGATGGAACACTATTTTCCTGTATTCAGCACATTCCATCAACTGGTAACTTTTGTTTCCATGTTTTTGAAATGGTTAGATGTGCATGATCAGATGGAATTACTTGTGAATCTGGGTAGCTGATTTTGTTCTGTGACTTCTTAGAACAGTACTGCAGGCAGAATGGATTAATCGTAACAGCCAATGTCTTTGGGGGGTATTTCTCTTTACAGGATTTCTGCCACCCTCTCTGCTTGTATTACCTAATTGTAGCCTCATGATGGATGCACTGTGATCCTGTTAACAGGTAAGGAAAGGGAGGCATTGGGGTTGTGAACTTACTGTGATCATGTAGCCAGTAAAAAGAATCCACACATCAGTAAAGTCATGGAAATTTTTATTCTGGTGTAAGCAGGGTAGGAACAGTTCAAAATCTTGTTCAAAATGCTGGGAAAAGAAGTTTGATGACCTGCTGTTTCCTAATCAATATACATTAACCCCCATACTCCTCCCTGCCTCAGTTATTTGCCAAAGTTTCATGAAACAGAATATTTTGGGTACTAGGTATGGATGTCTGAAATATTCATTCAATCCAGAGTTACAGAATATCCCTGACTGTGACCTTAAAGTCTGAATTTGCATTTCCAAACAATTTCCTGAGACAAGAGTACAAGGAGAAGAATTGTATAAATAGTGATATTTAATGCGACTGATGATGTTTTAACTTACTGCAGTTGATTTTTGGAGCACCTCTCCCTCAGATGCAGTGGTAGATGAATATTTATTATTGCTGATCTTTGACTGTAGTCATTAAAAGGTAAACACAATTAAAACCAAAATGCTTCTGAAGCTGGAAGCTAAATCAGACAGAGTCAAGTTCCAGTATTAAGTAGATGATCCCTGATGTCCACTCTACTCCTTGGAGGGAAGAGATCAACACAATAAAGCACTCATAATCCTGAAATATTATTTATTGGAAAGGATAACATCAGTTCACTAAGATCAGGAGACAAAGTGAGGAGGATGCTGGTCATTTAAATGAAATTTTTTTCAACTGGTTTATTCAAGGCTTGTGTGCCATGGCTGGTCTAATATTTGCAGCATCAAGGTCTCAAGAAATAAAACAAGTAATCAGTTTTTATTGTACTTTTTCAGCTGGTTGGCAACAGATTAAACAAATTAATTGTAGAGGTATTTGTTTTAAAGCTAGTTAGCAGATAGGATTGATATTCCACCAAAATAAACTTGCCTTGGGTTATTGCATCTCAGGTTATTGTGCCTTATAGAGGTTAAAAGGTAGAACCACAAGCTCAGATGGCTTTCTTGGTCAGGAAGACAACTCAAATATGTGAACTTGTTTAGGATGAAACAACCAGGAGCTTTGGGAACCAAAATGGAGCTCATTCTGAAGATACTAAAAATTAAGGTGTCTATCACAAATGAATGCACAAAGAAGAAACATGACACTGGTCTTCAAATCACACCTCTAATCCAGGTGTGACATTCTGTTCTGGGCTTAATTGTTCTGCTATAGGAGTAGAACTCATGGTGTAACTTATAGGCAAATCGTTATTGACATCTTATCATTCTTAATGGTAGTGAAGTTTGAATAAATTAGATTACAACTCTGACCTTCAATTGCTGATCAAGAAAATGGGCTTTGGGAGGCCGAGGCAGGTGGATCACGAGGTCAGGAGATTGAGACCATCCTGGCTAACATGGTGAAACCCCGTCTCTACTAAAAATACAAAAAAATTAGCCAGGCAAGGTAGCCGGCGCCTGTAGTCCCAGCTACTTGGGAGGCTGAGGCAGGAGAATGGCGTGAACCTGGGAGGCAGAGCTTGCAGTGAGCTGAGATCGCGCCACTGCACTCCAGCCTGGGCGAGAGCCAGACTCCGCCTCAAAAAAAAAAAAAAAAAAAAAAAAAAAAGAAAAGAAAATGTGCTCAGTCTTACTGAACAAATAACAGATGTTGGCCTGGATGTGGTGAAAAGTGGACACTTTTATACTACTGGCAGGAATGTAAACTAGTACAACCACTGTGGAAAACAGTACAGAGATTCCTTAAAGAACTAGAAGAACTACTGTATTAGTCAGGGTTCCCTAGAGGGATAGGAGTAATAGGATAGATATAAATATTAAAGGGAGTTTATTAAGGAGTATTGAATCACATAATCACAAGGTGAAATCCCACAATAAGCCATCTGCAAGCGGAGGAGCAAAGAAGCCATTCTGAATCCCAAAAATCTCAAAAGTAGGGAAGCCAACAGTGCAGCCTTCGGTCTGTGGCCAAGGGCCTGAGAGCCCCTGGCAAACCACTGGTGTAAGTTCAAAAGTCCAAAAGCTTGTAGCCTGATGTTTGAGGCCATGAAGCATCCAGCATGGGAGAAAGATGGAGGCCAGAAAACTCAGCCAGTCTAGTTCTTCCACCTTCCTCTGCCTGCTTTTATCCTAGCTGCACTGGCAGCTGACTAGATGGTGGCTACCAAGAATAATGGTGATCTGCCTCTGCCAGTCCACCAATTCAAATGTTAATCTCCTTTGTCAATATCCTCACAGACACACTCAGGAACAATACCTTGCATTCTTCAATCCAATCAAGTTGAACTCAATATTAACCATCACAACTACCATTTGATTCACCAATCCCACTAGTGGATATCTACCCAAAGAAAAGTTAAGTCAGTGTCTATATAAAAAAGACACTTGCACAAGCATGTTTACAACAGTAAAATTTTCAATTGCTAAAATAAGTATTTAGACTAAATGCCCATCAACCAACAAGTGAATAAAGAAAATGTAATATATATATACACTAACTTACTATTGAGCCATAAAAAGGAAAAAAATAATGGCATTCACAGCAACCTGGTTGGGGTTGGAGACCATTATTCTAAGCAAAGTAACTCAGAAATAAAAAACCTAATATTACATGTTCTCTCTTATAAGTGGGAGCTAAGCTATGAGGACACAAAGGCATAAGGATGGTATAAGGGACTGTGGGGACTTGGGGGGAAGGGTGGAAGTGGGGGTGAGAGTAAAAGACCACACATTGGGTAAAGTGTACACTACTCGGTGGATGGGTGCAGCAAAAATCTTGGAAATCACCACTGAAGAACTTTTCTGTGCAGCAAATACCACCTTTCCCTTCAAAACTTTTGAAAATTTTTTTTTAAATCAAGGGATTAGCAGAGGAGTCAATTCACTGTGTTACCTAATAATATATTGTTATTGCCTGTTACCCGTAATCTGGAATAAAGTAAGATAGTTGAAAAAATAAATAATATGATCTGTAAACCCCCCAAAATCCCCCACAATTACTAGTATTCATCAGTAAATGATTGTCATCCCTTCCAGCCTTGAAGAGACTGCATCTCAGGCTCCTGGCTATTCAGTGAGATGATACACCTATTTCTCACTAATGAAATACACACAAACAATTCTATGTGGAGTTATCCAGTTTTCCTTCCTTTCCTGTATACACTAAGGAGGCCACCTTTTCCAGATTGTTGAGCTACAAATTAGGAACAGAGCCATCTGCATGGGAAATAACTTTTCTGAACAGTTGTCAAGAGTTAGAAACAAACCCTTGCTATCTTAAGGGACTCTGAATTAGTATATGATTTTCTTACTGCAGTTATCACCTTGTCTATTCTATATAACAAAATACCAATCTGTCATCATATTTTTTTTTCATGTTTTCAAATGAGGTTCCTTTCCAGAGAGTAAATGGAGTTATAGGTGAAGGCAAACAAGGAATATCATGGTGGCACACATCATTGAAGGTAAATAAGAGTAGCCATAAGAACAGGAACGGGGCAACAAATAGCAATGCAATGGTAAAAATCAAACCAAAAACAGTAAGTTTCAGTCCTAGCAGAACTGAAGACTGTCAGCATGAGGAACAGAAAAGAAAAAGTGATAAATGGTAATTAGAGGATGTAAATCTTTAAAACTGATGTCAGAGTTATGAGTAATGAGAATGTGGAGATTATGGGCATGCATTCCAGAGTCAGGAAAAATAAAAAATATGCAAGAGAAGACATAAAGAAATGGAAATATGAATGCACTGGAAAGATTGTCTATGCTTTTTGGTTGTGAGTAATGAGAAGGTTGAGAATATAAGAATGCATGTCAGAATTAGCAACAAGGAAAACCATGCAAGAGATCAAGAAACTGAAATAACCAAGGTATTGAAAAGACCATTTATGTGTGTGGTTTTCAATCCTGGCTATGCATTATGCTCAGTTGGGGAACTTCTGAAAGCAGAGTCCAAGTCACAGAATCTGAAACTCTCTGAGGACAGAGGCTTTATTATTTTGTAGGCTTTATAATTTTCAAATCTCCTCCAAGATGTCAATATGTACCTGAGGTTGAAACTCCATTAATTTTAAAATATTCACTTACTAAAACAAAAGTAGTGTCTGTGAATCCCATGCTAAAATTTTCAGCAAACAATGGATTCCTCCATGGTTGTCCCTTAGGAGGGAGGGGGAAAGTGACATAGCCAACATGACCAATAATATAAGCTCCAAAGCTGGCCTTTTTAAAAAAGGAGATTCTGCAGGAAGCTGTCATCAGGCAAAAGGAGATCATGCCGCCTCTAGCCCTGGGGATGAGAAAACTGAAAAAGAGAACTGTCTCTATTGAAAGGTGCTGCCAATGAATTGCTACTTCCCAAGGAAGGGCCAAGCTTTCAATAAGAAAAATAAAGTAAAGGAAATGTTCCAAAAGTGTTTAGCGTAAAAATAATTTTGCTAAAATGGGTGCAGCACACCAACATGGCACATGTATACATATGTAACAAACCTGCACATTGTGAACATGTACCCTAAAACTTAAAGTATAATAAAAAATTATGAGTACCAGAGGCAAGTGGAGGCTTCCAGAAATTAGAACTTAGGGAGGTAAGGGAATGTGTGTTAGGTAAGGGAATCCCATGAGGTCTGAGATAATTTTAATTTTTTTAATTAATAAAATGTATGACAACATAATTTATCATGGGCTCTAGAGAAGGCACCCTAGATGGAAGTTGAGGAGAAAGCCATCTGCAATTGCAAATAAAACAGCAACCCAGGCTATGTGTGGTGGCTCAAGCCTGTAATCCCAGCACATTGGGAGGCCAAGGCAGGTGGATTACGAGGTCAAGAGATCAAGACTATCCTTGCTAATGTGGTGAAAACCCCTCTCTAGTAAAAATACAAAAAATTAGCCAGGCATAGTGGCGGATGCCCATAGTTCCAACTACTCAGGAGGCTGAGAAGGGAGAATGGTGTGAATCCTGGAGGCAGAGCTTTCAGTGAGCCAAGATCATGCCACTGCCCTCCAGCCTGGGTGACAGAGTGAGTCTCTGTCTCAAAAAAAAAAAAAAAAATTCCCGCAACCCAGATAGTCCTTCCTTCATGCACTGGACAGACCTTCCCTGACAGAAGGGTCTACTCAAACTAAAACAATAAACATAATGTGCAGCAGCTACTAACAAATTACATTGGGAAACACTCCAGAATGTATCTTCAAATTCTTGGGACTCAGGAAGCTGAAGTTTGTGACTCTTACAGAAAAAAATCAATGAAAGAAAATGATTGAATCAATATAGTGCAAGACTTGGATTCTACAGACATTCGCTGACCCATTAATAAGAAGAAAAAAAATCAAGGATCTCTAAGGATTTGTGCTTGTTTTTGGTAATGCTATGTAAGACATTGGAACATGTAAGTGGGACCAAGAGCAAGAGAGGGAATCCCAGGGGCAGGTCATAATTTTGGATCTGAACATAGAGGTACCAGTAGATTGCCAAGGTGGATGTAGAAAAGAGATATAATGAAAAGAGGAGTAGGACTCTATAGCAAAGTCATGTAATTATCCTTTTTTTCTTTTTGCTCTGATATTTTCTTTCATGCTTTTCCTCATTGTAATATGTTTTGAGCAGAATGGAATTAATGTGATTAATTCACTCCTGGTCATCTTTAGAGATGTCTTTATCAACTCTTCAAATTCTACACTTTAACTAACTTAAAGTGTACTTTTATAGACTTGGAAGGCTTAAAGCTAACTAAGTTAAGGGAGAGAGAGAGAATGTTGGGATAGTGCCTGTGTATATTAATATCAATAAAAATCTTTAGGTTTCTTCACTGGGAAGCCAACAATTAAAGTAACAGGCTTTCTACCCATTTATTTCCTTTGGTGTGGGAGTTAGCACAAGAGATTCAGGCTCATTTTATTCTAATTATCCTCCTTGCAGACCTTATAGTGAACCAACCAAATGGTTTTTGCTAGCAAAATAATCCTTATCTATGGTCTGTTTCAGCATGATGTACCTAGTTGTTTAGGAACCTTTTACGGCAAAGAAACATGGCATCTATGGATTTATGTGAAATAGCTCCCTGGACACATTTAACTAAGCTGTGCAACTGAGTAAAGAAAAAAATATATTTTCTGACCCCAAATTTTTATTTTTTGATGGTAAAGGGGTCATTGGTCTTTGTTAGAAACCTCATCCATCAACCTGGCTAGAAACATACAATGTGCAAAGAGGAAACTTGAGTAGTGGTGATGGAAGAAAAGAAACTCCCTTCTTTACTGTGTTGCAAAATGACTCATTCCTGTGACATTCTCATTAAAGCCTGGCCCGGTTGACTCCAGAGGGTATGATTTGACAACTCAATGCTTTGCATCATGTAGTTTACTAAATTGGTGGTATATTTAAATCAGGTACTGAATCTCTTTTTTCAAATCAATGTGTGAAGCATGGTGTAAGTGAGTATGCATTTTACAAAGGACATCGAGGAAACTGTTGAGGTGTTTATTATCAGAGCCCTGTAATGTTGACTGTTGCCCATTGAGGGCAGCCAAGACTAGGCACAAATGGCTGAACAATGGGTGATGCAAGGACCAAGATATTGGGGGATTCAGGCCAATGACAGTGGCTAAGTTTCCCTCCAACCGTCAATTCCCAAGTCAGGTATACACTTGACCAGAAATGTGGGTGACAGTATGCAAGTGTTGCCACAGAGGAGTTAATGAAAAAGAAAGGATAACTACATCTTAACCTGACAATATAATAACAGGGTCTGGGATTTGATTTCCAAAACTGACTTTTTTCTTGGGATCTAGGTTTCCCATAGGTATGTAGATAGGTAGTGGGTTTATATAGGTAGGTGGATAGGTAGGTAAGTAGGTTGAAAGGTATATAGATAGGTTTTTAGGTCATATTTAATAGTTAGCAAACACAGTACTTAGACAGGTAGGCATGTAGGTAGGTGGATTGTTCGGTAAGTAGGTAGATAAATAGGTAGTTTAGTAGGTAGCTTGGTAGGTAGGTAGGTTAGTAGGTAGAAAGATAAATAAATAGGTGCTTAGGTCATATTTAATAGGTAGTAAACAGGTATACTGGTAGGTGGGGTAGATAAGTGGATAGTTAGGTAAGTATATTCATAACTAGTAGATACTTAAGTAGATAAGTAGATAAGTATACATTGATAGGTAGCTAATTAGCTAGGTAGATAGGTAGTTTAGTAGGTATAAAGGTATACAGATAAGTACTTAGGTCATATTTCATAGGCAGATAGGTAGGTAGGGTAGATAGGTAGGTATATTCATAAGTTGATAGGTACATAGATAAGTAGATAAGTATGTAGGTATAAGTTGGTATGTAGCTAGCTAACCAGCTATATAGATAGGTAGCTTAGTAGATAGAAAGGCTATATAGATAGGTACTTAGGTCATATTTAGTATGTAGTAGACAGGCAGGTAGGTAGGTACGTAGTGAGAATATAGGTAGCTTGGTTAGTAAGTAGGTGAGAAGGTAGGTAGCTAAGTAAATATGTAGATATGTAGATAGGTAGACAGCTAGGTATGCTATTAGGTAAGAAGATATATAATATCTGTAATCAAGAGGTATTTAGGTCATATTTAGTAAGTGGTAGACAGGTAAATAGAGAGGTACAGAGGTAGGTAGATGGGTAGGTAGCTAAATAGATGGGCAGATATGTAGGTAGGTAGGTAAATAGAAAGAAATATAGATAGGTACATAGGTACTTAGGCCATATTTAGTAGGTAGTAGACAAATAGATAGGTGGATAGGTAGGTAGTTAAGTAAATAGATAAGTTTGTAAGTATATAGGTAGGTAGCCAGCTAGGAAACTGGCTACATAGGTAGGTAGAGATTGTGCTACATGCATAATTTACAATCTGCCAAATAAGAGATGAGTCTCATCTTACATGAGGCAATATAAAAAGTGATAGAAGAAAAAAGATTTTTGTTGTAACTTTATTCTCCTGTACAAGACAAGGTACAGCATTTGGACCTCACCTCAATTCTGTTTACCTCTGACAAAGGATAGAGTCAGTCAAACCCTGTGGTGGCTATGACAATCATGCCAGTTTGCTTATGACAGAGTGAGTTCCTGGGTGCAGGACTTTCAGAGGTAGAACAAGAAAGTTCCTGACCAAACTTGGATGAGTTGGTCATCATAGAAATATCTGAACAAACATAGGCCCTGCAGAAAGCATCATTCACACAGAGAGAAGAGGAAAACAAAAGAATGAGCTGGGACCCCACAGCCAAACTCCATGGGACCAGCAAGGAAAATGCCTCAAACAAGAAGTGTTCTCATTTCTTTTAATCTGTTCCCTGTGCAAAAAAAGATGGCGGATGTTGAATGTCCAGAAAGGCCCCTTTGCTTTATATAACTGGAGCTGGTTCAATAATGGCATGTAATTGAACATGGGCTCAATGTGTGCATATTAGTGGAAGTACTGAATTTTACGCCACTTTCTAGCTTCGCTGTAATTTAACAAGTAAGCTAATTCTTCAAGAAACAAATTTTCCCAGGAATTCTGTCATTATCCTGTTTTGTCCTTTAGAACAACACTTTTAGTTTTTGGGAAAAAATATTTGAAACTTTTGATTCAGGGTGAGTTAGAAAATAGGCATGCTCTGTTTATTCTGTGGTGCTTATCTGGTGATGTTTGAATCTTATATAGGATCTGACCAAGGCATTCCAACAACCTCATGTTACACAGTTTCATTTAACTTTTACATGGATATATTGAAATGAGAATTGCTGACACCAATGCTTTGATAAATAAGAAAAATGAAGTTTGGATGAGAAAATTCCCCAGTATCAGACAGTGATCAAGACGAGGTTTAGAATCCAGTCTTGGAATCTAAGTTACTCCACCTATTCATAGGACTCTGACCCACACAAGTTATTCCAATGTCAGTCAAGTTACAATACGGTTATCCCTCATTAGGGTTGGTTATAAAGCCAATGATGCTGTCCTTCTAAGAAGAAAGGAAACATGGAGATAGAGGCAAACGATAAAGAAAAAGTCCATGTGAAGATGCAGCCAGCAATAGGAGTTATTCAGCTGCAAATCCAGGAACACCAGGAACTAGTGGCAATCAGTGAAAGCTAGAAAAGAAAAAATAAAAGGAAGGAAGGGGAAAGGAAGGAGGAAAAAAGGAAGGAAGGTAAAAGAAAAAAGAAAAAATGTCATGAACAACATCTAAGACATAATTATTTAATCACGCTCTTACATACAAGTTTTTAAAATTTTTTTCCATAAGTTACTGGGGTACAGGTGGCTTTTGGTTACATGAGTAAGTTCTTTAGTAGTGATCTGTGAGATTTTGATGCTCACATCTCACAAGCGATATACACTACACGATATTTGCAGTCTATTATCCCTTGCCCCCTCCCACTCTTCCCCACAAATCCCCAAAGCCCACTGGATCATTCTTATACCTTTGTGTCCTCATAGTTTAGCTCCCATATACCAGTGAGAACATAAGATGTTTGGTTTTCCATTTCTGAGTCACATCACTTAAAAATAATAGTCTCCAATCTCATCCAGGTCACTGCAAATGGTGTTAATTCATTCCTTTTTATGCTACATAGTATTCCACTATATATATAGTGTATATATATATAGTGTATATATATATAGTGTATATATATAGTGTATATATATATAGTGTATATATATATAGTGTGTGTATATATATATTCCACTATATTTATAGTATATATATGTTCCACTATATACAGTATATATATATATTCCACTATATACAGTATATATATATATATTCCACTATATATAGTATGTATATATATATTCCACTATATATATATATATATATATAGAGAGAGAGAGAGAGAGGAATGAATTAACACCATTTGCAGTGACCTGGATGAGATTGGAGACTATTTTATATATATATGGATAAAGAAACTGGAATATATATATTCCACTATATATATATATATTCCACTATATATATATATTCCACTATATATATATATTCCACTATATATATATAAATATATTCCACTAGTGGAATATATATATTTATATATAGTGGAATATATATATATATATATAGTGGAATATATATATATATATATATAGTGGAATATATATATATATATATATAGTGGAATATATATATTCCAGTTTCTTTATCCACTTGTTGATTGATGGGCATTTGGGTTGGATACACAATTTTGCTATTGTTAATTATGCAACTATAATAGTGTGTGTGCAAGTATCTTTTTTGAATAATGACTTGTTTTCCTCTAGGAAGATACCCAGTAGCGGGACTGCTGTATCAAAGGGTGGCCCACTCTCACCACTTCTCTTCAACATAGTACTGGAAGTCCCCGCCCGAACAATTAGACAAGAGAAAGAAATAAAGGGCATCCAAATCTGTAAAGAGTAAGTCAAACTGTCACTGTTTGCTAAGGATATGATCATTTACCTTGAAAACCCTGAGGACCCCTTTAGAAAGCTTCTGTAACTGATAAAATAATTCAACAAAGTTTCTGGATACAAGTTTAATGTACACAAATCAGTAGCTCTTCTATATACCAACAGTGACCAAGCAAATAATCAAATCAAGAACTCAACCCTGTTTACAGTAGCTGCAAAAAAATAAAATAAAATACTTAGGAATATACCTAACCAAGGAGTCGAAAGACCTCTATAAGGAAAACTACAAAATACTGCTGAAAGAAATCATAGATGACACAAACAAATGGAAACACATCCCAGGCTCATGGATGGGTAAAATCAATGTTGTGAAAATGACCTTACTGCCAAAAGCAATCTACAAATTTAATGCAGTCCCCACATACAATTTAAAGAATATAAATTTCAAACAAGAAGTCATGAAAGTTCCTTATAGGGTTCAGCTTGTGTCCATTTTCAGTCTCCAAAAGAAAAAACAAATTGCCTTAAATCAGGAAAAGAATAAAGGATGAAAATGGTGAAAAATTTAAATCAGAGATAAAACAAGAATTTATTCCTTTTATACAAATTGCCTTCCAACTTTACCAAAGTAGTTGTTTTGGTTTGGAACATTCATGTGGTTTACAACAGAAAGAGACTAAGTCTTAAAGGATTTTATCTCTCTTTGGTGTTTAGTTCCTTATGGGAATTTCCTACTATTTTTATTCTGCATATTGTCCTGTTTAATGATTGTGTTCATTCGCTTCTGGCTTTGAATAAAGCTCTATTCATTTCTATTTCCTTCATTTCCCTGATTCCAGAAATACTAGTCTTCATATAAAGAAGAAGACAATTAAATGACTCCTAGCGTAGGGGACATGACAAAGGATTTGCATAATTGTGTGCACGTGGTTCTCAATTGTTGATCTTGCTCTGACCCACTATGTTATAACTCAAACCGACATACTGTGTGGAAAGCTATAAAATTTCCTATTATGAGAAAATGAAGGCTTAAATCAACATACACTTTTTCCATGATGAATCTATTATTTAAATCAAAATGTATTGAACATTATTCTTAAAGTAGCTCATTCAACTCATTTTAAACAAATTTTATTATCAGTTTATTCCATGCAAAGAAATGAACTTCAAGGATATTACAGTTGAGTGATTTCTACAAAAAGAGATTTTCTCCATGTATTTTTGTTTGTTTTTGGGTTTTCTTGAAATTCTATTAAAACTGGTAAGTTCTAAAGTGATTTTTTTTTTTGCTCACAATTTATTTTCCAAATTAGGTTTGCATAGATGTCATTAAGACATTTTGAGGGAAATTTGAGGTAGAAGTTTATGATTTTTTTAAAGATTTTTCCAGTCCTACTCAAATTTCAAGAGAATGTTAACAACATTATATTTATAGATATTTTTCTCTCACATGATAGAAATAAAACAGCCAGAGAAGTCTGAGTTATATGAGGTATGCAAAACTTATCAGGCCCAGGGAGACAAGAGTGTGTGAGATTTCAGCCACACTCACTGCCTGGCAAACCCATGCCTGGGGGCAATTGTTTGAATGCATTTTATTTCTAATTAGCAGCCTCACCTATTAGCTTCATGTCTCTGGAATTTGTAATATAAAGAACAATTTATAGCCAATCAATATTTTATGTTATTTTCATGTAAATTATTGGTAAACAATTTAGGAACTGCCTCCTTTGTTCCTTTAAAAACTCACTTGTTCCTGCTGTTAATCCGAGCATATGTTCTGGGCACATTGAATCTATGGTTCTGGTTATAATCTTCAAACTTGGACCAAAAAAACTCTCCACTTATAATGCATGTGTCTTATGTTTCCCCTCCCCCTCCTTAGGCCAGCATATCTGCACAGCTAACATCTGTCTAGGGGATGAGGAACACTAATAAAGTCCATTATTGGGACGCACACACACACACAGACACATACACACACACAACAAAAGTCACACATTTAAAAAGGATTAAATAGTATATTCAAAATAATCATAACTGCTCATACTTGTAACAGCCACACAATTCACTGGGTTTCTCTAGGATGCAGGATTAGCCATTAACAGGATTTCCGGTGCTGTTTTCATAGCATTTGAAAGCTTTCCTCATTCCCTTGCCGACCTCATCAAAAGAATCCAGGCTGGACGTTGTGGCTCACACCTATAATCCCAACACTATGGGAGGCAAAGGTGGCTGGACTACTTGAGGCCAGAAGTTCAGGACCAGCCTGGCCAACATGGCAAAACCCTGTCTTTACCAAAAATAAAAAATTATCTGGGCTTTGTGGCACATGCCTGAAGCCACAGCTGCTTGGGAGGCTAAGCCATGAGAATTGCTTGAACCTGGGAAGCAGAGGTTGTGGTGAGCTGAGATCACACTGCTATACTCCAGCCTGGGTTGAGAAAGACCCTGTTTCAAAACAAAAACAAAAATTCCAAAGGTGGGGTACACGTCAGTGCAAAATAACTTTGATGCTGAAGGAAGCCACAGCTCTTGAAAGATTCACACACATTACTTTTACAATTCTGACTCCAATGGTGGACTGTAAATCTTGTTAAATGAGGTGGGCCAGGCACATTGGCTCACATGTGTAATCCCAGGATTTTGGGAGGCCAAGGAGGGCAGATCAAGAGGTCAAGAGTTCGAGACCAGCCTGGCAAAAATGGTAAAACCCCATCTCTACTAAAGATTTAAAAAATTAGCTGGGTGTGGTAGCACACACCTGTAGTAATCCCAGCAACTTGGGAGGCTGAGGCAGGAGAATCCCTTGAACCTGGGAAGTGGAAGTTGGAGTGAGCCGAGAGAGAGATCGCACCATTGCACTCCAGCCTGGGTGACAAGACGAGACTTTGTGTCAACAACAACAACAACAACAACAACAACAACAACAACACAACTAAATGAAGTGGTCATGCTTTCATACTTTGAGTCTCTGCATAACAGAGAGCTAATGTAATATGCAGAAAAAAACCCATTAAGGTTTCACCAGATTACAAACAGTTGAGCTTCAGTTAATCATAGCTATCCAATGAATCAGATTCTTCTTAAATAAGGTGAATGCCATATCACATTACGCCCAAATAAAGGAGATGGCCAGCTTTGGCCAATCAGATGATTTTTCTACTTTGCTTCTGTGTTTGGTCTAAAAAACCTCTCTTGTTACACAGCTTGGCACTGCTTTCTGAACCTCCTCTGCTTCCAAGTGCTGCCCACTCTTGAATCACTCTGCTCAGATAAACTCTGCTAAATTTTTCTAAAGTTTTTATTATTATTATTATTTTAATAGTGTAACCAAAGTTCACATAATCAAAATGTTGATTTTTTTCATCATGGCTAATAAAGGCTTGTTTATGTAGAGGAGACACAATACAGTGTCTGTTTAGATGTGATGCATTTCAGAAGCTACCTTGAGAAAGATTGTACTGCCCATATATGTTCCTGTGAGTTACAACAAAACATTCCATCTAGGAAGAAAAACAACACACTTTGCTTCTTAACTGGAGTGCCTCATGATTTTGTTTTAAAAAAAAGTAATTTCTAAAGGAAAACAAAATTTCCAGGTGGAAAAGTAATGTTTTGGGTCATTAAAAAAAGTATCTTTGCTGTTTTGCATTGTTTCAGGCAATATAAGAGAGAACACATTGTGCTAGCAAAGAGGCAGAGGTGGGTATGTCTTAAAGTTTCTTTTATTTATAAGATGCAGGACCACACTGCAGAATTCCACTTTTATTTTCCTGGTTGACTCAAATCTGGGTTATTAATGTTAAATTATCCACATGTTCATATATTATTAATTTAATTGATAAACTTAATTTTATGTAGAAGAAATATATTGTAGAAGTTACCAATTATTAATTAATGATCTATCATTTTTAATACTTATATTTTTGTGTCCTGTGGCTTTCTAAGGCCACTCCAAGTCCATTGAGAGCAATGCCTTCACCTGCACTAAATAAATGAGCAGAACAATGGTTAATGGAGTTCTTTTGACAGGGTTTTTCTTTAATCACTAATGTCTTCTCATTTTGGAAGGATAAAATAGCCTCTCTTTGTTATTAAGTTTAGGGTCCCTATTTTTGCCCTAAACTGTATTCGTCTTTGAGATTTCAATATGGATCATGATTATATGTATTTGTTGATATTCAATATACTTCACATATTCAATTTTCTTCACATTTCCAATGCAATTTCATAATAAGACCTTCTACGGGGATTCATTTTTCAACCCCTCTATGTAAATATTCAAAAACACACTCTTGGTCCTAATCCCTAGAATCATAAAATCGTGCCCTGTAGATTCATACTTCATTGTAGTGAAGATAGTGAGTGATCTGAAATAAATTACACCTGGGACTACAGGCATGCACCACCACATCTGCATTTAGGCCAAGGTAGGAAGATCAATTGAGGCCAAGAGTTCAAATCCAGACTGGGAAAGATAGTCAGACTCCATTTCTTAAAAATAAAAATAGATTAAAGTAAATAGATTTTAAAAATTGTATTTACTATTTGACAAAAAATATATATTGTGTTCATCAAGGTATTTTGATATTTGTATACATTGTGGGGTGGCTAAATCAAGCTAATTAACTTATTTATGACCTCTTAGCTGTGTGTTTTTGTGTAGCTTGAATAACAGATTTTGAGCAATTAACAGGACAACTGGGCATTTTTTTTTAATCTGTGCTGGCTGCTGGTCACTCATGTTATATTTCCAAAGCACTAATAATGCTGTATCAGGGCCCTCAAGCTCCACAATGCAAGGCTGGGATTTTTAAGATGGTGAGTAAAGTGATCTTCAGTCACTTCTTTCAACCTTGTGTCCAGCTCATACACAGATGACAGCAATCATAAACCAAGGACTCAATCCCTGAATTTACAAAAGAAAAACAGCAATGTCTATGGAAAAAGTGATTCAATTGCTTTTATGCCCCAAATAAGTGTGGGGGATGGGGTTGTTTATGTTGGATGCATGTACAGCAAAGGGAATTGTATTGGTTCATTCTCACAGTACTATAAAGGACTACCTGAGACTGGGTAATTTTTTCTTTCATTTCTTTTTTTTGGGGGGGACAGAGTCTTGCTCTGTTGCCTAGGCTGGAGGGCAGTGGCATGATCTCGGCTCACCGCAACTTCTGCCTCCTGAGTTCAAGCCATTATCCTGTCTCAGCCTCCAGAGACTGGGTAATTTATAAAGAAAAGAGCTTTAGTTGACTCACAGTTCCTTGGGCTTAACAGGAAGCGTGACTAGGAGGCCTCAGGAAACTTATAATCATGGTGGAAGGCTAATGGGAAGCAAGCATGCTCTTCACATGGAGGCAGGAGAGAGAGAGCCAAGGGGGAAGTGCCACACACTTTTAAACCATCAGGTCTCATAAGAAATCACTCATTATCATGAGAACAGCAAGAGGAAAGTCCGCCCCCATGACTATCACCTCCCACCGGGTACCTCCCTTAACACTGAGAATTACAATTTGACATGAGATTGGATGGGGACACAGAGCCAAATCATATCAGCAATGAATTGAGGATCAAGTGAACATACTTTTGGCAAAGACACCTGCAGAGCAGTAAGACAATTCTCCAAGCAAGCCACCAGTCTTTGATTATACCGTCTTTGAACTCAAATGTTTTTGTCACTGACTATCATAGTAGCTGAAAGATTGTGTCAGAAAACAGATTGGTGATTGTCAGAGCTGGAGGGAGAGTGTGTGGGAAGTGACTACTTAATGGGTACTGAGTTTTTCTGTGATTATAAAAATATTCTGAAGTTAGATAGTGGTGATGGCTGCACAACTGAACATAGAAAAAGACATTAAACTCTATGCTTTGAAAAGGTGAATGTTATGGTCTATGAGTTGTATTTTTAAGAAAGCCTCTAAACTTTAAATATTTAAATCTGTTATTTCTAACATATTAAATTGTTAAAATGCTTGATGCTGAAAATTATGTAGTTAAATTCTAGAAACCAAGAATCTCACCATTTTTAAATTAAAATTTAATTAATTAGTGAACTTTTTATTCTTTAAAAATTTTGATATCAAAGGAAGTTTTTTTCAGAGTGGAAGTATCTGATCAAGGAATCACATATGGAAGTTTGGAACAGTCTCCAGAAATGGTAATTTTGACACTAAATCTTCCCCTAAAAGGAAATCCAAATAGAAATTTGAAGTTGGCAAATCATGAGCCTGCATCTAAGATTAAGAATATTTTCCCTTAATAAAACAATTTATTCATGCATTTTAAAAAACAACTTCAGCTCACCTCACATTGCCAGAAGATATTGCAGAAGCAAGTACTATAAATTTTCCTGTAGGATAAGTTCCTTAAGACGAAAAGAAATAAAATCATATGTGTTCTGTTGTTTAGAATGATTGTATTTAGAATCAGGCATAATACTCATGAAAATTCTAAACTTCAGTTAACTTTTTAAATTCCTATTTCATAGTATAGGGTGAATGAAAACTAAGGTGATTCATCCATTAATGTTCCAAAACACCACTATGAGTAAGGTGTTGTGAATTGGCCTTTTCCCCAAATTGATGTTCAGTGCCCGTTATATTTAATTTCACTTAGTTCTTTATGCCACCTTGTCAACTAATATCTTAACATTTTAAAGACAATAGTAGTAGAGAAATAGTTCTCATTCCCTCCCTCCTCTCTTTCTCTCTTTCTCTCTCTCTCTCTGTCTTTCCTTCTGACTCTTCTTCTCTCTCTTCTCATATGGTATCCTACTTAGCAAACAAACTAGGAATTTGCAACCATGCATACTTATTCCCATACTAGGCGGTGAAGAGGGAAAACAGAAGAAGGTTACAGACCTTCAAAATCTCCCATTATTTTAAAAGTGCAGGCCCAGTGAGCTGTCTCATGCCTTTAATTCCAGTACTTTGGGAAGCCAAGGAAGGAGGACCACTTGAGCCCAGGAGCTCAAGACCAGCCTGGGCAACATAGTAGAGTCCTTCTTTGCAAAAAAAAAAAAAAAAAAAAAAAAAAAAAAAAAGAAAAAAGAAATAGCTGGATGTGGTGGTGCCCACCTGTACTTCCAGCAGCTTGGGAGACTCCAAGGGGAGGATCGCTTGAGCTAGGGTTAGAGGCTGCAGTGAGCTTTGAATGCACCACTGCATTCCAGCCTGGGTGACAGAGTGAGATCATATGTCCAATAAATAAATAAATAAATAATAAGCAAAGAGGTTTTTAAACTGATACTATCATCTAGTCCCCATTTTTACAAATAAGAACATTGAAATCTAGGGCAATTAAATGCTGCACTGTTGGTGGTTCTCTTCAAAATTTTATTCCAGCCACAGGCTTTTCTTTTAACAGTGGAAAATAAGTGTAATCAAATTAAATTATTAAAGAGCATATACCACATTTTCCTCTTTCATTGACCTTTTCCCTGTCTATGCGACACATTTTTTTCCCGCACCATGAGGGCTTGGCAAATGTTGACTGATGGAATGTCAGGAGCTGGGAGCTCAAGTACTCAGTGGCAGACAGTGATCAACTATGTTCACAACAGGAACATAGCTCAGATTCTCTGGGCTGTCTATTACAGGGCATTGTTCAGGGGAACTGCATAAGCACAGTGGAAATAAGATGACTTGCCAGTTTTCCAGGACCCATGCCACTGGGAAGAGGCTCTCCACCTCTATATCTGTAATGTGGGCAGTGCCATGGTCAGCCGATACATACTGATGAAGGCCATGTGGATGCTAGGGATCTACTCCTTGCAATGGAACCTGGACTTTGACAATGTTGACATACATAGTGCTTTTGCTAACATAAGGCTCCACATTGCAGACCCCTAATGAATAAGAAATTATCTCTGTGAAACCATCATTAACAAAATGTAAACAGATGCATCCAAAGTCTAGGAGGCTCACTTGCAGAGATCTAAGAGGTCACCTGCCTACAGCTGTTGTTGTTTTCTTGTTTTTTTTTTTTTAATGAAAACTTTTATTTTAGGTTGGTGTACAGATTATTTCATCACCCAGGAGCACAGTACCTGATAGGTAGTTTTTTAATCTTCACCCTCATCCCACCCTCCAACCTCAAGTAGGCCCTGGTGTCTATTGTTCCCCTCTTTCTGTTCATGTGTTCTCAATGTTTAGCTCCTACTTCTCAGTGAGAACATGTGCATTCGGCTTTCTGGTCCTGTGTTAGTTCACAGAGGATAATGGCCTCCACCTCCATCCACATTGCTGCAAAGATACGATCTTATTCATTTTATGGCTGCACAGTATTCCATAGTGTCTACGTACTACATTTTCTTTATTCAGCCTACCACTAATGTGCATGTAGGTTGATTCCATGTCTTGGCTATTGTGAATAATGCTGAGATAAAGATATGCATGTATGTGCCTTTAAGGCAGAATGATTTCTATTCCTGGCCTGGTGCAGGGGCTCATGCCTGTAATCCCAGCAGTTTGGTAGGCAGAGGTGGGTGGATCACTTGAGGTCAGGTGCTCAAGACCAGCCTGACCAACACAGTGAAACCCCGTCTCTATTAAAAATACAAATATTAGCTAGGCATGGTGGCAGGAGCCTGTAATCCCAGGTACTTGGGAAGCTGAGGCAGGAGAATCACTTGAACATGGGAGGTGGAGGTTGCAGTGAGCCAAGATCACACCATTGCACTCCAGCCTGGAGAAGAGAGACTCTGCCTCCGGAAAAAAAAAAAAAAAAGCAAGGATTTCCATTCCTTTGGATATGTACCCAATAATGGGATTGCTGGGTCAAATGGTAGTTCTACTTTAAGTTCTTTGAGAAATCACTTTGCACTACACAAAGTACTGCCCTGTGTGATCAACACTAAGGAACAGAACATATATTTTTAAACAGATTCCATGTCCTCTTTTCATTTGTCCACAGGATGCTCCCAAGTACTGATAATATACCACACCTAAAAGAAAATCTTTTTTTTTTTTTTTTTTCTTGAGACAGAGTCTCACTCTGTCACCCAGGCTGGAGTGCAGTGGAACGATCTCAGCTCACTGCAACCTCAACCTCCTGGGTTCAAGTGAATCTCCTGCCTCAGCCTCCTGAGCAGCTGATACTACAGGCACAAGCTACCACACCCAGCTAATTTTTGTATTTTTGGTAGAGATGAGATTTCACCATATTGGCTAGGCTTGTCTCAAAATCTTGACCTTATGATCCACCCGCCTCAGCCCACTAAAGTGCTGGGATTATAGGCATAAGCCGCCATGCCTTAATAAAATCTTAATAAATTTATAAAGAAAACCTTAATAAATTTATAAAAGCTAATATGATCCAGGCAGCATTTTATCACTAATTTATAGTTGATTCATCAATTCACAATGACATCAAAATAAAAAGAAATGTTTGAGACAATCAACTACCACTAATAAGAAACTCTGGTGGAAATATTGGATGTAAGAGGAAATCAAAATTGCAATAAACATTAATTAGAAAATAGTTCATTACTAAACTACTAGAAAACATGGCATTACTAAAGTTATGGGATGTTTCCAATGCCTTACTCAGAGGGCAAATGTGTAATCTTAAATATTAATGTTTCCACTATTAACAATAGAGAATAAACATAATTGGATCAAGCAAATAACTGTCTTTGCCTTGCTTACTGGTAACATTTCACCCAGTGTTACACCCCTGCACTCACTACTTGAAAACCCTATCAGTCTTTCCAAAAAAAAAAAAAAGTGAAGTACTTACACACACTAATATGTAGATAAACTTTGAAGAAGTTACGCTGAGTGAAAGAAGAATACACGGTGTATGATTCTATTTACAAGAAATGTCCAGAAGAGGCAAATTCATGGAGTCAAAAAGTAGACTCATGGTTTTCAGGGACTTGAGTGGGTGAGAGAAAGAGGAGGGAATTTTTTTTTTTTTTTTTGAGACAGAGACTTGCTCTATCACGCAGGCTGGAGTGCAGTGGTGTGATTAGTCCTCACTGCAGCCTCCACCTCCCTGGGCTCAGATGATCCTCCCACCTCAGTCTCCTGAGTAGCTGGGACTACAGGTGCATACTGCCATGCCCAGCTAATTTTTGTGTGTGTGTGTGTGTGTGTGTGTGTGTGTGTGTGTATATATATATATATATATATATATTTTTTTTTTTTTTTTTGTAGAGACAGGGTCACACTATGTTACCCAGGCTAGTCTCAAACTTCTGGACTCAAGCCATTCACCCACCTTGGCCTCTCAAAGTGCCAGGATTATAGGCATGAGTCATTGCACCCAGCCCAGCAACTTTTAATGGATATGAGCCTTCTTTGTGCAATTATAAAAATATTCTGCAGTTGGATAGTGCTGAGATTGCACAATTATGAATGTACTAAAAGCCACTAAATTGTGCACTTTAAAAGGGTGACTATTATGGTATATAATTTTATTTCACACACAGAGAAATAGTTTCACATCAGGTGTGGTTGCCATTAGAATTTTCTGCCATATGTAGGAACATGGATAGAGCTAGAAGACATTATCTTAAGTGAGACAGCTCAGAAACAAAAAGTCAAATACTGCATATTCTCACTCATAAGTGGGAGGTAAATAATGTGTACACATGGATGTAGAGAATGGAAAAATAGACACCAGAGGCTCAGAAAACTGAAAGGGTGTGTTAGGGTTAAGGGATGAGAAATTATTTCTTGTGTACAATGTACATTATTAACATGATGGGTAAGCTAAAAGACAAGATTTTACCACCAGGCAATATATCAACGTAACACAAGTGCACTTGGACCCCTTAAATTTATACAAATACATAAAAAAAGAGTTTACATATCCAGCTTAAAAATAAGAAATATATGCTGCCATAATTAATATACCCAATAGAAGGGGAAATAAGTTCTATTTAGCAATATATGAGGGATTTTCTCTGAAAATCATCTTTGGTATAGAGACAGCATTGCAGACATCTGTTAAAAACTTCCTATGAACCTGGATATTCCTTCATACTGGGCTATAAATATTTTTTTAAAAAAATCTACTAAAAAAAAGTTGAGCTAAATGGCTGAGATTCTATCCTGAGAAAGTCATACTTACAAGGTTGGCCCAAGACTGCTATTTAAGAATTTGGACTTAGGGAACTTCCCGCTACCCTAATTGGTAAGCATGGTTTATGATGTCTAAACTACACCCCAAAAATGTAATCTGGGGAAAGAAAATGCTTTCCTTGCAGATGGCTGAAACTTTGGTAGATGTCTTTGTGAAGATCCCCCCATTAAAAACCCTGGGTACCGAGTCTCCCAGAAGCTTCTTTGGTAGAGAGCATTTCTTTTCTTTACATTTTTTTTTTTTTTTTTTTTTTTTTGGTGAGACAGAGTCTCACTCTGTTGCCCAGTCTGGAGTGCAGTGTTGCAATTTCGGCTCACTGCAACCTCCACTTCCGTGGTTCAAGCAATTCCCCTGACTCAGCCTCCTGAGTAGGTGGGATTACAGGTGCACACCAACATGCCCAGCTAAATTTTTTTGTATTTGTAGTAGAGACAGAATTTCACCATGTTGGCCAGACTTGCCTTGACTCCTGAGCTCAGGCAATTGGCCCATCTCGGCCTCCCAAAGTGCTGGGATTACAGGCATGAGCCACAGCACCCGGCCGGTAGAGAGCATTGCAAATGTGTTGTCAAAACTCATCACTGGAGGAATGAATCACATCCTCTGTGACTCCAATGAGAGACGATTTCCTTGGAAGCTTGCAACTGGTTTCCTGTGGAGTTCACCTCATGTGCTTCTGCCTTTTGCCAATTTCTCTTGCTATAGTTTCGCTTATATAAATCATAGCTTAAAGTATGATTATCTGCTAAGTCCTTCGAGTTATCCTGGTAGATCGTCAAATCTGGAGGTGGTCTTGGAGATACGTGAGCACACCAACCTTCTCATAAGTTGGGCTCATAAAACCATCTTAAAAGGCATAATGAAGTTTGTGAACACAGGAGGGAGGCACTATCACAAAATGATACTAGTTCTTATCTTATCTGTAGACTTTGCCTTCTCTCTTCTTGGAGGATATGCACTGTCATTGCTAAAAATTTTTTTTTTTTTTTTTTTTTTTTGAGACGGAGTCTCTCTCTGTCGCCCAGGCTGGAGTGCAGTGGCGCGATCTCGGCTCACTGCAAGCTCCGCCTCCCGGGTTCACGCCATTCTCCTGCCTCAGCCCCCCGAGTAGCTGGGACTACAGGCGCCCGCTACCATGCCCGGCTAATTTTTTGTATTTTTAGTAGAGACGGGGTTTCACCGTGTTAGCCAGGATGATCTCGATCTCCTGACCTCGTGATCCGCCCGCCTCGGCCTCCCAAAGTGCTGGGATTACAGGCGTGAGCCACCGCGCCCGACCCATTGCTAAAAATATTTTGCACAAAGAGCATTTTAGTAGAAAAAATAGAAATGTTGGCTGGGTGCTGTGGCTCATTCCTCTAATCTCAGGACTTTGGGAGGCTGAGGTGGGAGGATTGTTTGAGCCCAGGAGTTTGATACCAGCCTAGGCAATATAGTAAGACCCTGTCTCTACAAATAATTTTTTAAAATAGCTGGGCACAGTGGTATGTGCCTGTGATTCCAACAACTCGGGAGGCTGAGGTGGAAGAATCACTTGAGCCCAGGAGTTTTAGACCATCCTGGACAACATAGCAAGACCCTATCTCTACAAATAATAATAATAAAATAGCTGGGTGTGGTGATATGTGCCTGTGGTTCTGACTACTCAGGACGCTGAGATGGGAAGATCACCTGAGCCCAGGAAGTTGAGGTGGGAGAGAGTTATGATCACATTTTACTCTAGCCTGGGTGACAGAGCAAGATCTTGTCTCAAAAAGAAAAAAAAAAAAAAAGGAAACGAACAGAAATATTAAAAGACAGTGTGACATTCATCTCATATAAACAAAACGATGAGGGAAAAGTATTTTTGTTTTTAATTTTATGGACTTTCCTTGTTACTTCTTTAGTAGTAAAAGCCACACTCCATGACCTGTCAACCAGTATATGTGCCTTATTTTATCATAAAATATCTGATATATCTGCTATTTTCAAAATAAATTTTCATATTCTGTGTGTGAAAACATTCCATGAAATCTCATCAGGGCTGCATATATTGGAGGATACAAGAAAGTTGGGGTTAGGCTCAGCTTTTTCTGGCTTCTTTCCAAGAAAGGTAAATGACAAGTCAGCCACAAAATATATGAAGAGTCAGGCTGATTTGTAAGAGGACATGGACTCCCCACACAGTGTCATAGTGGCAGTGATCCCAGCTGTGATAAGCCTGCCTGGTATTTTGTAATACATTTCTGAAAGGATGATTTTTTTCCTCAAATACAAATTAGCCTTTACTAATGAAAGGTGACAACGTGCTAGCAGCCCTCACTCGCTCTTGTGCCTCTTCGGCCTTGGTGTCCACTCTGGCCACTCTAGAGGATCCCTTCAGCCTGCCGATGCACTATGAGGGCCCCTCTCTGGGGCTGGCTGAGGCCGAAGCCGGCTCCCTGTGCTAGCGAGAAAGTGTGAAGAGAGAGGCACCGGCTTGGCCAGGGCTGCAAGCAGTGATCGCAGGCCAGCAGGTTCCAGGTGAGCGCTGGCTCAGCAAGACGGCGCTAGGGGCAGCCAGCCGGCGCTTGCTGGGCTTGATTGGAGGCTGAATCTGGAGCGTTGACTGCCTTTTCCTCTTGGCGAGATCCTTGGCCATGATAGCAGATCTCCCATCTCTTTCTCACTTCCCCTCTTTTGCTTTTAAGGAGCTCCCTCTGCGCTGCCAGAATGCCAGGAGGAGGTGCCGCAAAGCAGCGAGTGCCAGCAGTGAGAGGTGAATCCCCTGGGCTTCTGGGTTGGGTGGGGACTTGGAGAAATTTTCTGTCTAGCTAAAGGATTGTAAATGCACCAATCAGCAATCTGTGTCTAGTTAAAGGTTTGTAAATGCACCAATCAGCACTCTGTGTCTAGCTAATCTGGTGGGGACTTGGAGAACTTTTCTGTCTAGCCTGAGGATTGTAAACACACCAATCAGCACTCTGTGTCTAGCTAAAGGTTTCTAAACACACCAATCAGCACTCTGTCAAAACGGACCAATCAGCTCTCTGTAAAATGGACCAATCAGCTCTCTGTAAAATAGATCAATCAGCTCTCTGTAAAATGGACCAATCAGCATGATGTGGGTGGGGCCAGATAAGGGAATAAAAGCGGGTCATCTGAGCCAGCAGTGCAACTTCTTGGGTCCTGTTCCACGTTGTGGCAGCTTTGTTCTTTTGCCCTGTTCTTTAGGTCTTCACAATAAATCTTGTGGCTGCTCACTCTTTGGGTCTCCATGGTCTTTATGAGCTGTAAGGCTAGCCATGAAGGTCTGCAGCTTCACTCCTGAAGCCAGCGAGACCACAAACTGGCTGGGAGGGAGGAACAACTCTGGAATGGGGAGGAATGAACAACTCTGGACACGACACTGTTAAGAGCTGTAACACTCATCATGAAGGTCTGCAGCTTCACTCCTGAAGTCCGAGAGACCACGAACCCACCAGAAGGAAGAAACTCTGGGCACATCTGAACATCTGAAGGAACAGACTCTGAACACACCATCTTTAAGAACTGTAACACTCACCGCAAAGGGTCCGGGGCTTCATTCTTGAAGTCAGGGAGACCAAGAACTCACCAATTCTGGACACACTAACTTCAAAGTTGCAATTACATAGTACCCAGTCTCTTCTGATTGATTTCAATAGATTAATGATATGCCCTTAGAAATTCTGCATTCAGTAATCAAAGTGGTGAACTTCCGGTATGTATTCAAAGGAAAATAAATCGTCATATCAAAAAGAAAACTACACTTGCATGTTTGTTGCAGAACTAGTCACAATAGCAAAGAAATGAAATCAACCTAAGTGCCCATCAATAGAGGGCTGGATAAAGATAATGTGGTACATGTGCACTGTGGAAAAATAATCAGCCATACAAAAGAAGGAAATCATCTCTTTTGCAACATAGATGAAACTAGAAGCCATTATTCTAGGTAAAATAACTCAGAAACAGAAAGTCAAATACTACATATTTTCACTTATATGTGGAGATAAACAATGAGTACACATGGACGTAAAGAGTGGAATAATAGACAATTGAGGAATACCAAAATGGGAAAAGTGGAAGGGGAGTGATGATTGTTACATTATCTATTGGTTAAAACTGCCGAGACTTCACCGCTCTGCAATATATGCATGTTAAGACATCTGTAATTGTACCTGCTAAATATATAAAATAGTAAGAATAATAATGAAAAATGGATGAGAGAAAACTGCTGAATCATTACCAACCTCTTCATTCTGATTTGTTTGGTATATATTCATGGAGGACCTATCATAAGCCAAGAATTGCATCCTGCACTAGGAAGAAAGAAAACAAAGCTGAGTGAGACCATGGAATATTGTACAGCCATAAAAAAGAATGAGATTATGTTGTTTTCAGTAATATAGATGGAGCTGGAGGCCATTGTCTTTCTCAAACTAATGTAGAAACAGAAAACAAAACAAACCAAATACCACATGTCCTCACTTAAAAGTAGAAACTAGGCTAGGTGTGGTGGCTCATGCCTGTAGTCATAGCACTTTGGAGGCCAAGGGGGACAGATCATGAGGTCAGGAGACCAGCCTGACCTACGTGGTGAAGCCTCATCTCTACTAAAAATACAAAAATTAGCCAGTGTGGTGACACATGCCTGTAATCCATGCTACTCAGAAGGCTGAGGCAGGACAATTGCATTAACCCGGGAGGTGGAGGTTGAGGTGAGCCGATGTCATGCCACTGCACTCCAGCCTGGGTGACAAAGTGAGACTCCATCTCAAAAAAAAAAAAAAAAAGAAAGAAAAAATTAAAAAAAATGTGAAAACTAAATGACGAGAACACATGGACCCAAAGAAGGGAACAACAGACACTGGGACCCACAAGAGGGTGGAGAATGGGAGGAGGGAGAAGAGCAGAAAATACATCAATTGAGTACTACAATTAATGCTTAGGTGATAAAATAATCTGTGCAACAAATCCTCATCACACAATTTTACCTATGTAATAAATGTTCTATATTAGTCTGCCTTCACACTGCTATAAAGATACAACCTGAGACTGCGTAATTTATGAAGAAAAGAAGTTTAATTGACTCACAGTTCTGCATGGCTGGGGAGGCCTCAGAAAAGTTATGATCATGGCACGAGGGGAAGAGGCATGCCTTACCTGGTGGCAGGTGAAAGAGTGTGAAGAGTGAGGGGTGAAAAGCCTCTTATGAAACCATCATATCTCGCGGGAACTCACTCACTATCATGAGAACAGCATGGGGGAAAACACCAGCATGATCAAATCACCTCTACCTCGTCTCTCCCTTGACACGTGGGAATTGTGGGAATTATGGGAATTATAATTCAAGATGAGATATTGGTGGGGACACAGAGCCTAACCATACCACCCCCATTTGTACCCCTGAACTTAATATAAAAGTTAAAAGTTGATTTCACAGAAGTAAAAACTAGACCAGAGGATACTACAGCCTGGGAAGGGTGGTTGGAAGAGGGAGATAGGGAGAGATTAAAGTTTACAAAATTACTGCCAGATAGGAGGAATACATTCTGGTTGTCTATACTACTGTAGGATGTCCACAGTTAACAATAATGTTTCCAAGCACAGGCTTCTTAGGAGTAACAGTAACAAAAACAATCTTGCACAAAGAGTGTTTCTACCCATCAGGGACTCCACAACCAAAGATTTTATTAGGGGCTGGTCACATAGGCACCCTCTGCTTACCACTTTCCGAAATGCTGGACTCCCAGAAGAAAAGCAGATTTGCACCATAAATTGCATTGTTTGCACCATCTAGTCACAGCACAAATAAAAACAAATAAACAAAATATATATCAGTTAGGGAATGTACTGGATTGAATAGTGTTCCTCTGAAACTCATGTTCATCTAAAATCTCAGAATATGACCTTTCTCCAAAATAATGTCTTCAGAGATGTAATTAGCGGACAATTCCATATGACAATGGAGGTAGAGATTGGAGTGATGCTCCCATAGGCTAAAGAATGCCCAGGACAGTCAGCAACCACGAAGAACTGAAAGAAATAAGCATGGACCATCCCCTAAAGACTTCAGTGGCAGCGGAGTCCTACTGCCAATTTGATTTCAGACTTTGGTGTCAAAAATGGTGAGATAATAAATATGTTGTTTCAAGCCAACCCGTTTGAAGCGATGTGCATGACAACCCTAAGAAGCTCATCTAGGAAACTACCCACTAGTGTAGGAACGTTTTACAAGCTGTGTTCCCAGTCACCAGCCAAGGGCTGACCTTGCAAGCACGATCTTCTAAAGATAACTGTTTCAGGCTTGCTGTGTGCACACTTTTCTGCACACCCCTCAGCTAATGGAAGCTGAAGATAGCTCAATGAAAGAGGTGATGTGAGCTAAATCATCAGATAAGGAAATAGGTTTGGAAAGATAATTAAGTCATTCCCAAAAAACAAACCAGTGTCTTAGCTTATTTGTGCTGCTGTAACAGAATACCACAAACTGAGTAATTTACAAGCAGAAATTTACTGGCTCACAGTTCTGGAGGCTGGGAAGTTCAAGACTGAGGATCCAGTAGGTTTGTGATTCTGATTCCAAGATGGCACCTTGAATGCTGCATTATCTGTTGGGGAGAAATGCTTTCTCCTCATGTAGCAGAAAGTTAAAGGGTAAAGAGAGACTTTCACCTTCAAATTGAGCCCTTATATAAAAGGTTTCCTCCCTCGCATTTGTGAGAACTTTATGCTTATTATTTTATTAACTGTTATAGGCGCAAACTTTTAATACTAACCTATTAAGGATTAGGTTTTCACAAATGAATTTTGGAGGGGATGCAAAATCTCAAACCATGGCAACCAGTATGCACAAAAGAGATAGAAGACACTGGATAAGTTAAAGCTGAAAGACGCTCTCTCATAGGTTCGTCACACCCTCTACTTTTATTTATTCGTTCAAATACTTCGGAGTTTACCATAGGCTAATCATGGTCTCAGAAGCTGTAAATACTATAGAGAAGCAGCCCCAAATGTTTTTGGAAGCAGGGATGGGTATGTTGGAAGACACTTTTTCCAGGAACCGTGGTGGGATGGAGGTGGGGGGGGATGGGGGTGGTTTGGAGTGATTCAATGGCTTTACATTTAATGTGCACTTTATTTCTATTATTATTTCACTGTAATAGGCAATGAAATAATTATATAACTCACTGTGATGCAGAATCTGTGGGAGCCATAAGCTTGTTTTCCTGCAACTAGACAGTCCTACCTCGGGTGATGGGAGACATCATTAGATTCTCATAAGGAACGTGCGGCCTAGATTCCTCACTCGTGCAGTTCGCAATTATGGTTCACCCTCCCATGAGAATCCAATACTGATGCTGATGTGCAGGATGTGGAGCTCAGGCAGTAATGCACTGTGAGTGATGGGGAGCAGCTCCAAATACAGATAAAATTTCACTTGCTCCCCTGCTGCTCACGTGCTGTGCAGCTTTGTTCCTAACAGGCCATGGGCTGATACTGGTCTATGGCCTGTGGACTGGGGAACTCTGCTGTAGAGAAACAAAAGAAATAGGGTGCGTGCCTTCATGGGGCTCGATGTGGGGGAAACATCAAACAAACATCAATAAATATGTCATTACAATCATCATGGTTAGAGTAAAAAGGCAGAAAAAGAAGGTGCTGAGAGAGCAGGGGGTAAGATGTTCAATTTAGGTAGCCTGGCGTTGGAGTTTAGAGAGGGTCTCTGCCAGGGGACAGACATAGCCAGCCTGAGATGTGTAGACTGAAGAGAGTTTTTGACACAGCAGATCATGACAAGTAATCTGTGTGCTGGACAGAAAACAAGTTACAAAAGAGCCAGTAGGAAAGTGTGGTGTCCATTGTGCTCTAACCAACTTAACTGGTCACCATCTGTTGAGGACTGAATCCTGCTTCCTACAGCAAGGTTTTCGCCTCCTCTTAACAAGCTATATTCTGCTTGGACGTCACCTGTGAACTTCTTTCCGCAGGTGAACTGCAAGAACTCATAGGTCCTCTTAACCTTCCCATCTCCCCAGAAGAACATCTGTGACCCCAGTCTGAGTTAGGAGTGTCACTGTGAATTCAATTGCATTGGTGCTCACTGTATCATAGACAGGTGCATTGTGCAAGAAGAACTGCAGAGCATCTCGCCTTTATTACACTGGATTGCCTCTTTACAAACCAAAACAGCTGGAGAGGAAAGACTTTATTCTCACTCATTCCTTAGTGGGCAGTTAGATGCCTGACCCAGAGAGCAGTCTCTAAACTGTAGTTTGTACAATGACACTGAATGAGAAGGAGAGGACCTTTGAGTCAAGCAGAAACAGGGCTGTTTGCATCTATGGGGAAACCTGTCACGCACAAAGGCACCCACGTGTATGGTTAACAGATGTTAAAGGTCCCTGGTTTCCATCTCATGCACAATTTGGTTTTCTGTGGGAAGGCAAGTGTACATTTGATCTTCTGAGTGTTGCAATTTAAGTCTCCTTTGACTTAACCTGGAGGTGATTCCCTTCTCCAGTTTTCTGGCTAAAGAAAAATACTTAACAGGCTCCTAAAATAGCATAAAACCAGTGAGAAGGAAATGATACACCAATTTAAGTAAGGGAAAAATATAACAGGGATGAAGATGTGGGACAAACTGAGAAAGAGGAGAGATATTTCATCATTGAGGTGGGGTCAACTTTATGATAGAAAATGCTGAGATTGTGGAGGATGATCAAAGTCATGACCACATGAAAGGGCTGGCCATCCTTCTAGGGAAACTCTAGAAGGTATTTGAGACATGACTGAAGCCCTCTGTGAATGTTGTTGAAATGGAAGCAGCTCAGAGATATGGGAATACCAGAGGCCCTGCTGGATGGATGTTCTCACCTGCAAAAGATTAGTTATTGCTAGAATTGTTTTCATTTCTGTAAATCAGTATACTCAAAGTATTGTGTATTGAGTTATGAGGCCAGCTTGCATCTAAGGTGATCATTGTTGAGAAGTATATCAAGCAGCATTTAAAAATGTATAGAAATAATTTAATTTAAAAAAAAACCCTCTTGTTCATTCTCTGTCAATGAAGCAATCTTTTTTGTACAAATTTATGAGCTACATGTGGCATTTGTTACATGCATAGATTGCATAGTGGTCAAATAGGACTTTTAGGATATGTATCATCTAATCAACCTACATTGTACATATTAACTAATGTCTCATCATTCACTCCTCCCTCCCACCCACTCACCCATTTGCATCTGTATTGTTTATTATTCTACTCTCTGTGTCCATGTGTACACATTTTAGCACCCACTTCTGAGTGAGAATATGTGGTATTTGACTTTCTGTGCCTGGTTTGTTTCACTAAAGACAGTTACCTTCAGTTTCATCCATGTGCTGCAAAAGACATAATTTCATGTTTTTCATGGCTAATAGTATTCTGTGGTGTATATGTACTGCATTTTCTTTTTCCAGCCTACTATTGATGGACATTTACATTGATTCCCTATCTTTGCTATTGTGAATAAAACTGCCATAAATATGTGATTGTATCTTTTTGCTATAATGGTTTATTTTCCCTGAGTACTTATCGAGTAGTGAAATTGCTGGATTGAATGGAAGTTCTAATTTTAGCTATTAGAGAAATCTTCACATTTGTTTCCCTAAAGGTTGTACTAACTAACAGTAACTCAACAAACAGTATCTAAGCATTCCTTTTTCTCTGTATCCTCATCAACATCTTTTTTTGGGGGGTGTGGGTCTTTTTAATAATAGCCATTCTGAGTGGGATAAGATAAAACTTCATTGTGGTTTTAATTTGTATTTCCCTGATGATTACTAAGATTGGGCAGAAATAATCTTTTGTTATTAAAAGCAGAACCTCCATTTTGGTTTATGAAATTAGCATTTTTATAGGGTCAGTGTAGCACATCCAATGTGTGTGATGTAGCCAAAATTAGAAATGAAAAAGAGAGATAACAACGAGTGTTGGAAAGGATACAGAAACAAAAATGGAACCTCCTACACTGCTGATGGGAACCTTCCTACACTACTGATGGGAACCTTCCTACACTACTGATGGAAGCCTTCCCACACTACCGATGGGAACCTTCCCACACTGCTGATAGAATCTTCCTACACTATTATGGAAACCTTCCTACACTACTGATAGAATCTTTCCACCCTACTGATGGAACTTCCTATACTACTGATGGAACCTTCCCAAACTGGGATGAAACCTTCACACTACTGCAGGAAGCTTCCTATACTACTGTTGGGAACCTTCCTACACTACTGATGGAACTTTCCCATACTACTACAGAAGACTTCCTACACTACTGATGCAACCTTCCCACACTTCTGATGGAATCTTCTTACACTACTACAGAAAACTTCCTACACTAATGATGGAACCTCCCTACACTATTGATGGAATTTTCCCACACTACTACAAAAAGACACAGCCATTTTGGGAAAAAGTCTGGCAGTTTTTCAAAATGTTAAATATAGAGTGATCCTTTGAAGTCCCCATGTATTCTACTCATATGTATATACCCAAAATAAATAAACATATAGAACCACACAATAACTGGCATACAAATGTGCATAGTAGCACAACATGGAAACCACACACATACCCATCAATGAATGCATACATAAACATTGATATGTTCATCTATCCAAAGGAGTGGTCAATCCATACAAAGGAGTAATATTTGGCCGTAAAAAGAAAGAAAATGCGAACACAGACTACAACACTGTTATATGTTGAAAATACAATGCTCAGTGAAAGAAACCAGACAGGGAGAGCCACGTGTAATATGATGACATTTATATAACATGGCAAGACTAAGCAAATCTATAGACAGAATATAGATTAGTGGTTGCCACGGACTGGGGAGAGAGGTAATGGGGAGTGGGTGTTTAACAAATATGAGGTTTCCCTTCTGGGGTGATAAAAATGTTCTGGCATTAGAGGTGATGGTTGGACAACTCTGAATATTCAAAGAACCACTGAACTGGACACATTACAAGAGGAAGCTTTAGGGCATGTGAGCAATATCTCACTATAACTCAGTAAATCAATTATAAGGCAGAGTGCTGTTATAAAAAAAAGACCTAGGTCTAAAACAGCTACAAACATGGTAACTACTTAAGCCATTAATTTCCTCATGTAATAATGTAAAACTACAAATGTTTGTTTTTAGAAATCTGAAGCATAATCTGTAATGTAGCAATTCTGTTTCTTTTCCTTATTGTTCTGCTACACAGAGACCATGATAAAGCTGAGGGGAATGATCAATTAATCAAACTGATATGGATTGCGAAGAAAAATTTGTGTTTATATTAGCATTTCCCTTACTGACCAGCTAATGTGATTTCAACACCACCCTATTTACCCTTCAAGGATCCTCATAATTATAAAAGCCTATAAAAGCAAATTGACTGATAAATAAATTTCAGTAAATTAATGAAAGAAGAAATTACAGAGTCGATACACAGGTGGCATTGGTTTTAATTACATTTGTAGCCAGTAAGTATTCATATAATCAGAGGACAATACAGAGACCTTGAAAAATCAGATGATGACATTAAGAAACATCCTTAGAAGTGTTTGCAGATGACAAGTCTCATACTTGACCTCCTTCCTCATACATTATGCAGAATTCACAAATGTCCACCAGTTCTCTTTGAAATAAGACACTTTATTCACTTAACAGTTGCCATTTCTAAAGAGATAATAGAAATTTGAAAGTCAACAGCCAAATTAAACAATGGCACAAGAAAATTATCAGACACACAGAAGGGGATATAATATTGTAGGAAAAGGGACCTGGATGTTTCAGTGGGGTGCAGGTGTGGAGAGATAGATGGGCAGATGAATAAAACTGGATGGCTAGAAAAATAGACAGAATGACATAATGACAGAACAGTAGAATGATAGATGGCTAGAAAGAGATGTAGTTTAGCTATTGTCTCATGGATTTATGGAGGCTGAGAAGTCCCACGTTGTTTTGTCTACAAGCTGGAGACCCAGGAAAGCTAGTGGTATCATTGAAGAAGTTCTGAAATCTGGAGAGCCAATGGTATAGATTCCAGCCCAAGTCTGAAGACCTGAGAAACAGGAGCACCAAGGCAGAAGATTGATGTCCCATCTCAGCAGTGAGGAAGAAAGGGGGAGAGTCAACCTTCCTCCACTTTTTTTTTTTAATCTCTTCTGGCTTTCAGGGGATTGAATGATTCCTGCCTACATTGTGGAGGGTTCATCTGCTTTAATATGTGGATTCAAATGCTAATCTTTTCCAGAAACACCATTACAGACATACTAAAAAATAATGCATAATCAGGGATCTTGGCATTCCATGGCCCAGTTAAATTGACACATAAAGTTCTCCATTAAAGGAGCATTCCTGATATCTCAACATGTAGATGCAGGCATGTCTTTGAAACAAAATTATTTTTACTTTAGATTTAGGGGTTACATGTTCAGGTTTGTTACATAGATATATGGCATAATGCTGGGGTTTGGGCTTCTAGTGAACCCATCACCCAAACAATGAACATTGTACCCAATAGATAATTTTTTAGTGGTTAATCCTCCTCCATCCCCCTTTTTTGGAGTCCCCAGTGGTTTTGTTTTTGTTTTTTTTCTATGTTTCTTCTTTTTGTTTTAAGAGACAAAGGTTCACTTTATTGCTGTGCAGGTCCTCCTGGGTTGACCTTTGTTCTCAACCACAATACCCCTTAAACATTCCTTTCCCTTAGGTTAGTCTGTGGGAATATGGAATCATCTTGTTACTAGATTTTCCAAGCAGAAATGTCCTGAGACTGCTCAAATATAACAGCCAACAATTTTGACCACTTTGAATCTACTTATTGTTTTTTTGATGCCATAAATCCATTTGGAAGTTTGGTCATGCCAACACCATTAGGAAAATTTGGACCATAGGAGGGCATAGAAAGATCACCATGAATTTTTTTTTTTTTTTTTTTTTTTTTTTTAGGAAGCACAGCCTCAACTCATTAATATCAGCTCTGATCTTTTCCAAAAGATGGTGGTGATGAATGAGTTAAAATGCAGACCCTTTTTATTTTAAAGAATGGAAATAAAATATGTAGCTTACTGTCTGTAAAAGAACATGAGCGATTGAAGTAATGCAAAAAATCTAGAAGACAAAGCTTATGAATTCTTAAATAAAATCTGAACATATTTGTATATTGAGAGCTTAGTTAAGTAGCTATGAAATAATTCTTGAATCTATAAGTTAATGAAAGAAAATTCATTTTTTCTAAATGGTGGAAGTGCTTGGTTGGAGAATTAAGTAGTTGAGTGAACACGATACACAAACTTACTGGGATGTCTGCACTATTGCTATTTGCTGCTTGCTGCAGGTGCCCCAGGGGATGCCGAACATGGTTACAAGAGAAAAGGAGTTGGAGACTGTGAATTGCCTTCAGAGTAAGATAAAAAGGAAAGAAAAAAGTGCAGACAAGTAGGAGGGAGGAAGGTCTAGGGCTTTCCTCAGGCTGAGTGATTTGAACTCTCTGAATGTAAATGAAGATAACAGCATAAATGATCATCTATGTATTGAAAACCAATGGAAATAACAACAATTATGTAGATACTAGCAATACATAGATGATAATACAGATGCCTGGATACCACCATGCCCTATCTGTACTCCTTGGTCCAACACAAACAAAGCTTACCCAACCCCTTTTTCCTTAGAAAAGACAGCACCCATGGAAAATACAGTCCCCTGACTTGTGTCTGCATTTCACCAATACAAACACATTCTGTTCTTTATAAACCGAGTGTATTAGCCCTTTCTTGAATTACTATGAAGAAATGCCTGGCTGGGCATGGTGTCTCACACCTGTAACCCCAACACTTTGGGAGGCTGAGGTGGGAAGGTCATGAGGTCAGGAATTTGAGACCAGCCTGACCAACATTGTGAAACACTTTCTCTAATAAAAATACAAAAATTAGCCAGTATATTGGTGTGCTTCTGTAATCTCAGCTAATTAGGAGGCTGAGGCAGGAGAATCACTTGAACCTGGAAGGTGGAGTTCACTGTCAGCTTAGATTATGTCACTGCACTCCAGCCTGGGTGATAGAGTAAGACTCTGGAAGAAAGGAAGGAAGGAAGGAAGGAAAGAAGGAAGGAAGGAAGGAAGGAAGGAAGGGAAGGAGGGAGGGAAGGAGGAAGGAAGGAAAGAAAGAAAGAAGGAAAGAAAGAAAGAGAGAGGGAGGGAGGGAGGGAGAGAGGGAGGGAGACAGAGGGAAGGAGATAGAGGGAAGGAGGGAGGAAAATAAAGAGAAGACTTTAGACTGAATAACTTGTAAAGAAAAGGGGTTTAATTAGCTCACAGTTCTGCAGACCATACAGGAAGGATGGTGTCAACCTCTGCTCCTGGGGAGGACTCAAGAATCTTGTAATTATGGTGCAAGGAGAAAGGGGAGTAGGCCCTTCACATGGCAGAAGTTAGGGCAAGTGTGTGTGTGTGTTTGTGTGTGTGTGTGTTGGGGTCGTGCCACACACTTTTAAACAATCAAATCTTTTAAGAACTCACTATCATGAGGACAGCACCAAGAAGATGGTGCTAATCCTAATGAGAAATCCGTCCTTATGATCCAATCTTCTACCACCAGGCCCAACCACCAATGTTGGAGATTACAAATTATCATTTGGGCAGGGACACAGTCCAAATTATATCACTCATGTTCTTCTGCATGAGAGCAAGACTCACTGTAGATTGTATAAAGTGCGGCAATTTATTCCTGTTTAAGTTTACAAAAGCATCTGGGAGAGAAGGCTCATTTCACCAGAGCACACTCAGGAAGACTGCCTCAAGCAAATCTCTCAAGAGGCTCAATGTAAATGGTCAGCTTCATTCCAAGAGATTCTTTCCCAGTGAAGGATGAGTTTGTCGGGGTATTAAATTTAAAAGGTGGACCCAGGGATAAAAGCGGAAAGAGGTATCATGTAAGATTGTGTCTTGGCTAGGGGTATAAACACAACTTTTAGCCATGGAGAAACATGAAGTTTTGTGGGTAGAAATAATCAGATCTTTATACTAAATCTGAAAATTATTCGATTTCCCCTGCCTCGTCAGCCTCAACAACATGAGAACAAACATCTTTAGATACAATCCTGATGACCACATATGTCTATTGTCCACCCACCATCCACTTACCAAATGTACCCCCCATCTCTTCCCATGTTCCACTGTATCAGAATCTAATGAATATTAATGTTGTATTGTTACAATAGAATAAGCTAGAGAAAAAATGTTATTAAGAAAATCCTAAGGAAGAGAAAATATATTCACTATTCCTTAATTGGAATTGGTTCATTATAAAGTTCTTTATCCTCATCATCTTCAGGATGAGTAGGCTGAGGAACAGGAGAAAGAGGATAAGTTGAACTGTCTTGCTGTCTCAGGACCGGCAGAGGCAAAATAAAATTCACAAAATCAAACTTTTATTGTTTAGAGGTCAACCACATCTGCCTACCAATACACTTGGTAGAAAAAGTTAATCTTTCTCTTGGCTTTTCTCACTTATGTTCTAGAGATGGGAAGAACTTTATTTTTCTCTTATAGGTTCCCATTTAGTTTGTCCAGTGGTAGGGCAGAAACATCCTTCTTTTTTCTAGGTTATCAGGAAAACCCTTTTGAAGGGTTTTCTTCCAAAACTTTTTTTAAGCAGCTATTTTTCAATATTGTTTTATTTCTAATATATTTAGGGGCTACAAGTGCAGGCTTTTTACATGCATATAATGTGCAGTGGTGAAGTCTGGGCTTTCAGTGAACGCGTCATCCAAATAGTGAACATTGTACCCAATAGGTCATTTTTCAACCCTTTCTCCCTCTCACCCTCTCCTCTTTTGGAGGCCCCAATGTCCATTTTTTCCTTCTATATGTCCATATGTCCTTCTATATGTCCATTAGCTCCCACTGTAAGTGAGAGCATGTGGTATTTGATTTTTTGCTTCTGAGTTAATTCACTTAGAATAATGGTCTTCAGGTCTACCCATGTTGCTGCAGAAGGCATAATTTCATCCTTTTCTACAGCTGAGTAATATTCCATAGTGTATGTGCACCACATTTTCTTTATCCAATGTCCTGTTGATGGACACATAGGTTGATTCCACATCTTTGCAATTGTGGATAGTGCTGTGATAAACATATTAAGTGCAGCTGTCTTCTTGATAGAAGGATTTCTTTTCCTTTGGATACATGTATCTAGTAGTGGGATTGCTGGATCTAACACAGGTTCTACTTTTTGTTCTTTGAGAAATAGTCATACTGTTTCCTAGAAAGGTTCTAACCCTTTGATATGGTTTGGCGGTGTCCCCACCCTAATCTCAAATTGTAGGTCCAGGAATTCCCATGTGTCATTGGAGGGACCACAAGAGAGGTAATCGAATCACTAGCATGGGTCTTTCCAATGCTGTTCTTGCAATAGTGAGTATGTCTAATGGGTTCTGATGATTTTATAAAGGGTAGTTCCCCTGCATACACTCTCTTGCCTGCTGCAATGTAAAATGTGATTTTGTTTCTCCTTCACCTTCTGCCATGACTGTGAGGCTTCCCTAGCCATGTGGAACTGTGAGTCCATTGAGTCTCTGTCTTTTATTTATTTTCATTTTATTTTAATTGTTTATTCCATTGAGATGAAGTCTTATTCTGTTGCCCAGGCTGGAGTAGAGTGGTACAATCTTGGCTCCCTGCAACGTTTGCCTCCGTGGTTCAAGCAATTCTCCTGCCTCAGCCTCCTGAGTAGCTGAGATTACAGGCAAGTGCCACCACACCTAGCTAATTTTTCTATTTTTAGTAGAGATGGGGTTTCACCATATTGGTCAGGCAGATCTTGAACTCCTGACCTCGTGATCCACCCACCTCGGCCTCCCAAAGTGCTGGGATTATAGACGTGAGCCACTTCACTCGGCCTAAACTTCTTTCCTTTATATATTATGCAGTCTTGGATATGACTTTATTAGTGTAAGAACAGACTAATACACCCATGATTGAATATCTGAACAATTCTCTCTAGCCGGCTGGATTCAGTATTCTCCTCTCTCTTCCTTGTGTGCGGATCCCCAGTCCTACTTTTTTCCCCATTCATCAGTTACTTTACACACCCAAGAAGATGAATAGTTAAGAAAATCTGACATTGTGCAGACTGGAATTCAAGAAAAAAAGTCCACTTACCATTGCCCTTCAGCCTGACTAACAGTCAGGCTGTTACCTGTTACCTGTTACCTGTCTGCTTACCCTCATCTCTCATATTCCTCAACCATCCTTCCTCTCTACAAACATCCATTCAAACTCCACAGAAATGTCTTACTGGCCTCTCCCTGGAACAGCTCCCATTTTAGGATTAATCACACTGCAACCTGTTATTCCAATCACATCAGGCATCTTTTTACAATGTAGAATCCATTTCACAATCCCAGCTTAAGCTAGAGGTTCATCATGTCTAGAAAACTCTCCTATGGTGACATGATGTATGTCTGTTTTCCTTGAACTTCTCCCCTCTGCCTTCCTCAAGGGTTTCTTCTCCATTTATCTAACCCTACTTGCTGTTGTTTTGTTATTGGGTCTGTTGATTTTTCTCCCTTTATCTACCTTAACTTGCTGGTGTTTTCTATGTTATAAGGTCCATTGATTTCCTCACTTTACATTGTTCCCTGAGCTGTCACAGCATGCACACTTTTTTTCACTTACCAGCTCTGCACCTCTTTTGTATCTATATCACAGATGCACTTCCACTAGTTTCATTCTCACACTTCCAACCTCATACTGATGGTGCCTTCCTGGATGTGCACAGACACTTAAAGTCAGCAAGGCTACAAAACACTCAGCATGTCTCTGCCTAAGTGGCTGGTCCACCTGTATGCATTTCCTCTTTCCATGTGATGTACCAACCACTCATGCTAGAAAAAAAAAATCATCAAGCTTATCTTATTTTCCTGTTAAGACTGGGGTGCTCAAACTCTGAGCAATGGGCAGGTACTAGTCTGTGGCTTGTTAGAAACCAGGTTACACAGCAGGAAGTGAGTGACAGGCAAATGAGTGAAGCTTCATCTGTATTTACAACCTCTCCCAATCACTTGTGTCACCACCGGAGCTCTGCCTCCTGTCAGATCAGCAGTGGCATTAGATTATCATAGGAATTTTAACCCTATTGTGAACTGGACATGCAAAGGTTCTAAGTTGTGTGCTTCTTATTAGAATCTAATGCCTGATGATCTGTCGCTGTCTTCCATCACTCCATATAGGACCATCTAGTTCTAGGAAAACAAGCCCTGGGATCCCACTGATTCTACATGATGCTGAGTTTGAGTTGTAAAATTATTTCATTATATATTACAGTGTAATAATAATAGCAAAAAAAGTGTGCAATTAAATGTCATGCATTTGAATCATTTCAAAACCATCCTCCCCACTGCTGGCCTGTGGAAAAATTGTCTTTCACTAAACCAGTCCCTGGTGCTAAAAAGGTTGGAAACTGCTGCCTTAAGCTTTACCTCCCACATTCATCACCTCCCCAGATAAATGGTCACATTCTGATTATTGAAACTTCCAAACATTTCCTGAAAATCTCACAACTCTCCTATAGATTACTAGTTTGGTTCACACCTTTGTCTTCTCCTAGTTTGCCTGTTACAAAGTTGTCTACATGGGTCTTTCCCCTAAGGTTAATGATGTCAAACCTACCCTCCATTCAGAAGATACTCCTGAAAACATGCATGATCATTTAGCTCCTTCTAACTCTTCAATGGCTGCCTGTCACCTGCAGGATATCATCAAAACTAATTAACACACTAGTCCAAGCTGTGCAAGCCTCATTTCTCCATACTCTCTACCTCTTAACTTTCTGCTCTGACCTCATTCCACTCCAAGGGTGGTCCATGAATGGATAGAATTAGTCTAAGCTGGGAGATTGTTAGAAATGCAGAATCAAAGACACGACCCTAGAAATAAAGAATTGAAACCTGCACTAAGCAGAATCCCAGGGGATTGAAATACTTGAAGCATGGTAGAAAAGTGCTGCTCTAACACAGAATTTCCAAACCTAAATTCTATGACACACTCTTCCAGTAAATACTCATCAATTCATTAAGCAATCAGTACACTTACATTTATTTATTTATTTTTTACAAAAAGAGTCCGTTTCTAACCTAGTTTGAGACAGGGTCTCTCTCTGTCACCCAGAATGCAGAGTGCAATCATGGCTCACTGTAGCATTGACCTCCTGAGTAGCTGGGATTATGGGCACCCACCACCACATCTGGCTAATTTTTTTTTTTTTTATAGTTAGTAGAGATGGAGTTTCACCATGTTGGCCATGCTGAGCTCGAACTCCTGACCTCAGGTGACCCATCTGCCTTGGGCTCCCAAAGAGTTGGGATTACAGGCATGAGCCTCCATGCCCAGCCTGTTGTCACACTCTTAATTGTGTTAAATTTAGTTTTTCTATTTGCTTCCTTTTTGTTTTTTATAAATTTTTCCATTGATTCTTTTCTTCTTTTTCTCAGAGAGATTAGCTATTTATATAACTTTGATTTTGTATCCAACAGAACCAACCCCTCAACTAAGCAGGAAGTTATTATATTTAAGAATTATTTTTTTCTTATCTATTTAATAATATTTTGTTTTCTTTTAAACAAGTTGAGTATAATTGATTCATGTTCATTTGTTTATTATTAAAGGTGTTTACCTTTGGGGATGTCTCTTCAGCTTTATTCATACTATAGTTTTAGATATGCAATATTTTACATGTTTTATCCAGATGGTTTAGGATAAAAGTGTTGATTTCTCAGCTTAAAATTCATTTGCTGGTTTAAAAATAAACAAATTCATGTGGTCCACAATTTTTCTATATTGATAGTTCTTTTATATTTTGTCACAGAAATCAGTTTAAATAATTGTTGTTTGAAATATGGACTGTCTTTATGTACAGTCCATATTACATATGGCTCATTTTTATAAAGAATTTTGGTATGTATGTCATGAAAGATATGGCCTGATGGGATGGGAAGGGATAATGTTGTAGTAAGATTTAGGTATTAGGATTATATTAATGACATTAAAGAAGTTACATACATTTTCCTTATTCTGTAATTCTGTAACATTGAGTTTGTATACATTTAGCATTGTTTCCATCATAAATATTTGGTGGAATTTACTAGGAAAACAATCAGTATCTGAAGTTTCATTTATGGGAAATGTTGAAACCCATCTTCAATTTTTGAGACCCAAATTAATATTGAAATCCATAATTAATAATTTTTTTTCTTTCTTTACTAGATATAGTGCCCAAATTTTCTGTGGCTTCTTGTGTTGGTTTCACAATGTTATGCTTTTCTCAGAATGTTTCTATTTCCTCTAAGTCATCAGATGTATAGTCATACATAGTCATAAATTTGGTTGGTTATAATACTCTCTTATTTTCCTTTCAGTGTCCATGATCTGTAGTTCTCCTTTTGATTTTTTACTTTGGTAATCTGCGCTTTCTGTCAGTCTCAGTCATTTTTTAACAATTATAAACATCTCTTTAAATTTCTTTCCAATTTTTGTTTTCAATTTTATTGAATGGTGTTTTAATCATTACCTGCCCCAGTACAAAACTAAAAATAATAAACATGGACAGGATATCCCGCTGTTTTATGACAAGTCTGAAGTACATGTTTGCAGAAAATTCTTCAAGATTCATGACATCAAGCCTTGACCCCAAGTATATTAGTCATCGGCATTGATGGGTCCAAACCTCCTAGAAAATGGTATGTGTAAATGATGCATTTTGGCAATTTTAGATCACGAGGATGGGGATGCAAACAAATTATTTCAGATGATGGGGATTTATGTAAGATATGCGCAGGGAAGTTAAAAATGGCCAAACTTAAGTAGAACTCTCAGCAGTTGCCACAGTGCAAGGACACCTAGAATTTCAGGACAGCAGGGTTTCTTGGAGGCAGTACTATTCATTATTGACTCTGCTTTGTTGTAGGGAGTTAGCCAGGTGGATGCAGACTCATGACATGATTTGGCGACCCCAGCGGGGGCTGGATTTTCCCTATGGAGTGTGAAGAATGCAAGCAGCTAAGCAAGGCAGAAATTGCTGGGCTCCCTTAGAAGTGAGGGGAATCCCTGCAGTGGCTGAACTGCTCAGCAGCAGGTGAAGAAAAAATTATGGGTGACCCCTTCATTCAATAGACAACTAGGGCTGGTTAATAGAATACCTAAAATAGTGCTTTTAACAGGAGAAAAAAGTTTATACTATTTTGAGGGATGTGTGTATTTAAAATGAGTTTTTGGACTTACCACTCTGTCATTTGTGTTTTGGGGATAACAAGAAAAGTCTTAAAAAAGTTTTAAAAATGCTTAAAAACACACATATGAATTTATATTAATAAATATTGAAATAAACAATATATTTTTAAATAAATAGTAAATAAGTAAAGAAATACGCAAATATTGATAAAATTAATATTTTATTGTGATTTATACTTAAAATACGTAAATTTCTATGTGAATTTACACATATGTACGTACAAATATAAATAGATATAGATGAATATAGATCGACAGATAAGATATAATGTTGCAAATACATAAAGTCTTAATTTTATCCCATCTAAAGAGATTTTATTTTTTCGCCGAAATAAAATCAGTTACCTAAAATAGTGCTTCTTGCATGACTATTAAAAATGTAAAAAAATAACAGATGCTGATGAGGTTGTTGAGAAAAGAGAATGCTTGTGTATCTGGAGTTGGTTCCTGCTGGTGGGTTCGTGGTCTTGCTGAATCCAAGAATGAAGCCATGAACTTCTGAGGTGAATGTTACGGCTCTTAAAGATGGCAAGGATGCAAAGAGTGAGTGGTAGAAAAGTTTACTGTAAAAAGTGAAAGAACAAAGCTACCACACCATGGCATGGGAACAGAGTGGGTTGAGGCTGCTGGCTTGTGTGGCCAGCTTTTATTCCCTTATTTGACCCCACCCATGTTCTGTTTCTGTCCTATCAGAATGCCTTTTTTTCAATCCTTCCTGTGATTGGCTACTTTTATGATTCTGCTGATTGGTGTGTTTTACAGAGCACTGATAGGTCCATTTTACTGAGGGCTGATTGGTGCATTTTACAATCCTTTTGCTAGCTACAGACTGCTGATTGGTGTGTTTTTACAGAGTACTGATTGGTGAATTTTACAGTTGCTTTGCTAGCTACAGAGAGCTGATTGCTGCATTTTTACAGAGTGTGGACTTGTGCATTTTGCAACCTTCTTGTAAGACAGAAAAGTTCTCCAAGTCCCCACTCGACCCAGAAAGTCCAGCTGGCTTCTCCTCTCACTTGTACACTGCTGATGTGGGTGTAAATTAGTTCAGCTGCCATGGAAAGCAGCTTTGCAATTTCTCAAAGAACTTATAATGGCCATTTGACCCAGCTATCCTATAATTGGATATATATACAAAGGAAGATAAGTCCTTCTATCAAACTACACATGCACTCACATGTTCATCACAGTACTATTCACAATAGCAAAGACATAGAATCAACCTAAATACCCATCACCGGTAGACTGAATAAAGAAAACATAGTGCCTATACTCAATGGACAGTCCTAAGAAGAATGAGATCCTGTTTTTGCAGGAAGACGAATGCATATGGAGGCTATCATCCTTAGCAAACTAATGCAAGAACAGAAATCCAAAACCTGCATGTTCTCACCACGGCATTCCAGCCTGACTACAGAGTGAAAGACTCAATCTCAAAGAACAACAACAGCAACAACCACAGCAATAAACAAACAAACAAACAAACAAACAAAAAAAAAAAAACAAAAAAAAAACTACTATTCGATATGATGCTTATCACCCGGGTGACAAAATAATCTGTACACCAAACTCCCATGACACACAATTTATGTAGCAAACCTGAATACTGCGTCCCAACAAGCAATGTGAGAATGACTTGTAAAACCTTTCTAAATTTTGCCTAGTGAGGAAAATTACTCCTAGTTCAGATCCACTGGTCAGAAAATGACTTTATTTGTGGTATTATGTTATGATGAAAAATGTGTCTACAACATGGAAAAATGAACCATGTGCTCCACCCTGTGAGATTACATCTGACTTTAATAATGCCACCAAAATGAAAATTTAAAGATCCCGCTCTGCAAAGACCTCAGAAAGCACAGACCAGTACCTTGCAGCATTATTTTAACGGATATAACAACTCTTACTGAGCAATAAATACAAGCCAGATTTCCTTCCTTGTGGTTTTTACTGTGGGGATAGAAATTCAAAATAAATCTTAATGTAAGTTTACATGTCAACATTTCAGTAAGTCATCAAATTCTTCAAACCTAGTATTTTAAAGTCTCACCGCTGCTCAAATCCAGTGGAATCTGGGCATCCTTCTGGCATGAAGCATCCTTCTGTCATTGAACAATGTAGTCCAATTAGAGAAACTCCAAATTTGTATTTTTCCATCTTTGAAGCAGTTGTGACCAGGAACAAAGGTGTTACTTAGACACGTAAAACACCATTTTACTTTTTTCCCAGGGTAAAAATAGACACGGAAAGTAAAGTAAAAAGAAATACAACTTTAAATAACTAATAAGAAATATACTTTTTATAATCTAAATTTAACTATTGGCAGCTGCTTATACACATAAAGGACAATATTCTCAAATAATTTCTACCAGTCAATTTTTTAATGTACCAAGATAAGCTGCTTTTTTAAATTTATTTTTATTTTTTATATTTTTTTATTATTATATTTTAAGTTTTAGGGTACATGTGCACATGTGCAGGTTAGTTACATATGTATATATGTGCCATGCTGGTGTGCTGCACCCACTAACTCGTCATCTAGCATTAGGTATATCTCCCAATGCTGTCCCTCCTCCTTCCCCTCACCCCACAACAGGCCCCAGAGGGTGATGTTCCCCTTCCTGTGTCCATGTGCTCTTATTGTTCAATTCACACCTATGAGTGAGAATATGCGGTGTTTGGTTTTTTTTCTTCCCATAGTTTACTGAGAATGATGATTTCCAATTTCATCCATGTCCCTACAAAGGACATGAACTCATCATTTTTTATGGCTGCATAGTATTCCATGGTGTATATGTGCCACATTTTCTTAATCCAATCTATCATTGTTGGACATTTGGGTTGGTTCCAAGTCTTTGCTATTGTGAATAATGTCGCAATAAACATACATGTGCATGTGTCTTTATAGCAGCATGATTTATAGTCCTTTGGGTATATACCCAGTAATGGGATGGCTGGGTCAAATGGTATTTCTAGTTCTAGATCCCTGAGGAATCGCCACACTGACTTCCACAATGGTTGAACTAGTTTACAGTCCCACCAACAGTGTAAAAGTGTTCCTACTTCTCCACATCCTCTCCAGCACCTGTTGTTTCCTGACTTTTTAATGATTGCCATTCTAACTGGTGTGAGATGGTATCTCATTGTGGTTTGACTTGCATTTCTCTGATGGCCAGTGATGGTAATCATTTTTTCATGTGTCTTTTGGCTGCATAAATGTCATCTTTTGAGAATTGTCTGTTCATGTCCTTTGCCCACTTTTTGATGGGGTTGTTTGTTTTTTCCTTGTAAATTTGTTTGAGTTCATTGTAGATTCTGGATATTAGCCCTTTGTCTGATGAGTAGGTTGTGAAAATTTTCTCTCATTTTATAGGTTGCCTGTTCACTCTGATGGTAGTTTCTTTTGCTGTGCAGAAGCTCTTTAGTTTAATTAGATCCCATTTGTCAATTTTGGCTTTTGTTGCCATTGCTTTTGGTGTTTTAGACATGAAGTCCTTCCCCATGCCTATGTTCTGAATGGTAAAGCCTAGGTTTTCTTCTAGGGTTTTTATGGTTTTAGGTCTAACGTTTAAGTCTTTAATCCATCTTGAATTGATTTTTGTATAAGGTGTAAGGAAGGGATCCAGTTTCAGCTTTCTACATATGGCTAGGAAGTTTTCCCAGCACCATTTATTAAATAGGGAATCCTTTCCCCATTGTTTGTTTTTCTCACTTTTGTCAAAGATCAGATAGTTGTAGATATGCGGCGTTATTTCTGAGGGCTCTGTTCTGTTCCATTGATCTATATCTCTGTTTTGGTACCAGTAACATGCTGTTTTGGTTCCTGTAGCCTTGTAGTATAGTTTGAAGTCAGGTAGTGTGATGCCTCCAGCTTTGTTCTTTTGGCTTAGGATTGACTTGGCAATGTGGGCTCTTTTTTGGTTCCGTATGAACTTTAAAGTAGTTTTTTCCAATTCTGTGAAGAAAGTCATTGGTAGCTAGATGGGAATGGCATTGAATCTGTAAATTACCTTGGGCAGTATGGCCATTTTCACGATATTGATTCTTCCTACCCATGAGCATGGAATGTTCTTCCATTTGTTTGTATCCTCTTTTATTTCCTTGAACAGTGGTTTGTAGTTCTCCTTGAAGAGGTCATTCATATCCCTTGTAAGTTGGATTCCTAGTTTTTTTATTCTCTTTATAGCAACTCTGAATGGGAGTTCACTCATGATTTGGCTCTCTGTTTGTCTATTGTTGGTGTATAAGAATGCTTGTGATTTTTGTACATTGATTTTGTATTCTGAGACGTTGCTGAAGTTGCTTATCAGCTTAAGGAGGTTTTGGGCTGAGACAATGGGGTTTTCTAGATATACAATCATGTCATCTGCAAACAGGGACAATTTGACGTCCTCTTTTCCTAATTGAATACCCTTTATTTCCTTCTCCTGCCTAATTGCCCTGGCCAGAACTTCCAACACTACATTGAATAGGAGTGGTGAGAGAGGGAATCCCTGTCTTATGCCAGCTTTCAAAGGGAATGCTTCCAGTTTTTGCCCATTCAGTATGATATTGACTGTGGGTTTGTCATAGATAGCTCTTATTATTTTGAAATACATTCCATCAATACCTAATTTATTGAGAGTGTTTAGCATGAAGGGTTGTTGAATTTTGTCAAAGGCCTTTTCTGCATCTATTGAGATAATCATGTGGTTTTTGTCTTTGGTTCTGTTTATATGCTGGATTACATTTATTGATTTGCGTATATTGAACCAGCCTTGCATCCCAGGGATGAAGCCCGCTTGATCATGGTGGATTTAAGCTTTTTGATTTGCTGCTGGATTCAGTTTGCCTGTATTTTATTGAGGATTTTTGCATCAATGTTCATCAAGGATATTGGTCTAAAATTCTCTTTTTTGGTTGTGTCTCTGCCCGGCTTTGGTATCAGGATGATGCTGGCCTCATAAAATGAGTTATGGAGGATTCCCTCTTTTTCTATTGATTGGAATAGTTTCAGAAGGAATGGTACCAATTCCTCCTCGTACCTCTGGTAGAATTCGGCTGTGAAACCATCTGGTCCTGGACTCTTTTTGGTTGGTAAGCTATCGATTATTGCCACAATTTCAGATCCTGTTATTGGTCATTTCAGAGATTCAACTTCTTCCTGGTTTAGTCTTGGGAGAGTTTATGTGTCGAGGAATTTATCCATTTCTTCTAGATTTTCTCGTTTATTTGTGTAGAGGTGTTTGCAATATTCTCTGATGGTAGTTTGTATTTCTGTGGGATTGGTGGTGATATCCTCTTTATCATTTTTTGTTGTGTCTATTTGATTCTTCTCTCTTTTTTTCTTTATTAGTCTTGCTAGTGGTTTATCAGTTTTGTTGATCCTTTCAGAAAACCAGCTCCTGGATTCAGTAATTTTTTGAAGGGTTTTTTGTGTCTCTATTTCCTTCAGTTCTGCTCTGATTTTAGTTATTTCTTGCCTTCTGCTAGCTTTTGAATGTGTTTGCTCTTGCTTTTCTAGTTCTTTTAATTGTGATGTTAGGGTGTCAATTTTGGATCTTTCCTGCTTTCTCTTGTGGGCATTTAGTGCTATAAATTTCCCTCTACACACTGCATTGAATGCATCCCAGAGATTCTGCTATGTTGTGTCATAGTTCTCATTGGTTCCAAAGAATATCTTTATTTCTGCCTTCATTTCGTTATGAACCCAGTAGTCATTCAGGAGGAGGTTGTTCAGTTTCCATGTAGTTGAGTGGTTTTGAGTGAGATTCTTAATCCTGAGTTCCAGTTTGATTGCACTGTGGTCTGAGAGACAGTTTGTTATAATTTGTGTTCTTTTACATTTGCTGAGGAGAGCTTTACTTCCAAGTATGTGGTCAATTTTGGAATAGGTGTGGTGTAGTGCTGAAAAAAAATGTATATTCTGTTGATTTGGGGTGGAGAGTTCTGTAGATGTCTATTAGGTCTGCTTGGTACAGAGCTGAGTTCAATTCCTGGGTATCCTTGTTTACTTTCTGTCTCATTGATCTGTCTAATGTTGACAGTGGGGTGTTAAAGTCTCCCATTATTAATGTGTGGGAGTCTAAGTCTCTTTGTAGGTCACTCAGGACTTGCTTGATGAATCTTGGTGCTCCTGTATTGGGTGCATATATATTTAGGATAGTTAGCTCTTCTTGTTGAATTGATCCCTTTACCATTATGTAATGGCCTTCTTTGTCTCTTTTGATCTTTGTTGGTTTAAAGTCAGTTTTATCAGAGACTAGGATTGCCACCCGTGCCTTTTTTTGTTTGTTTTCCATTTGCTTGGTAGATCTTCCTGCATCCTTTTATTTTGAGCCTATGTGTATCTCTGCACATGAGATTGGTTTCCTGAATAGAGCACACTGATGGGTCTTGACTCTTTATCCAATTTGCCAGTCTGTGTCTTTTATTTGGAGGATTTAGTCCCTTTACATTTGAAGTTAATATTGTTATGTGTGAATTTGGTCCTGTCATCATGATGTTAGCTGGTTATATTGCTCGTTAGTTGATGCAGTTTCTTTCTAGTCTTGATGGTCTTTACATTTTGGCATGATTTTGCAGTGGCTGGTGATGGTTGTTCCTTTCCATGTTTAGCGCTTCCTTCAGGAGCTGTTTTAGGTCAGGCCTGGTGGTAACAAAATCTCTCAGCATTTGCTTCTCTTTAAAGTATTTTATTTCTCCTTCACTTATGAAGCTTAGTTTGGCTGGATATGATATTCAGATTTGAAAATTCTTTTCTTTAAGAATGTTGAATATTGGACCCCACTCTCTTCTGGCTTGTAGAGTTTCTGCCAAGAGATCCACTGTTAGTCTGATGGGCTTCCCTTTGAGGGTAACCCGACCTTTCTCTCTGGCTGCCCTTAACATTTTTTCCTTCATTTCAACTTTGGTGAATCTGACAATTATGTGTCTTGAAGTTGCTCTTCTCGAGGAGTATCTTTGTGGTGTTCTCTGTATTTCCTGAATCTGAATGTTGGCCTGCCTTGCTAGATTGGGGAAGTTCTCCTGGATAATATCCTGCAGAGTGTTTTTCAACTTGGTTCCATTCTCCCCGTCACTTTCAGGTACACCAATCAGACATAGATTTGGTCTTTTCACATAGTCCCATATTTCTTGGAGGCTTTGTTCATTTCTTTTTATTCTTTTTTCTCCAAACTTCCCTTCTCGCTTCATTTCATTCGCTTCATCTTCCATCGCTGATACCCTTTCTTCCAGTTGATCACATCGGCTCCTGAGGCTTCTGCATTCCTCACATAGTTCTCGAGCCTTGGTTTTCAGCTCCATCAGCTCCTTTAAGCACTTCTCTGTATTGGTTATTCTAGTTATACATTCTTCTAAATTTTTTTCAAAGTTTTCAACTTCCTTGCCTTCGGTTTGAATGTCCTCCCAAAGCTCAGAGTAATTTGATCATCTGAAGCCTTCTTCTCTCAACTCGTCAAAGTCATTCTCCGTCCAGCTTTGTTCCGTTGCTGGTGAGGAACTGTGTTCCTTTGGAGGAGGTGAGGCGCTCTGCTTTTTATAGTTTCCAATTTTTCTGCTCTGTTTTTTCCCCATCTTTGTGGCTTTATCTACTTTTGGTCTTTGATGATGGTGATGTACAGATGGGTTTTTGGTGTGGATGTGCTTTCTGTTTGTTAGTTTTCCTTCTAACAGACAGGACCCTCAGCTGCAGGTCTGTTGGAGTACCCAGCCGTGTGAGGTGTCAGTCTGCCCCTGCTGGGGGGTGCCTCCCAGTTAGGCTGCTTGGGGTCAGGGGTCAGGGACCCACTTAAGGCGGCAGTCTGCTGGTTCTCAAATCTCCAGCTGCGTGCTGGGAGAACCACTGCCCTCTTCAAAGCTGTCAGACAGGGACATTTAAGTCCGCAGAGGTTACTGCTGTCTTTTTGTTTGTCTGTGCCCTGCCCACAGAGGTGGAACCTACAGAGGCAGGCAGGCATCCTTGAGCTGTGATGGGCTCCACCCAGTTTGACATTCCTGGCTGCTTTGTTTATCTAAGCAAGCCTGGGCAATGGCGGGCGCCCCTACCCCAGCCTCACTGCTGCCTTGCAGTTTGATCTCACTGCTGTGCTAGCAATCAGCAAGACTCGGTGTGCGTAGGACCCTCCGAGCCAGGTGTGAGATATAATCTCCTTGTGGGCTATTTTTTAAGCCCATTGGAAAAGTGCAGTATTCGGGTGGGAGTGACCCAATTTTCCAGGTGTCGTCCATCACCTCTTTCTTTGACTAGGAAAGGGAACTCCCTGACTCCTTGCACTTCCTGAGTGAGGCAATGCCTCGTCCTGCTTTGGCTCGCTCATGGTGTGCGCACCTACTGACCTGCGCCCACTGTCTGGCACTCCCTAGTGAGATGAACCCGGTACCTCAGATGGAAATGCAGAAATCACCCGTTTTCTGCTTCGCTCATGCTGGGAGCTGTAGACCTGAGCTGTTCCTATTAGGCCATCTTGGCTCCTCCGCCCGACAGTAAGATTTCAAGCTGCTTTTTTCTAATGCCACCTAGGACTCCATCAAATAACACATTTTTTTTCCAGTTGAATTGTGAAAATGTTAGCTTTTTAGGGGGGACAAAAATAACTGCCAAAATCCTGTTGTGCTGTGTGTGTATCTGTGTGTGTGTGTGTGTGTGTGTGTGCGTGTTTTCACACTGATGTCTTCCAATGGGTTATTGTTTCTCTTGAGTTTTTTTTTTTAGATTTTTGTGGGTAAATGGTAGGTGTACATATTTATGTGGTACATGTGATGTTTTGAGCCTTATTTCACAAATTCCTGAAGCTTGCTAAATGAGCTGGCTATATGATGTAGATATAGGTTATGGTTATAAGCAAATAACTGAAGTTTAATCAGTCTCCTCCCAGCAAGTGATATGCAACTGAGATTCCTTATGACACATCTGAACACTAGTGGATTTGCTTTGTAGTAGGAACAAGGTACATTCGCGGGATAAATGTGGCCAAGTTTTATCTGCTGCCAGGGCTTTCAAATAGGTTGACCTGACAATGGGTCACCTCTGGGACTGACAATTAGGAAGAGCTGGTACCTAAAATGAAAGATGCCCTTAAATTTCAGATTCACAATTTTTTTTTCTTAGTATAAGCATGTCCCATGTAATATCTGGGATATACTCATACCTTTAAAAATGTGCTCATTGTTTATCTGAAATTCACATTTTAACAGGGAACCATTGTTTTGTTATTGTTTATTGTTTTGTTTCTAAATAATCAGACAAAGTGCTAAGAATGGAGTTTATCACCTGTGACCGGCTTTAATGTCCCTGGAGGTCTGAAGTTTGCGGATCATCGGAAGTGACAGCCAAGTGATTCCTTTGAATGAAGGGAAGATATATTAATCGTTATCTACAAAACTGGAAGGCAAGTGGCTGCTCATCCTTTTAGGGCTGGCCATCCTTAAACATCATCCTTAAACAGAGGACCAACATAGAACTACATAAAGCATCATTTACTTACCTCTGTTTTAGGAGAAACATCTTAATGATTCTATTCACTGAACCAGGCTTCGTAAAATTTTACCACATCTGTTACAATAATCTGTCAAATTCTGAAAGTGGCTCCAAAACTAAAAGATCAGCAACAGTAGCATCTTTGTCACCCAAAATGACTTAGGTTTAAGTCTCTGTTGAGTCAAGGTGTCCCCATCACTGACTTGACCTAAGGCCAATATGAATATGTTGATATATTAACACTAACTTGTACTAAAAGCAAACCTGGAGATTCCTGAATAGTGGATTCTACTGAATTTGTGCTTTTCTAGAATATGAGGAAGAAAATATATAGGATGCTTTAGCAGTGTGGTTTCAGTCCCTTCAAGTTTTGTGTTTTATGACACTTGCCGTGTAATGTTCTACTTTTACAATAAAGCCCCCATTTAGGTTAGAAGCAAAATATAACAGCTCATATTCATTGTGCAACAGATTTGTCAGATTATCTACCAAAAGAAATCTCATTATTCCTCCATAGTATGTTAAGTTACACATGACTTGTATGAGAAATATGTATGTACTAATTTCCAGAGCAAGAAGTTTGTGTTAGGTTGGCACAAAAGTAATTGTGGTTTTTGCCACTACTTTCAATGGCATTATTTTTAATTGCAAAAGCCACAAAAGTAATTGTGGTTTTTGCCACTACTTTCAATGTCATTACTTTTAATGGCAAAAACCGCAATTACTTTTGCACCTGCCTAATATTTGAATATTTTTCATACAATTTTAATTCCAGATTACTCTTCCAAAGTTGCATCTTTACATACTTATAGCAAATTATTTTAATTTAGAAGGAATACTACCTTGGGAAATATCTTTAGAAATCTGACTTATTTTATGACTTTCAACATACATCATAATTTGAACTAATATAAGACAAAAATCTCATCATTTCATTTTGGAGCTTCTAAAGATTAATGGAGAAGCTAGGGAATTTGTTTTATAATAATTACTAAAACTACATTTTCCCTTACTTTACAAAAGCACATCATGATAATATTGATGATTCAACCTATCGGAACCAGATCTTCTTATGGATGCATTCATAGTAGGAAATATCAATTTTTCTGATTTCAGAGAAGAAAAATAAGTGGCAATACCTATTTTTACAGTGTAGCATTTTGTTTTTAGCACATGTTCATATTTTTTCCAATGTATCTTCCTGAAGAACTGTTTTGCTTTCTTTCATTATTATGAAACTCAATACAGTGGATAAAGCAAATCTGATAAATATATACCATGGAATACTGTACAGCCATGAGAAAGAATAAAATCATGTCCTTTGCAGCAACCTAGATGCAGGTGGAGACCAGTATTCTAAGAGAATTAACACAGGAGCTGAAAAACAAATACTCTATGTTCACCCTTTTAAGTAGGAGTTAATCATCACATATTCATGGACAAAAAGATGGCATGAATAGACACTGGAAACTACTAGAAAGCAGAAGGAGAAAGGGTGACAAGTGTTACAAACAAACTATTGGATATTATACTTACTAACTCGGTGGGATCAATTGAACCCCAAACCTCAGCATCATGCAGTATACCCATGTAACAAACTTGCACACACTCCCCCCAAATCCAAATAAAAGTCAAAATTATTAAATCAGTAAATAAGACTGTATTTTATAAATGTCTCTTCTCTAAATCCCAATATCTTAACCATGTGGAGTTTTCTTCCATACAAACCACACACACACAGCAATACCCAATGTTCATCTTCCTTTGATTCTTCTCTTATCCGGTTTCCTTTTCTACTGTCTCCTTTTATCCCTTCTTCCCAGAAGTAGAAAAAACCTTTGCCTCATGTTCACTGAGGGCACTTCACTCTTCTTCAAAACTTGGTATCAAATGTCACCTTGACTGTTGCTTACTTACAAGTGTTTATTAAGCCAAATAACTTTCAAACAATGCCCGTCTTTTCTCCATGCAAGAATCCAGTTACCAGCTGCATTCCAGGACAGAAGTGTCCTCTTCCCCTAGTTAGTGGCTCAAGTGTGTACCCAATGCTGGAAACAGAGTGGGCAGGTGTCCAATGAATGTTGACTGTGTGCTGTGTTGACTATGTGCTCACTGGGCAGGTGTCCAATGAGTGTTGACTATGTGCTGTGGACCACATAATACAAGTGGAAAAAAGACAATATTTTTTTCTTTTCTAAAAAAAATGAAGATAATTTTGCCCCAGTCAACACTAAGAAGTACAGATTGATGACTTAGTGCTGTTATTCTCCCCTTTGTTTCTTTTTCTCCTCCTTTCACATTATTTACTTACAATCTTTAAAAATATTAAAATATGAATACACTAATACAAGAAGAGTTATTAGAATTTTTAAGCAAAATTGTTTGTCAAAGCCTGAAAAATAATACAGTAAAGGAAAACTTAGCCTTCAGAAAGGCAACTGATCATATAGAATTATCAAATTATTGAAATTTATCAATATGTTGTTAATAGATGTGATTTGGTAAGCACAGGGAAGGAATTGCTCCATTGTTGCTTTTCATTCATTTCTATCCTAAATTTATGAGGCAGAATTTTAAAAAATTGCTTATATCTATTGATTAAAAGTTAAAAATACAAACACATAGATCCTTTCTCTTTCAATTTTTCTGGTCATCCAAACCCAGTTGCTTATTTGTATGTTATATTAGATGGTTAAATTAATGCATATATTAATGGAATTGCTAAGCGCCAAGGTAAATTAGTTTGTTTGTAATTCCATCCAAACTAGACCCCAGAAATAGTGTGTCCTAAAGGAAAGCATATCGATGTAGGTTGGATGTGGAAATCAGAGGAGGCCGATGTTGAGGAATCATTTTTGAATGATAGAAAGAATTTAAATAAAGGTGAGGAACGGGCAAAGTCATTACAGCTAGTGGGTAGTCATTACAGCTAGCCATTATTTGCTAGAGAGAGTAGAGTGGTTTCACATCAGAGATGAATAAGCCTGATGAAACAATGTGTTACAAAGGAGAGATAAAATGCTGGGACTAGAGCATAGCATGAACTAGTACAGATACATATAGGAGAGCCCAGATACAGGAAACTTACAGTACATTTCCCTTCACTTCAAGACTGCTTCTCAATTACTCATCACTCACAGTGTTGCTTATCTTTTTATGTATGTGACATCTTGTTTACTTATTTTCTTTGTTTTACCCCTCAAGATGGAGTCTCTGACTGTCACCAGGCTGGAATGCAGTGGTGCGATCTTGGCTCACTGCAACCTCCACCTCCTGGGTTCAAGTGATTCTCTTGCCTCAGCCTCCCAAGTAGCTGGGACTACAGGCATGCACCATCACACCCAGCTAATTTTCTTTATTTTTAGTAGAGACAGGGTTTCACCATGTTGGCCAACATGGTCTCAATCTCTTGTCCTTGTGATCCATGCACCTTGGCCTCCCAAAGTGATGGGATTGCAGGCATAAGCCACAGAGCCCAGCAGACATTTTGCTTCCTTAAAAAGATTTTAGACTTGTGCATGGGGTGTTTTAAGTTGCTAAAAATCTTAGTGCAGAATACTTCCTAAAAGCTTGTTAAAATTTTAAATAAATAAATGAAACATAGATAAAAGCATCATCTCATTTTTATCATTATCATTACCAACATTGTCACCATCATCATCATCATTATCATCCCATTGCCATTGTTATTATCATCATCATAATTATCATTACCATTACCATCACCATCACCACCATCATCACCATCCCCATCATTACTATCATTATCACCAGCACCACCATCATGATCATCAACATTATCATTATCGTTATTACCATCATCACTGCCATTATTATCATTACCATAACCGTAATTGATATCACCACCACCATCATCACCATCACCATTAACATCATAGTCACTACCATGAGCATCACCATCATTACCATCATCACCATCACTATCGTCATTATAACCGTCATCATCACCATCATCAACATCACTGTCACCATCATCACCATCATCACTATCATAGATACAGACAATTTATTTTGTAGAAAGAAAACAGGAGAAAGGCTAAGAATCATGTGATTCACCAGGAGAAAAGTATAAGCTTCTGCTTAAGATGGAGACCCTCTATTTTAATCTCCATTTAGCAATTAGCATTTATTGAGTTCTTTCTATGTTCAGAGTTTCAGGGAATGGAGATAGACACATTTTTCTTTTCTGAGACAGAGTCTCACTCTATCACCCAGGTTGGAGTGCAGTGGTGTGATCTTGGCTCATTGAAACTTCTACCTCCTTGGTTCAAGCAATTCACCTGCCTTAGCCTCCTGAGTAGATAGGACTACAGGTGTGTGCCACCACACCCAGCTAATTTTTGTATTTTTAGTAAAGACAGGGTTTCAACATGTTGGTCAGGCTGGACTTGAAGTCCTTACTTCATGATCTACCCACCTCGGCCTCCCAAAGTGCTGGGATTACAGGCATGAGCCACTGCACCTGGCCAGTAGACCCAATTTAAAAAAAAAAAAAACACACAGATACGTGTACTTAGTTTGTATATACATTGCAACTTTTATGCATCTACTTTATGCATTAATCTCTGAGTAAAAACTACTTGATGTTTACATCAGCTGTAAAACTTGCCAGAAATGTGAAATGATACCTTTTAATTTTGTGAGTCTGCTGGCTGTTGTGTTAGGAGTTATTACCTATTGCCAGTGCAGTCTGTGAATGTACCTTTTAATTTTGTGAGTCTGTTGGCTGTTGTGTTAGGAGTTATTACTCATTGCCAGTGCAGTCTGGTCTCACTGCTCAAAATGGCTCTTCACACCACGTAATTAGATTAGGACCAGCAGGCTGGAAGATAAAGGCCACTCTCTTCCTCAAGCAAAAGAATACACTTTATTTTTACCAAATGAAGATTTCCCAGCAGAAATAATCTGGTGGAAAAACTATTACAGACAAGAAATTTATCAAGCCCGTAACATATAATTAGAATTTTCAGCCATTTCCCACAAGAAGATTTCTAAAGGGTCATTGAGAAATTTGCCATACAACATCCTCCTCAAGACATGGGTTAATTTAGCAAATATCAGCGTTTAACACCATCTGAGTTTGGTGTATAAGGGAAGGTGAAAAATATTCAATTAACAATAAATGGGGAGAATGTGGGCACTTGATTGTTTTGAATTTGTGATACTACCTAAAAATATACAGGTTGAATAATGTTGAGTACTCTCCTAATGCAGAATGCCTTGTCTTCCCGCAAGAACTGAGATCCTGAGATATTTGTAAATGTACTGAGAAAGAAACAAGTATAGCAAGCTGCATGTGATGTTTATACAGCAGGTGGGCTTTCCAGACAAAATATTGCAAGGGACATACATATGCTAAATAATTACTCATGTTTTCCTGATATTCAAAATTAACTTGCTCTGTTTATTTGCCAAACCTGGCAACGGAATCCCCACTGGGTCATTTCTACTCTCTACTTCTATGAGTTTGACTTTTTCAGATTCCACATATAAGTGAGATCATGTGGTATTGGTCTCTCTGTGCCTGGCTTGTTTCACCTAGCATGATGTCTTCCAGCTTTATCCATGCCTTTACATATGACAGAATTTTCTTGTATTTTAAGGCTGATAAAATCCTATTGTGTATATATGCATCATTGTTCTACTCTCCTTTTACCACCTAGAGGACATCCTAACTTGGATGCCTTCCTTCCTGACTTTTAATTTTAATCTTGAGACATTTTTCCTTGGCAAGGTTCAGAGTGAGGGGTGCTATTTGCTTCCAGTGTGTAGAGGGCAGGAAGGGAGATAAACATCCCACAGTGCATGAGACAGTATAATGCCACAACAAAGAATGATCCAGGACAAATGAATGGGACAGTATAATGTCAAAACAAAGAATGATCCACCAAATTATCAAGATTGCTGCTGTTTGAACCCAGATCTCCAGACTTTATCATCCCATAACAGTATTTGAAAAAAAGAATTGAAGCATCTTTTTCCCATTTTAGGTACTACAACCAAACAGCTTCATGCCAACATAATTTTCCCCCAAGCACTCCAAATATCTTTCCAGAAAAGCAATAATTAGCAGTACAACTGTATACAGTACCCAGTTTTTGGAAAATCAGCCTACTCATATAAAGTTAATAAAGCAATATGAGGAAAATACCCTTGTCTTAAAATATTCAAAGATTGTTTGGAAAAAATATGCAAACAACACACATTTTCCTAAGAACATGGAGTTCAATGAAGACAGGCTAAATGAAAGACATAGTTGTCCAATAGTTAGGGCCAATTAAATAATGCAGAAATGTCTTACACTGAAGAAATATTGCTCATACCAATTGTGACCACATATTGACCTTGTCTAATCTTACTACTGGGAGGTCAATTGTTCTACAGAGATGTTTGTTTTGCTTTTTGTTTTTGAGACAAGGTCTCTGTTACCGACGCTGGAGTGCAGTGGTGTGATCTTGACTCATTGCAGCCTCCGCCTCCTGGGCTTAAGCCATCCTCTCACCTCAGCCTCCCAAGTAGCTGGAATTACAGGCACACACCACAACACCCAGCTAATTTTTTGGAATTTTGTAGAGATGAGGTTTTGCCATGTTGCCCAGGATGGTCTCAAACTCATGAGCTCAAGTGATCTGCCTGCCTTGGCCTCCCAAAGTTCTGGGATTACAGGCATGAGACACCACACCCAGCCCAGAATGGCAAGATTCTGCTTCAAGTTCATTTTCATGATAGGAAATAACAGGTAATATTTTCCAGTTGTCTTCCTCAAGTTCAAGTACTTTCACAAGAAATTGGCAAATCCAGGTCTCTTCACTCAAGATGATGAAAACCTCTAGAGAAAACATTTAAAAAATTACATGAAGGCATGAATTTGGGTGATGGTATAAAACAAAACTAAACTATAAAACAAAACTAAACTATAAAACAAAACTAGCAGAATGTTTTTAAAAGTTTTTGTGCTGTATGAGGAGTATTAGAAAGTGCAAAGTTCAATATTTTCCCTAACCTTCAGATGTGGGAGCTTGGATCAATGTTGAAAAATAATTTTCACCACAATGAAAATGTTGATTCAAATAAATTTCTATACACCTGCCATTTGCATGTTTGTGGCTTTCTAATTAAATAAATTGGTTGTTTAAAGATTTAAAAAATTACATGAAGGAAGGAAAAGTGTATATTATTCTGAAACCTCAAGTTACCTTTTCAGAGCTTCTTTTTGTTTTGAGACAGAGTCTGGTTCTGTCACCCAGGCTGGAAAGCAGTGGCACTATCTCAGCACACTGCAACCTCCACTTCCCAGATTCAAGTAATTCTCCTGCCTCAGTCTCCCAAGTAGCGGGGATTACAGGTGCCTGTCACCATGCCCAGCTTATTTTTTTTTTATTTTTAGTAGAGGTGAGTTTTTGCCCTGTTGGCCAGGCTGGTCTCAAACACCTGAACTCAGGTGATCGACCTGCCTTGGCCTCTCAAAACGCTGGGATTACAGGCATGAGCCACTGCACCTGGCCTAGAGCTTTTAAAAGTATTATTTTATTTTGTTTTTAATTGGCAATAATTGTATATATTTATAGGTTGCAATGGGAGGCCTTAATATCCATATATATGTATATATCATGATTAAATTAAGCTAATTAACATCTTCAACTCTTCAAAAACCTATCATTTGGTGAGAACATTTAAGATCTACTGTTTTAGTAATTTTGACATATACATTATGCTATAATTAACTATAGTCACCATGCTGTGCAATAGATCTATCAAACTTATTCTTGTCATCTAATTTGTAATTTGTATGCTTTGACCAATATCTCCCCAAGGCTTCCACCCCAGTACTTGGTAACTACCATCTATTCTCTACTTCTATGAGTTTGATTTTTTCAAATTTCACATTATAAGTTAGATTTTGTGGTATTTGTCTCTCTATGGATGGCTTATTTCACTTAATGTTCTCCAGTTTCATTCATGCTGTTGCAGATGACACTGGTTCTTTCTATTTTAAAGCTGAATGAAATCCCACTGTATATCTACACAACATGTAAAAAAATAAAAATAAAAATAAAAAAACAACACCTCATTTTCTACCACCTAAAGGACATCCTAACTTGGATGTCTTCTTCCTCTTTAACTGACCTGACCAAGTGCATCATCTAACCCTCTTTGCCATTATGCCACAGGTGATTATTGCCACCCTGGTGTACATTGTCTCAATTCATGTCTTTGCTATCCCTTTCCTAGTCAAAAGCTCACAAGATTTTTTTCTGGACCCTGCTGTCTTCCCTCATCTGAGACCCTATGCGTCAGCAGATCCTGTCAATTCCACTTGGTAAATACCATGTGAACACATCTGTTTCTTACATGCCTACCCATGACACTCATACACTCTAACCACTACTATATCACATTACTACAATAAGAAGGTTGCAAAGATCAGAGGAAGCCTGGTTGATGCTAAAAAGAGCATCCACTTTCTTCTCATTGGTGCCATCTTCCTTCCCATCCAAACCAGTCAACATTATGTACCCGGAGTTGTCCTTCTAAGACAGAGCATGAATCACACTACTCCCACGCTAAAAATGTCCACATTTCTTTCCATGTGAATTATTTTCATGTGAATCAGGTCTTCTGGAATACTACAAAGCCTTCTGCCTACTGCTCCCATGACATAATTCTTCCTCGTACTTTTTCCCATCCCTCTAGCGTGCTAAATATCAGCCATATAGGACATTATTTGGCCCATAAAACATGTTGAGATTGCCCTCATAGAGGAACATGTTTTATTGTTTAATAACAGCTTGACTATTTCCTTGGTACTCAACTTCTACTCAAGGCTACACTCAACCTTTTCTGCATGCTGTTCAGCCATCTTTCATTTCTGCGAACCTTATTTGACTCACCAGACTTGATCAGGTATGATCTCTCATCAGCACACTTAATATAATGTAAGGATTAAATCTCTCATTCTTCCTCGGATCTGCATAATTTGTGAGAGCTGAGATGGTTCCTCTCTTAATAACACGTATCGCCTGCTTACCTTCAAGTATACGTGAAGGCTAAATGAATGCATCTTTCAGCATTCGGTAAGAGTTGAGTTGTTAATGTTACAAGTATTTCAAATCTTGTAAATAACACAGAATAAATAAATCCAAAACTAATTTTGCCTGTGTTGTCCCATGGGGAAGGCAGAACTATATCATCATAATGGCAGACTTTTCCCATTTCCAACACAGCTCTGAGATTGTTCCATTGGAAATACTTGCTGAATTTTCCCTTTTGGTATATTCTTCACTTTGTCAGAAAGAATGTAGAATCAATAAAAGCAAAATGCAAAACAAAACAAAACAAAACAAAAATTTTATACTATTCTTCTGACTCAAGTGAGTGAGAATATGGCATATGGAAGAAATATCCTTGGATTTGTTGCTAACATGAGATAAGGCTATGAAGGAGGAATGAACTATATCAGACAAAGTTCACTGGATTTTACTCTGAAAATGAAGGCAATGAATGAGATTCTTCTAGCATATAGCCGACATACATCTTCAAAAACCTCACATAAAATTTTTACAAAAAAAATTAATTCTTCAATTATGCAATTAATCAATCTATCACCAAGTATATTCCCATCAAACTACCATTGACTTTCCTCACAGATTTAGAAAAAACTACTCTAAATTTTATGTGGAATCAAATAAGGGACTATGTGAAAAGACCAAATCTACGTCTGATTGGTGTACCTGAAAGTGATGGGGAGAATGGAACCAAGTTGGAAAACACTCTGCAGGATATTATCCAGGAGAATTTCCCCAATCTAGCAAGTCAGGCCAACATTCAGATTCAGGAAATACAGAGAATGTGACAAAGATACTCCTCGAGAAGAGCAACTCCAAGACACGTAATTTTCAGATTCACCAAAGTTGAAATGAAGGAAAAAATGTTAAGGGCAGCCAGAGAGAAAGGTCGGGTTGCCCATAAAAGGAAGCCCATCAGACTAACAGCTCATCTCTTGGCAAAAGCTCTACAAGCCAGAAGAGTGGGGGCCAATACTCAACATTCTTAAAGAAAATAATTTTCAACCCAGAATTTCATATCCAGACAAACTAAGCTTCCTAAGTGAAGGAGAAATAAAATACTTTACAGACGAGCAAATACTGAGAGATTTTTGTCAACACCAGGCCTGCTCTAAAAGAGCTCCTGAAGGAAGCACTAAACATGGAAAGGAACAACAGTACCAGCTATTGCAAAATCATGCCAAAATGTAAAGACCATTGAGACCAAGAAGAAACAGCATCAACTAATGAGCAAAATAACCAGCTAACATCATAATGACAGGATCAAATTCACACATAACAATATTAACTTTAAATGTAAATAGACTAAATGCTCCAATTAAAAGACACAGACTGGCAAATTGGATAAACAGTCAAGACCCATCAGTGTGCTGTATTCGGGAAACCCATCTCACATGCAGAGACACACATAGGCTCAAAATAAAGGGATGGAGGAAGATCTACCAAGCAAATGAAAAACAAAAAAAAGGCAGGGGTTGCAGTCCTAGTCTCTGATAAAACAGACTTTAAACCAACAAAGATCAAAAGAGAAAAAGAAGGCCACCACATAATGGTAAAGGGATCAATTAAAGAAGAAGAGCTAACTACACTGAATATATATGCACCCAATACAGGAGCACCCAAATTCATAAAGCAAGTCCTGAGTGACCTACAAAGAGACTTAGAATCCCACACAATAATAATGGGAGACTTTAACACCCCACTGTCAACATTAGACAGATCAATGAGACAGAAAGTTAAAAAGGATACCCAGGAATTGAACTCAACTCTGCACCAAGCAGACCTAATAGATATCTACAGAACTCTCCACCCCAAGTCAACAGAATATACATTTTTTTTTTCAGCACCACACCACACCTATTCCAAAATTGACCACATACTTGGAAGTAAAGCACTCCTCAGCAAATGTAAAAGAACAGAAATTATAACAAACTATCTCTCAGACCACAGTGCAATCAAACTATAACTCAGCATTAAGAAACTCACTCAAAACCGCTCAACTACATGGAAACCAAACAACCTGCTCCTGAATGACTACTGGGTACATAACGAAATGAAGGCAGAAATACAGTTGTTCTTTGGAACCAATGAGAACAAAGACACAACATACCAGAATATCTGAGACACATTCACAGCAGTGTGTAGAGGGAAATTTGTAACACTAAATGCCCACAAGAGAAAGCAGGAAAGATCCAAAATTGACACCCTAAAATCACAATTAAAAGAACTAGAGAAGCAAGAGCAAACACATTCAGAAGTTAGCAGAAGGCAAGAAATAACTAAAATCAGAGCAGAACAAAAGGAAATAGAGACACAAAAATCCCTTCAAAATTTAGTGAATCCAGGAGCTGGTTTTTTGAAACGATCAACAAAATTGATAGACTGCCAGCAAGACTAATAAATTAAAAAAAGAGAGCAGAATCAAATAGATGCAATAAAAAATGAAAAAGGGGATACCACCACTGATCCCACAGAAATACAAACTACCACCAGAGAATAATACAAACACCACTATGCAAATAAACTAGAAAACCTAGAAGAAATGGTAAATTCCACAACACATACACTCTCCCAAGACTAAACCAGGAAGAAGTTGAATCTCTGAATAGACTAATAACAGGATCTGAAATTGTGGCAATAATCGATAGCTTACCAACCAAAAAGAGTCCAGGACCAGATGGATTCACAGCTGAATTCTACCAGAGGAACAAGGAGGAACTGGTACCATTCCTTCTGCAACTATTCCAATCAATAGAATAAGAGGGAATCCTCCCTAACTCATTTTATGAGGCCAGCATCATCCTGATACCAAAGCCTGGCAGAGACACAACCAAAACGAGAATTTTAGACCAATATCCTTGATGAACATGGATGCAAAAATCCTCAATAAAATACTGGCAAACTGAATTCAGTAGCACATCAAAAAGCTTATCCACCATGATCAAGTGGGCTTCATCCCTGGCATGCAAGGCTGGTTCAATATATGCAAATCAATAAACGTAATCCAACATATAAACAGAACCAAAGACAAAAACCACATGATTATCTCAATAGATGCAAAAAAGGCCTTTGATAAAATTCAACAACCATTCATGCCAAAAACTCTCAACTAATTAGGTATTGATGGGATGTATCTCAAAATAATAAGAGTTACCTATGACAAACCTACAGTCAATATCATACAGAATGGACAAAAACGGGAAGCATTCCCTTTGAAAACTGGCATAAGACAGGAATGCCTTCTGTCACCACTCCTATTCAACATAGTGTTGGAAGTTCTGGCCAGGGCAATTAGGCAGGAGAAAGAAATAAAGGGAATTCAATTAGGAAAAGAGGAAGTCAAATTGTCCCTGTTTGCAGACTCAACATGATGCTATATCTAGAAAACCCCATTGTCTCAGCTCAAAATCTCCTTAAGCTGATAAGCAACTTCAGGAAAGTCTCAGGATACAAAATCAATGTACAAAAATCACAAGCATTCTTATAACCAATAACAGACAAACAGAGAGCCAAATCATGAGTGAACTCCCATTCATAAGTGCTTCAAAGAGAACAAAATACTTAGGAATCCAACTTACAAGGTATGTGAAGGACCTCTTCAAGGAGAACTACAAACCACTGCTCAAAGAAATAAAACAGCATACAAACAAATGGGAGAATATTCCATGCTCAGGAGTAGGAAGAGTCAATATCCTGAAAATGGCCATACTGCCCAAGGTAATTTATAGATTCAATGCCATTCCCATCAAGCTACCAATGATTTTGTTCACAGAATTGGAAAAACTACTTTAAAGTGCATATGGAACCAATGAAGAGCCCACATCGCCAAGTCAATCCTAAGCCAAAAGAACAAAGCTGGCGGCATCACACTACCTGACTTCAAACTATACTACAAGGCTACAGGAACCAAAACAGCATGGTACTGGTACCAAAACAGAGATATAGATCAATGGAACAGAACAGAGCCCTCAGAAATAATGCAGCATATCTACTACTATCTGATCTTTGACAAACCTGAGAAAAACCAGCAGTGGGGAAAGGATTCCCTATTTAATAAATGGTGCTGGGAAAACTGGCTAGCCATATGTAGAAAGCTGAAACTGGATCCCTTCCTTACACCTTATACAAAAATTAATTCAATATGGATTAAAGACTTAAATGTTAGACCTAAAACCATAAAAACCCTAGAAGAAAACCTTGGCATTACCATTGAGGACAGAGGCATGGGGAAGGACTTCATGTCTAAAACACCAAAAGCAATGGCAACAAAAGCCAAAATTGACAAATGGGATCTAAATAAACTAAAGAGCTTCTGCACAGCAAAAGAAACTACCAACAGAGTGAAAGGCAACCTGCAAAATGGGAGAAAATTATTGCAACCTACTCATCTGACAAAGGGCTAATATCCAGAATCTACAATATACTCCAACAAATTTACAAGGAAAAAACAAACAACCCCATCAAAAAGTGGGCAAAGGATATGAACAGACACTTCTTAAAAGAAGACATTTATGCAGCCAAAAGACACATGAAAGAATGCTCATCATCACTTGTCATCAGAGAAATGCAAATCAAAACCACAATGAGATACCGTCTCACACTAGTTAGAATGTCGATCATTAAAAAGTCAGGAAACAACAAGTGCTGGAGAGGTTGTGGAGAAACAGGAACACTTTTACACTGTTGGTGGGACTGTAAACTAGTTCAACCATTGTGGAAGTCAGTGTGGCGATTCCTCAGGGATCTAGAACTAGAAATACCATTTGACCCAGCCCTCCCATTACTGGGTATATACCCAAAGGACTATAAATCATGCTGCTATAAAGACACATGCACACATATGTTTATTGTGGCACTATTCACAATAGCTAAGACTTGGAAGCAGCCCAAATGTCCAACAATGATAGACTGGATTAAGAAAATGTGGCACATATACACCATGGAATACTATGCAGCCATAAAAAATGATGAGTTCATGTCCTTTGTAGGGACATGGATGAAATTGGAAATCATCATTCTCAGAAAACTATCACAGGGACAAAAAAACGAACACCGCATGTTCTCACTCACAGATGGGAATTGAACAAGGAGAACATATGGACACAGGAAGGGGAACATCACACTCTGAGGACTGTTGTGGTGTGGGGGGATTGGGGAGTGATAGCATTAGGAGACATACCTTATGCTAAATGACAAGTTAATGGGTGCAGCACACCAGCATGGCACATATATACGTATGTAACTAACCTGCACATTGTGCACATGTACCCTAAAACTTAAAGTATAATAATAATAATAATAATAATAATAATAATAATAAAAAGAAAACACAGTACTAAGCAGAAAGAACAAAGCTGAAGGCATCATGCTACCTGATTTCAAACTATACTACAAGGCTACAGTAAGCAAAACAACATGGTACTGGTACCAAAACAGATATACAGATCAATGGAACAGAACAGAGACTTCAGAAATAACACCACATATCTACAACCATCTTACCTCCATAAAACCTGACAAAAACAAGCAATGGTGAAGATTCCCTATTTAATAAATTGTGCTGTGAAAACTGGCTAGCCATATGCAGAAAACAGAAACCAGACCCCTTCCTTCCACCTTATACAAAAATTAACTCAAGATGGATTAAAGACTTAAAGGCAAAATCCAAAACCATAAAAAACCCTAGAAGCAAGCATAGGCAATACCATTCACGACATAGGCATGAAAAAATACCTCATAACTAAAACACCAAAAGCAATGGCAACAAAAGCCAAAATTGACAAATGGGATATAATCAAACTAAAGAGCTTCTGCACAGCAAAATAAACTATCATCAGAATTAACAGACATCAACTTATTTAATAAGATTGACTTTGGCACATTGTCTTGTCACTACTCTGGAAGTATACTTCATTGTGTTCTTTGCAAAAATCTCGAATTATGTGACTTCTAACATAACTTACAAGTTATGTAGAGCTTACCATCAGGAAGCACACAACACAGTCAGGAATTCTCACCTCTGGCCAGGTGACATTTTGGACCCAATGATTGTTTGCTAGGGGGACTGTACTGTACAGTGTAGGATTTTTATCATCACCCCTGGTCTCTACAAACTGGACACGAGTAGGGCCCAATCTCTCAACTGTAACAGCCAATGACTGCTGATACAAGATGATTTAGATAAATTCAACTAAAAAATTATATCCCTACCATATACCAGACAATATACTAACCACTGAAAATAAGGCAAATGTGTAAGTAAATGAATGAATAAACAGAAAAATAAATAATGTCCCTCCAACACCTCTTGCAGTTTTAGAGGGGTGATATGCACGTTCATGTTCAATAAATGAGTGCAGACATGGAAATACTGAAATTATAGGGAGAGTACAGACAGAAAAAATAAAATAAAGAGGTATACAGGGATGAATGAAGAGATAATGTATAAGAAAATAACTTTCCAGAGATGGTACTAGCTATTTAGGTTTTTGAGGGATGAATAGGAGTTCACTGTCATATGGAGGGGCATATAAGTGTAAGTAAGTTATCCATGAATGAGCTGTGAGTAAAACAAAATACAGTACTGAGGATAATAAGTTTGAAACATGAAAAGTTTGGAAAGCAACAGGACACATATCATGTAGTGCAACATTATGCAAAGCAGAAATCTCATAAGATTCAGAAAATGTGGAAAATAGTAAAAACAGGAAGGCCACACATTTATCAGGGCAGGAAAACCTGACCCAGACCTTTACATGCAAATAGGAAATGAAAGGATTTTACGGTTTTGCTCTGCTTGATTTCATGAGAATGAGGGAAGCATTGATTATCCACGGTCTATTTAAGGGGAAAAAAATGTTATTTCAGCACCCATTAATGCAACTAAGAAAATGCAAACAAGTTAGATGATCCTTTGTCTTCCTAAAACTGATCCCCTCACAGCAGGTCTTAGTATTTGCACCATGGGCAACTCACTGCACAATCACATGGGACTAACTGTTAAATAGACCCATCCTTGTTCCAACCACTCTGATAGAGCTAGTCTTGCTCCACATGAGGACATAGAATCTCCAAGTAGAATGGTTCATCCAATTTATTCTTACATGCTGCAAAGCCTGAAAATGTCTAGTCTGGTCTAATTTTCATAGTAACCTGCAATTTAAATAGGTAGAATTGCAAATAAAATCTGTTACTCTGTGTGGAAAGTGAGTATAAAAATAAAATGAGGAATATATGTCATTGGAGCATTTCCTAAACATGACAACAAAGCAGATTTCAAATTTTAAAAATGAAGAGACATGGGCCGGGTGTGGTGGCTCAAGCCTGTAATCCCAGAACTTTGGGAGGCCAAGGTGGGCAGATCATGAAGTCAGGAGATAGAGATCATCCTGGCTAACGTGGTGAAACCCTGTCTCTACTAAAAATACAAAAGAATTAGCCAGGCCTGGTGGTGGGCCCCTGTAGTCCCAGCTACTTGGGAGTCTGAGGCAGGAGAATGGCTTGAACCCAGGAGGTGGAGCTTGCAGTGAGCCAATATCATGCCACTGCATTCCAGACTGGGTGTGACAGAGCAAGACTCCCTCTAAAAAAAAAAAAAAAAAAAGACATTGCTTATGTGGAGAAACCCCCAGAGTGAAGGTGAATAAATTAATTTAAAAATTACTTTTTTTGAGAAGGACTCTTGTTGTGTTCCTCAAGCTGGAGTGTAGTGGCATGATCTCGGCTCATGGCAATATCTGCCTTGTGGTTTCAAGTAATTATCCAGCTTCAGTCTCCCAGGTAGCTGAGACAGGTGTGTGCCACTGTGGCCTGGCAAATTTTTGTATTTTTAGTGGAATCAGAGTTTCACCATGTTGGCCAGGTTGGTCTCAAACTCCTGACCTCAAATGGTCTGCCTGCCTGGGCCTGCTAAAATCTTGGGATTACAGGCATGAGCCACTGCACTTGGTCATATAAAATATTGAAATCAAGATGGTATCAATTGTCAAAACTTTTTCTTCTGTATTCTTATTTGGAGGGGTAAAATAGAGAAGAGTTACATGGATATTGGAGGTTTGATATGTGATATGTACAATTAAAGAAAAACATTGGGCAATTTGTATTTCTATGGTGACTTTTCTTTCCCTGAGCCTATTAAAAATACCATGAATAGACCAGGCGTGGTGGCTCACACCTGTAATCCCAGCTCTTTGGGAGGCCAATGTATGTGGATCACCTGAGGTCAGGAGTTTGAGACCCGGCTGACCAACATGGTGAAACCCTGTCTCTACCAAAAATACAAAAATTAGCTGGGTGTAGTGGCAGGAACCTATAATCTCAGCCACTTGGGAGGCTGAGAGAAGAGAATCGCTTGAACTTGGGAGGCAGAGGTTTCAGTGAGCCGAGACCCGCTGTTGCCACTGCAGCCTGGGCAACAAGAGTGAAACTCCATCTCAAAAAAAATTATAGTAATACCATGAATAATTGCAGGGGGCTTTCATCCTGATTTTTCTTCTTCTTGAGGAGAAGCAGATTATAAACCCACTAAAAAACTATGTGTTAATTGTGAGGCTAAAATGCTCTTAAGAGGCATATCTCCTTGGTGAATTAAACAGGGTTGCATTCAGAGACAGAAATTAATTGCTTGTGCCAAACTCGAAGTAACAAGTGAAGACATAGGAAGAAAGCAGCTGAATACCTTGGAGAAAGAGAAACTCTGGCTAGGAAATGGCATTTTATTCAAGAGTAAGTCAAGAGGCTGTGTACCGATAGAGTTTTATAGACCACATAAAATTGAGGCTGAAAATAGACTTTTCATGCTACTAGAAGCTGGGTTCTCCATGCAAATCCTCTTCATAGAGATGCTGTGCTATTGCTACTACAAATTCATACCTGCACTATTTTTAAGAGAACCATTTATTTGCTTCTTCCTTACCTGGAGATCCCTGGGAGTTGATACTCCTGGGCACACCCTAAGTCAACTACTAGCCACGCCTGACCAATGTGCTCTGCTTCATTTGTTTTAGTTGAGAAATGTCCTCTGGGACCACTTAGGCTCTACAGTTCCCTATGGGATCAAACTGAGGGCTCCTGGTCTTCTCTACCTACTTGTCTTTGCCTTCTATGAGTTTCTCCAGGGAGCATTTTCTCAGCACCTCACCACACAAGAATACTTGACCCAGGACCTGTTGCTTAAGAACTAAACTTTAGACATGTGCTATTTGCACAATATTTAAGACACAAGGATGCTTTAAATCATGGGTCCCCAGCCCCTGGGCCATGGACCACTACTGGTCTAGGGCCTGTGATTGGTGGTTCAACAAGAAAAGCTAGATCTGTATTTACAGTCCCTCCTCATTGCTCACATCACTGTCTGAGCTCTGCCTCCTGTCAGATCAGCAGCAGCAGTAGATTCTCATATGAGCAATAACTCCATAATGAACTGTGCATGCAAGGGATATAAGCTGCAACTTCTTTACGAAAATCTAATGCCTGATGATCTTTCACTGTATCTTGTCACCTCTAGATGGGACCACCTAGTTTCAGGAAAATAAGCTTAGGGTTCCCACCAATTCCATTATGGTGAAGTGTCTTATTTCATTATATATTTTATGTATATATATAATTTCATTATATATTACAATATAATAATCATAGATATACAGTGCACAATAAATGTAATGTGCTTGAATCATCCAGAAATCACCCACTCCAAAACCTGTCACCACTGTCCATGGAAAAATTGTCTTCCACTAAACTGGTCCTGGTGCCAAAAAACTTGGGGACTACTGCTTTAAATCTTAGTTATGTGTAACATTTGAAGAAATACCAAGTACTTTAAACAGTCATTTTCTCACAAATAAACAGATGGTGAGTATTATAATATGGCATTATTAAAATTTGCTAATAAGTCAAAATCAGAGTTTTTGCTTAAAGTAATAGAACATTTTCTCTTTTTCTTGACTTTTAGGTTTGGGGGTACATGTGAAGGTTTTTACATCAGTAACACACATCACAGGATTTTGTTGTACAGATTATTTTATCATCCTAGTATCAAGACCCATGCCCAACAGTTCTTTCCTGCTCCTCTCCCTCCTCCCATCCTTCTCCCCAAGTAGATCCCAATGTATGTTGTTTCTTTCTTTGTAGAACACTTTCAGTGTCAACAGGTTTACTGCATTCAGCAAAGAACTGCTCTACTGACTAAAGAGATGTTCAGTGCATATCCTTTATCAAGCCTATGTTCAAGCTCAAGGTGGGTTGTGTATACAAATAGAACTGTGATCTGCCTAGAATAGGTAGGTATAGGATTGCTTGAACAAAACTTCAGTGATCTGCAACACTTCAGACATCTTACAGTTCATGATTCATTTTTACTAACTTCAAGACTGACATTTAACCGCATGAGAAGATATATCTAAAATGCCTTTCTAGTAAGCAGACTATGTGAGAAGAAATGAGACCTATGACAAGAATGTTTACTGGTTTGGGCTCTGGTTTCTTAAACTTCGATCCACACTGGACTGATGTGCAAAGTTGTGAAAGGAGAAAGAATGCCACAGATCAGTGAAGACCAACTAAATAAATTCCTAGCTGGGTTACATACAAGAGAAGTAGGCTTGGAGATGGAGTCTGACTTACATTATTTCTGACATATCCATCAGTTTCCTAGACAATATGGATGCTTGGGTCTGTAAAATGCAAATTTCAAGTTTCTGGACTATAAAGAATAGGAAGTCTGGACTTAGGCATTGCAAGTGAAAGAATTCTGGGTGCTTCAGAGAGACACAAACGTGAGCTCACCAGGAAACAAAGATAGAGGACGTACTATGATGGTCACTCATGGGACCTGGAGCTAGGGTTTAGCTAAAGCTGAAATGAAGACCAGAATTGGAAGAAACAAAGAGATCTAAAGAATGCAAATTTCCGGAATGTCACTTGAAATTTTCTCTTACTGGAAAAAAGAAAATACAATGTTTGTTTGCTATGAAATAATTAATGACAGTAAACTGGATAATTTTTTAAAAAACTTTTAAGTTCAAGGACACATGTGCAGGTTTGTTGCATAGGTAAACTTCCATCATGGTGGTTTGTTGTACAGATTACTTCATCACTCAGGTATTCAGCCTAATATCCATTAATTATTTTTCCTGAGCCTCTCCCTTCTCCTACCTCCAGTCTCCAAAAGGCCTCCTTATGTGTTGTTCCCTTCTGGGTGTCCATGTATTCTCTTGCCTTTTAGTTTCCACTTATAAATGAGAATATGTGGTATTTGGTTTTTCTGTTCCCACATTAGTTTGCTAAGTATAGTGGTCCATCCATGATCCCACAAAGGGTATAATCTCATTCTTTTTTATGACTACATGATATTCCATCTTGTATATATTGTTGTTCTTGTTTTTTGTTTGTTTGTTTGTTTTTGAGACAAAGTCTTGCTGTGTTGCCAGGCTCCAGAGCAGTGGCACCATCTCGGCTCACTGCAACTTCCCCCACCCAGATTCAAGTGATTCTACTGCCTCAACCTCCAGAGTAGCTGGGAATACAGGTGCAAGTCACCATGCCCGGCTAATTTTTTGTATTGTTAGTAGAGGTGGGATTTCACCACGTTAGCCAGGATGGTCTCAATCTCCTGACCTTGTGATCTGCCTGCCTCAGCCTCCCAAAGTGCTGGGATTACTGGTGTGAGCCACCATGCCCAGTCATCACATTTTCTTTATCCAGTCTATCACTCATGGGCATTTAGATTAATTCAATTTCCCTCCTATTTTGAATAGTGTTGCAGTAAACATCCAGAATAATTTATATTCCTTTGGGTATATACCCAGTAATGGGATTTCTGGGTTGAACGGTATTTTGATGTTTACATATTTGAGGAACTGCCACACTGTCTTTCACAAAGACTGAACTAATTTACACTCCCACCAACAGTGTACAAGCATATCTTTTTCTCCGTAATCTCACCAGTATTTTTTATTTTTTGACATTTTATTAGTAGCCATTCTGTTAGATGGCATCTCTTAAAAATGTTTTAGTAAATCTAAAATGAATTTAATTAGAAGTATTATTCTTAACAGTCAAAGAGATAAACAAAATTAGTCATCTGAAATCTAAAATCCCTAAACAATGTCTCATTATTTTTCACAGTATCTGAGCATATGACACAGCCAGTTATATGGTGGCTGTTGTCCACATTCTCTCTCACACACACAGAGAGAAAGATGGAAGAATTAAATCATTGTTCCAGCTATGAAAAAATCTGATTAGAAAAGTATGATAAATAGACTAAAAATAATTTTAAAAATGCAAAAGATATTTTCAATGAAGTCCCTAGACAATTTTCCACAGGATGCAACAACTTTCTAGTGATGTTGGACATTTGATTCAAAATTAAAATCATTGAAAATGTATTGGTAGATAAAATGGTGGAAAGGGTCCATAGATAATGATGAGGCCAAATGTTCAATTTTAGAGTAGCAGAGATTTTAGAAGAGGCTACAAAAGTCATAGCCAGGCAAACACCATTACAAAAAAAATAAAGACTTAAATTCCAGGACCAGTAATTAGAATTGTGAGAGAATACCCGGAGAAAAAGAAAACAGTTATCTTCAGGGAGAAAGCCATTACATTGAGAAAGCAGGTAGAAAGAGATGCCTCTTGCATTTTTAAGGAAAGGGAGAGTTTAACAACAGAAAGTAGCAGGAGTGTTTAACGACAGAATGAGGGATATTAATGAAACAACAAAGTAACCAGGTGACAATGTTCTCAACCTTCCTGAGTAAATGGATTAATTGCTGAATTGGAGGGTTGGTAGTAATTGTAGTAATTACCAGAGGACCCTAGCTTATGTGAAAACTTAGAAAAAACACAGATTCCAAGTTTATATATATATAAAATATACATGTGCGTGTGTGTGTGTGTATATAATGTGTGTGTGTGTATGTGTGTGTGTATGTATATATATGTGTGTATGTGTGTGTGTGTGTGTGTGTATATATATATATATATATATATATATATATACTTTAAGTTCTGGAATACATGGGCAGAACGTGCGGGTTTGTTGCACAGGTATACAGGTATTATGGTAGTTTGCTGTTCCCATCAACCCTCATCATCTACATTAGGTATTTCTCCCAGTGCTAACCCTCTCAAACCCCTCCAACCCCCCACCCCTGTATGTGATGTTCCCCTCCCTGTGTCCATGTGTTCTCATTGATCAGCTCCTACTTATGAGTCAGAACATGCAATGTTTGATTTTCTGTTCTTGTGTTAGTTTGCTGAGAATCATGGTTTCCAGCTTCATCCATGTTACTGCAAAGAACATGAACTCATCCCTTTTTGTGGCTGCATAGTATTCCACAGCATATACATGCCACATTTTCTTTATCTATTCTATCATTGATGAACATTTGGGTTGGTTCCAAGTCTTTGATATTGTGAAACACGCTGCAATAAACATATGTGTGCATATTTCTTTATAGTTGGTTGATTTATAATCCTTTGAGTATATACCCAGTAATGGAATTGCTGGGTCCATTGGTATTTCTGGTTCTAGATCCTTGAGGAATCATCATACTGTTTTCCACAATGGGTTAACTAATTTACACTCACATAAACTGTATAAAACTGTTCCTGTTTCTCCACATCCTCTTCAGCATATGTTGTTTCCTGACTTTTTAGTGATTGCCATTCTAACTGGAGTGAGATGGTATCTCATTGTGGTTTTAATTTGCATCTCTCTAATGACCAGTGATGAGATTTTTTTCAAACGTTTATTGGGTGCTTAAATGTCTTCTTTTGAGAAGTGTCTGTTCATATCCTTCACCAACTTTTTGATCTGATTGTTTTTTTTTCTTGTAAATTTGTTTAAGTTCTTTGTAGATTCTGGATATTAGCCCTCTGTCAAATTATCCCTTTGCAAAAATCTTCTCCCATTCTGTAGGTTGCCTGTCCACTCTGATGATAGTTTATTTTTTTGCTGTGCAGAAGCTTGTTAGCTTGATTAGATCCCATTTCTCAATTTTGGCTTTTGTTGACATTGCTTTTGGTGTTTTTGTCAGGAAGATTTTACCAATGCTTATGTTCTGAATGGTTATTGCCTAGGTTTTCTTCTAGGTTTTTTATAGTTTTAGGCCCACATTTAAGTCTTTAATCCATCTTGAGTTAATTTTTGTATAAGGTTTGAGGAATGGGTCCAGTTTCAGTTTTCTGCCTAAGGCTAGCCAGTTCTCCCAACACTATTTGTTAAACAGGGAATTTTTTACCATTGCTTGGTTTTGTCAGGTTTGTCAAAGATCTGATTGTTATAGATGTGTGGCATTATTTCTGAGGCCTCTATTCTGTTTCATTGGTCTATATATCTGTTTTGGTACCAGTGCCATTCTGTTTTGGTTACTGTGGACTTTTAGTGTAGTATTAAGTCAGGTAGCATGATGCCTCCAGCTTTTTCTTTCTGCTTAGGATTTTCTTGGCTATATGAGCTCTTTTTTGGTTCCATACAAAATTTAAACTAGTTTTTTAAATATAAAATTCTGTAAAGAAAGTCAATGGCAGCTTGATGGGGAGAGCACTGAACCTATAAATTACTTTGGGCAGTATGGCCATTTTCACAGTGTTGATTCTTCTTATCCATGAGCATGGAATGCTTTTCCATTTGTTTTTGTTCTCTCTTATATCCTTGAGCAAGTGGTTTGTAATTCTCTTTGGAAGGGTCCTTCACATCTCTTGTAAGTTGTTTTCCTAGGTATTTTATTCTCTCAGTAGCAATTGTGAATGGGAGTTCACTCATGATGTGGCTCTCTGTTTGTCTGTTATTGGTGCATAGGACTGCTTGTGATTTTTGCACATGGATTTTGTATCCTAAGACTTTGCTGAAATTGCATATCATCTTAAGGAGATTTGGGGCGGACACAATGGTTTTTTCTAAATACATCATTATGTCATTTTCATACAGAGAAAATTTGATTTACTCTCTTCCTATTTGAATACACTTTATTTCTTTCTCTTGCCTGATTGCTCTGACTAAAACTTCCAATACTGTAGGGGCCAGCCCCACAGGGTTGGTAGGTTTCTCCCTATGTGCGGAGATAAGAGAGCATAGAAATAAAGACACGAGACAAAGAGATAAAAGAAAAGACAGCTGGGCCTGGGGGAACATTACCACCAAGGCACAGAGACCGGTAGGGGCCTTGAATGCCAGGCTGCACTGGTATTTGTTGGATACAAGAAAAAGGGGCAGGATAAGGAGTGTGAGCCATCTCCAATGATAGGTAAGGCTACATGGGTCATGTGTCCACAGAACAAAGTGCTCTTCCCTGCCTGGCAGCTGTGGCAGAGAGAGAGAGGAGAAAGAGAGAAACAGCTTATATTGTTATTTCTGCTTATCAGAGACTTTTAGTACTTTCACTAATTTGCTACTGCTAACTAAATGGCAGAGCCAGGAGTACAAGATGGAACATGAAGGTGGACTAGGAACATGACCACTGAAGCACAGCATCACAGGGAGATGGTTAGGCCTCCAGATACCTGTGGGTGGGCCTGACTAATGTCAGGCACTCCACAAGAGGTGGAGGAGTAGAGTGATCTCCAAATTCCTCCTGGGAAAGGGAGACTCCCTTTCCTGGTCTGCTAAGTAGAGGGTGTTTTTCCTTGACACTAACGCTACTGCTAGACCGCAGTCCGCTTGGCAATGGGTGTCTTCCCAGATGTTCGCATTACCACTAGACCAAGGAGCCCTCTGGTGGCCCTGTCTGGGCATAACAGAAGGCTCGCACTCTTGTCTTCGGTCACTTCTCACTATGTCTCCTTAGCTCCTATCTCTATATGGCCTGGCTTTTCCTAGGTTATGATTATAGAGAGGGGATTATTATAATATTGGAATAAAGAGTAACTGCTACTAATGATTGATATTCATATATAATCATATCTAAGATCTATATCTGGTATAACTATTCTTATTTTATATTTTATGATACTGGAAGAGCTCATGTCCTCTGTCTCTTGCCTCAGCACCTGGGTGGCTTGCCACCCACATCTCCCCTCTTTTTATTAACTAAGATCGCCATCACCATCATTGCTTGTCATTGACTTCAGACGTGGTTTTGGGCTCCTTGGAGGCATCTGCAGACCAAAAGGAGACAACATAAGCATACAATAATAAGAACGCCAGTAACAACAATGATCCTCTAAGGGGTTTGATCCATTTGAAGGGATTAAAATCAGATAATTGTTTAGTTATGCCTTCAAAAATGTGTGAGCCAGGAAGAGAGGATAAATGAGCTTGTGATGCCTCAAAAATTTGCTCAAGTTTTGAAATATCCAAGGTTAAGTTATCATCCCAGGCTTTTAAATGCCTTGAGACCTTTTTCCAGCTCTGTTGATCTTTATTATAAGTATAAGGCATTATGCAATAATCAGAAGTACTCTAATCACACTGTAATTTTATACGATGTTCCAAGTTCATAACTCTAACTCCCAGCCAGATTACACTTTGGCAGAGATCATTAATTTGATGAGCTAATTTTTGATCAATTTGAGCCTGAGAATTCCAACGTCTGGAGGAGTTTTTTTGCCATGCTTCAACTTATTAAGCAGATTGAACAGAATTTTGTATGGCAATTCCAGCAGCGGCTGCTGTTGCAGTAACAGCAATTAGTCCTGCAATGACTGCAATAAGAGTAAAAATAAATCTCTTGTTCTTTTGAGGGTACCTTTAAGAACTTCACTGACTATGTGAATAGACAGGGAAGACTCTGAAGGATGATGTAAAGAAACTGGTATCCATACCCCCTCCCTAGCCCTTACCAAGAGAATACTTGTAGTGGGATTAAAAGTAGCATCAATGCATGTGAACAGCTTACAGTTACCACATTCTACAGTTTGTGTGTTGGGAATGATAATTATTTTTCCAACCAACAGCATGTAAGGGTGTTTGACGCAGCTCCTGATGGGTATCTCCCATTCAGATATGAAGGTGATGTTGAATGTGGGTGTTTTGGAATTAGTGTGAAGGAATTGATAGGTAGTGTTCCATATCCTTATTCCTGTCATAGCTGCAGCTAATTTTCATAGTTGAGGATGTTTTGGGGTAAGAAAGGGATGAATCGTTTTTGGTCTAGGAGGAGCAGTGTCTGCGTACATCCATTTAAATGGGTAAGGAGGCATCCATTGTCTCAGCCTGTATATAATCTAACAAATAATTAAATTCCAAGCATGAGGTATTTTTGCCAGAGCAATCTTGACACTAATGCCCTTTTGGAGCCCAATGAATAACAATACCCATGGCTAGACTTTGGAGCACAATGGCCTTGGGAGCATTACAATTATTCCATAAAATTGAAGTCACTATAAAAGGTCCCTTTGTAGGTTTCTTTAGGCAGTCTGGCAGTCCTTTTGTTTTATTAATTTTGGTAGTGACAGGAACTCTCCATTCCTCATGAGGAGCAAGTTTGACAGTGAGAAGTTGAAAAGAATTGGTCCTGAACACATTATGTACTTAATAAGAATCATTTGTAAAGGATGGTATGGTCCACATCCAATTCTGGTGAGAATAAGCTAAACAGCCAGGCAACACCCCAATGCATAGTGGTAGATATTTATAGCCAATTGACAGATTAAAGTGCATACCGTCTTCTTCTGGTTGAGCTGGTAACCAATCATCATTAGAGACCGACATGAATGCACTATTATTAGTGTAAACTTCTACTGGGGAGTCCATCCAGGAGACAGACCGAATTAGAGGGGGAAAAGGAACATATTCCCAGTAAGTATAATTATGTATTGCCCTAACCGGTGGTATACTTAACGCTGCACTGACTACCATAAAGGCAGCCAGAATCATATTACTGGTCGTTTTTGGAGTGACTTTTTCTTTTAAGAAATTTTCTGTTTGATGAGATGAAACCTTTATTTGACCCCATGTTGGTGGAGTTGAACGAGCAGTGTTGTATGTCACATGGCAAGATCTTGTCTCAATGTGGAGGTCATGAAGTTTATGTGTCAGGCGGTGAAAGTTGCTCTTTGGTTTCAGACGGGTCTTTGCCTTTTGTTTGTGGGAGCATTTCATCTTTGGAGTTATGGTGCAATTTTAATTTTCAGGAGGGGACCCACACAGGCTGTAGTCCTTTTTCTGGGGAAACGCAAGCAAAACGTCTACCGCAAGTTATGACCGTGCCTAATTCCCATGTGTTAGTTTTTGCATCCTTCCACCGTACACACATTGATTTTTGTGGATCAAATTTATTTCCAGTGAAATGTTGTTCTGCCACTGTAAAAGGTAGATTTCTTGTTAGACTTAAGAAATTTAGTGTAAAAAGAACCATATTTAGTTGGGCATGAGGAGAAGCAGCGTCTCCCTTTGATTTAGTATCCAGTTTTCAAAGTTGATCTTTGAGTGTTTTATTGGCTTATTCAACCAAGGCCTGTCCTTGAGAATTATAGGGGATGCCAGTTGTATGAATAATTGCCCATGTTTGAGTGAACTTTTTAAAAGCAGCACTAGTGTAGCAGGGCCTGTTATCAGTTTTTAGTTTCTCAGGACAACCCATAACCAAGAAACAGGAAAGCGTATGCCATTTAACATGAGCTGTTCTTCCTCCTATTTGACAAGTGACCCAAATAAAATGAGAAAAGGTACCAATAGTTACATGTATAAAAGAAAGCTTGCCAAAAGCAGGATAATGAGTCATGTCCGTTTGCCAGAGAGCATTCTGTGAAAGTCCTGCAGGCTTGACTCCTGAAGAAAGTGCCTGTAAAATTCACACCTGACAGGTAGGATAGTGACATACAATGGTTTTAGCTTGTTTCCATGTAAGGGGGAACTTTTTTCAGAGTCCCACAGCATTGGCATTAGGTAAAGCATGAAAATTTTCTGCATCTATAAAAATGGGAGTAACTAATATATCAGCTCTGGCATTTGCTGCTGAGAGGGGTCTGGGGAGGGGTGTGTAGGCCCAAATGTGAGTAATGTAGAAAGGAGAAGACCTTGCTCTGAGCACAGACTGAAATCTTTGAAAAAGAAAGAATAGATTATCAACAGGCACAAATTTGATTAAGGCAGTTTCAATTTTGAGAGCAACATGTATGACATATGCTGAGTCAGAGACAATGTTAACTGGTTCAGGAAAATCTTCAAGGACAGCCATAACAGCAAGCAGCTCAGCTCTTTGTGCTGAGATAGTTCCTGTGGTAAGAACACGTCCTCTTGGCCCTGTATATGCTGTTTGGCCATTACAGGAAGCATCAGTGAAAACAGTGATAGCTTCAGCTAATGAGGTATTTCTAGTAATGTTAGATAAAATCCAAGAAGTGAGTTTAAGGAACTGAAATAATTTTACATTAGGAGAGTTATTATCAATTATACCAGGAAACCTGCCAAATATACTTGCAAGCAATGCAAGTTGCAAAAGTTTGTTGAACTTGTAATTTGGTGAGAGGAACAATATATTTTTTTTGGGGGGGTTGCTTAATAACCTTGTCTTTTAGCTGCATTCCTAAATAGTGATAAGGAGAAGAGGTCTGGATTTTTTCTGGGGCAATAACTAAAAAGGCTACTGCAACTGCTTGTTGTACTGTAGAAAAACAAGATATTAACATAGAGTATGAAAGTACCATGAGATCAGCCACCTGCTGAGCAAGACTAACAACAGGCTGTGAGTGATTTTCTGCTGCTGGGGTGGCAGGTACTGGAGGTTGTAAAATTACAGGAAATTGCCAGGCTTTGGGACCCCCATATTCTCTTGCCTGTGCTATAGCCCTCACAAGTGGAGTGTCATTTTGAGGAATGTATGTAACTTGTTGCTTGTGAGCCACAAGGGTAGATGAGATTACCTGCTGAGCAGGTCTTTCATGGGCCTGAAATTCAGGCTGCCATCGCAACTGTGGACCAGGCTTCAAGGGAGACTGTGACTCTAATTGGGTCTGAGTAGGAGGAAAGGAACCAGGCTTTAAGGGAGCCTGTGACTCTAGCCGAGTCCAATTAGGAGGAAGAAACCAGGCTTCAAGGGAGGCTGTGACTCTAACCGCATCCATTTAGGAGGAAAAGAACCAGGCTTCAAGGGAGCCTGTGACTCTAACAGAGCCTGATTAGGAGGAGAGGAACCAGGCCTCAAGGGAGCCTGTGACTGTAGCCGAGTCCAGTTACTTAGTAGTGACTTGTCCCATGGTGTCCCCAGAATACTCTGAATTCTCAAGCTTACCACCAAGCTTATTGATCGCAATCCTCAAAAATCTCTGGTCAAAATCCTCCATTGAATCCCACACTCTGTGTGCAACTTCACACAGTGAGGGAGAGCCCTACGTCGGATCGCCAGATGTAGGGTCCAGCCCCACAGGGTTGCTGGGTTTCTCCCTGTGTGTGGAGATGAGACAGCATAGAAATAAAGACACAAGAGATAAAAAAGAGATAAAAGAAAAGACAGCTGGGCCAGGGGGACCACTACCATCAGGAAGCGGAAACTGGTAGTGGCCCCAAATGCCACTGATATTTATTGGATATAAGAGAAAGGGGCAGGATAAGGAGTGTGAGCCATCTCCAATGATGGGTAAGGCCACATGGATCACTTGTCCACTGGACAGGGGGCCCTTTCCTGCCTGGCAGCCAAGGCAGAGAGAGGGAGGAGAAAGAGAGAAACAGCTTACATTATTATTTCTGCTTATCAGAGACTTTTAGTACTTTCACTAATTTGCTACCGCTAACTAAACGGCAGAGCCAGGTGTACAAGAAGGAACATGAAGGCAGACTAGAGCATGACCACTGAAGCACAGCATCACTGGGAGACTGTTAGGCCTCTGGATAACTGAAAGTGGGCCTCACAAGTCAGGCCCTCCACAAGAGGTAGAGGAGTAGAGTCTTCTCTAAACTCCCCCTGGGAAAAGGAGACTCCCTTTGCTGGTCTGCTAAGTAGCGGGTGTTTTTCCTTGACACTTAAGTCTACCACTAGACCATGGTCCACTTGGCAATGTGCGTCTTCCCAGATGCTGGAGTTACCACTAGAACAAGGAGCCCTATGGTGGCCCTGGCTGGGCATAACAGAAGGCTCACCCTGTTATCTTCTGGTCACTTCTCACTATGTCTCCTCAACTCCTATCTCTGTATGGCCTGGCTTTTCCTGGGTTATGATTATAGAGTGAGGATTATTATAATATTGGAATAAAGAGTAATTGTTACCCACTATTGATTAATGATATTCATATATAATCATATCTAAGATCTATGTCTGGTATAACTATTCTTATTGTATATTTTATTATACTGGAAGAGCTCATGTCCTCGGTCTCTCGTCTCGGCACCTGGGTGGCTTGCCTACCACACAATACTATGTTGAACAGGAGGGGTGACAGATAGCATACTTGTTTTGTGCCGGTTTTCCAAGGGAATGCTTCCAGTTTGTACCCATTAAGTATGATTTTGGCTGTGGGATGGTCATATATAGCTCTAATTATTTTGAGTTATGTTCCATGAATGCCTAGTTTATTGAGAGTTTTTAGCATGAAGGGATGCTGAATTTTGTCAAGGCCTTTTCTGCATCTGTTAACGTAATCATGCGATTTTTGTCGTCGGTTCTGTTTATGTGATGGATTACATTTATTGATTTATAGGTGTTGAACCAGACTTGCATCCCAGATATGAAGCTGACTTGATTGTTGTGGACAAGCTTTTTGGTGTGCTGCTGGAGTCACTTTGCTAGTATTTTATTGAAGATTTTCTCATCAATATTCATCAGGGATATTGGCCTGACAGTTTCTTTTTTTGTTGTGCCTCTGCCAGGTTTTGGTATCAGTATGATGCTGGCCTCGTAAAATGAGTTAGGGAGGATTCCTTCTTCTTCTATTGTTTGGAATAGTTTCAGAAGGTATGTTACCAGCTCCTCTTTGTACCTCTGGTAGAATTCAGCTGTGAATCCATATAATCCTGGCCTTTTTTTTGTTGTTGGTAGGCTATTAATTGCTGCCTCAATTTCAGAACTTGTTATTGGTCTATTCAGGGATTTGGCTTCTTTCTGGTTTAGTCTTGGGAGGCTGTGCATATCCAAGAATTTATCCATTTTGTCTAGATTTTCTAGCTTATTTACCTAAGTAGAGGTGAGAGGTGTTTATAGTATTCTCTTATCATAGTTTGTATTTCTGTGGGAACGGTGGTGTTTTGCCATTTATCATTTTTTAATGCATCTATTTGAATCTTCTCCTTTTCTTTTTTATTAGCTTGGCTAGTGGTCTATCCTTTTTTTTTTTTAATCTTTATAAAAAACAGCTTCTGGATTCACTGATTTTTTGAAGGGGTTTTTGTGACTCTAACTCCTTCCGTTCTGCTGAATCTTAGTTATTTCTTATCTTCTGCTAGCTTTTGAATTGCTTTGTTCTTGCTTCTCTAGTTCCTTTTTTAAAATTGCATTCGTAAATGTATTACATTAAAATTTCTCTTTAAGTATTTCAAAGGCATGACCTAAAACTGAAAGCTTCATTTAGTCTAGGGTGTAAATTTTAGATCTTTCCTCCTTTCTCTTGTGGGCATTTAGTGCAATAAATTTTTCTCTACACACTTCTTTAAATGTGTCCCAGAGATTCTGGTACATTGAGTCTTTGTTCTCATTGGTGTCAAAGAATATCTTTATTTCTGCCTGCCTTTTATGTCTACCCAGCAGTCACTCAGGAGCAGGTTGTTAAGTTTCCATGTAGTTTTGCAGTTTTGAGTTTCTTAATCCTGAGTTCTAAATTGGTTCCTCTGTGATATGAGAGCTTGTTATGATTTCCATTGTTTTGCAATTGCTCAGAACTGTTTTACTTCCAATTTTGTGGTAAATTTTAGAATAAGTGCAATGTGGTTCAGAGAATAATGTACCTTATGTTGATTTAGGGGAGAGAGTTCTGGAGATGTCTACTAGGTCTGCTCAGTTCACAGATGAGTTCAAGTCCTGAATCTCGTTGTTAATTTTTTGTCTTGTTGATCTGTCTAATACTGACTGTGGGGTGTTAAAGTCTCCCACTACTATTGTGTGGGAGTCTAAGTCTCTTTGAAGGGCTCTAAGAACCTGCTTTATAAATCTAGGTGCCCCTGAATTGGGTGCATATTTATTTATTATATCTCTTCTTGTTGAATTGATTCATTTACCATTATGTAATGCCCTTCTTTGTCTCTTTTGATTGTTGTTGGTTTAAAGTCTGTTTTAACAGAGGATGGCATAGCAACCCGTAATTTTTTATTTTCCATTTACTTGATAAATATTCCTCTCTCCTTTTATTTTGAGGCTATGTGCCTGTTTGCATGTGAGAAGGGTCTCTTAAATACAGCACACTGATGGATTACTCTTTAGCCAATTTTCCTGTCTGTCTTTTAATTGGGGCATTTAGCCTGTTCATATTTAATATTGTTATATGTGAATTTGATCTTTTTATTATGATGCTAGGTGGTTACTTTGCCAGTTAGTTGATGCAGTTTATTCATAGTGACAATGACCTTTACAGTTTGGTATGTTTTTGCACTGGCTGTTACCGGTTGTTCCTTTCCATGTTTAGTGCTTCCTTCACGAGCTCTTGTAAGAATGTTGAATATTGGCCCCTACTCTTTTCTGTCTTATAGGGTTTCTCCTGAGAGATTTGCTGTTAGTCTGATGGGCTTCCCTTTGGGAGTAACCCGACCTTTCTCTCTGGCTGCCCTTAACATTTTTTCCTTCATTTCAACCTTGGTGAATCTGACAATTATGTGTCTTGGGGTTGCTCCTCTCAAGGATTATTTTTGTGGTGTTCTCTGTATTTCCTGAATTCAAATGTTGGCCTGCGTTGCTTGGTTGGGGAAGTTCTCCTGGATAATATCCTGAAGAGTGTTTTCCAACTTGGTTCCATTCTCCCCGTTACTTTCAGGTAGACCCATCAAATGTAGGTTTAGTCTTTTCACGTAGCCCCATATTTCTTGGAGGCTTTGTTGGTTTCTTTTCAGTCTTTTTTCTCTAATCTTGTCTTCCCATTTTGTTTCGTTAAGTTGATCTTTAATCTCTTATATCCTTTCTTCTGCTTGATCAATTTGATTACTGATAATTATGTATACTTCATGAAGTTCTCATTCTGTGTTTTTCAGCTCCATCAGGTCATTTATTTTCTTCTCTAAACTGGTTATTCTAGTTAGCAATTTGTCTAACCTCTTTTCAATGTTCCTAGCTTCCTTGCATTGGGTTAGAACATGCTCCTTTAGCTTGGATGAATTTGTTATTACCCACCTTCTGAACCCTACTCTGTCAATTCATCAAACTCCTTCCCCATCCAGTTTTGTTCCCTTGCTGGTGAGCAGTCGTGATCCTTTGGAGGATAAAAACCATTCTGCTTTTGGAAATTTCAGGCTTTTTGCACTGTTTTCTCCCAATCTTCCTGGATTTATTTATCTTTGGCCTTTGAAGTCAGTGACCTTCTGATTGGGTCTCTGAGTGGATGTCCTTTGTTGGTGTTGATACTATTCATTTCTGTTTGTTAGTTTTCCTTCTAACAGTCAGGCCCCTCTGCTGCAGGTCTACTGGAGCTTGCTGGAGGTCCACTCCATACCATGTTTGCTCTGGTATCACTTGCAGAGCCTGGGGAACAGCAAAGATTGCTGCCTGTTCTTCCCCCTGGAAGTGTCATCCCAGAGGGGCACCCACCAGATGACAGCTAGAGCTCTCCTGTATGATGTGTCTGTTGGCACCTACTGAGAGGTGTCTCCCTCTCAGGATACATGGGGATCAGGGACCCACATGAGGAGGCAGACTGTTCCTTATCAGTTAGTGAACGATGTCTGGAAGATCCCCTAATGTCTTCAGAATGGCCAGGCAGGGATGTTTAAGTCTGCTGAAGCTGTTCCCACAACTTCCCCTTTCCCCAGGTCCTCTGTCCCAGGGATGTGTTTTATCTATAAGCCTCTGACTAAGGTTGCTGCCTTTTTTCCAGAGATCCCTGTCCCAATGGGAGGGAATCTAGAAAGGCAGTCTTGTTCCAGTGGCCTTGCCTAGCCTCTGTGGGCTGTGCCCAATTTGAAATTGCCTGCAGCTTTGTTTACATTGTGAGGGTGAAGCTGTCTACCCAAGCTTCAGCAAAGGCAGATGCCCCTCCCCACCCCCAAGCTTGAGCATCCCAAGTTGAACTCAGACTGGTGTGCTGGTGCAAGAATGTCAAGCCAGTGCATCTTAGCTTGCTGGGCTCCATGGGGCTGTGACCCACTGAGCCAGACCATTTGGCTCCCTGGCTTCAGCCCCCTTTCCAGGGGAGTGAACAGTTCTTTTCCACTGGCATCCCAGGTGCCAGTGGGGTATGAAAACAAACTCCTGTGGATTGTTTGTTATCTACCCAAACAGCTTCCTAGTTTTATGCCGCAAACCCAGGCCCCTAGAGGAATAGGCACTGAAGGGATTCTCCTGATCTGCAGCTTGTGAAGATGGTGGGAAATGTGCAATATCTGGGCGGAAGTGCACAGTACCATCCCTAATTGCTTCCCTTGGCTAGGAGAGGGAGTTCGCCAACCTCTTGAACTTCCCAGGTGAGGCGATGCCCAATCCTGCTTCAGTTCACTCTCCTTGGGCTGTACACACTTGTCCAACAAGTCCCAGTGAGAGGAACCAGGTACCACAGTTGGAAATGCAGAAATCACCAGCCTTCTGTGTTAATCTCACTGGGAACTGCAGATCAGAGCTGTTCCTATTTGGCCATCTTGCCAGGAATCCTTGAATCTTAGGTTTTACAATAGTGATGCTATTCTTAGGAGTAACCAGAAAGGATTAGAATATTGTGGCTTCTGGCTTCATGAGTCCTAAAACATAATTTCTAATTTTGGGCTTAACTTATTCATCCTAAAAAGGAAGTCTTGTCTCCAGGCAAGATGGTAGTTTGCTTTGGGAAAGGGCTGTTATCTTTGTCACAGTTAAACTATAAACTAAGTTCCTTCCAAAGTTAGTTCAGATGCCTGGGAATGAACAAGGGCAGCTTGGCTTTTACAAGGAAGATGGAGTCCATTACAGTAGATCCCTTTCGCTGTCATAATTTTCTCACTGTTACAATTTTTCCAAAAGCAGTTTTAAGAGCACTCAAAGGAAAACACAGCCTCAAATGTCTATATTATCTAAAAGAAATGAGAGAAGCAAACAAACTAAGTATTTATTTGAATAAAGAACAAAATAAGATAAAATTGAATAGAAAAATGATAATAAAGATTGAAGATGAAATTAATGGAATGGAAAATAAAAATCATACCTACCACCCAAGATAGTTTCTTAAAATTTTGCAATGAAATAAAACAGATAAAGTCTCTGTGAGTCTGATGGATTGTGAAGAAACAAATAGCAAGATTACATTATTAAAAAAAGGGGGGGCTTACATCAGACACAGGGGAATTTAAAGAAATGGATACCAATGATAAAAAAATTACATGAAAATCTATTACACTTAATTTGCAAACAGAAGCAGCAGAAGATTTTGTGGGAAATAAAAATTACTAAGTTTGATGGAACAAAATTGAGAAAACAAAGTTGGCTGGTTTTCATGGAAATAAATGTCAAGCCCACTAGAGATCTACCATTGAAATATGCAACAGAAATAGGCCTTTTTACAGCTGAATTGCAACTCATATTCAAATAAAAAACCATAAATCTTGATATTAAACTCTTTCATTCCACAGAAATAATACGGAGCCCACTAATTTATTTGATGAGGATGTTACCAGAAAGAGTTCCTGATCCAGATTCCAGGAAGGGGTTTTTGGACTTCACACAAGAAAGAAATCAGAGCGAGTCTGTATAGTAAAGTGAAGGCAAGCTTATTAAGAAAGTAAAGGAATAAAGAACGGCTACTCCAGTCCAGGCTTGGTGGCTCCCACCTGTAACCCCAGCACTTTGGGAGGCCGAGGTGGGCAGATAACGAGGTCAAGAGATCGAGACCATCCTGGCTAACACGGTGAAAACCCATCTCTACTAAATATACAAAAAATTAGCCAGGTGTGGTTGCGGGCTCCTGTAGTCCCAGCTACTCGGGTGGCTGAGGCAGGAGAATGGCATGAACCCAGGAGTTGGAGCTTGCAGTGAGCTGAGATTGTGCCACTGCACTCCAGCCTGGGCAACAGAGCAAGACTCCCAATCAAAAAAAAAAAAAAAAAAAAAAAAAGAATGGTTACTCCATAGGTAGAGCAGTGGCATGGGCTACTGACTGAATATACTTACAGTTACTGCTTGATTATGTGCCAAACAAGGAGTGGTTTATTCATTAGTTTTCTAGAAAAGGTGTGGGCAATTCTTTAAACTGAGTGTTCTTCCCCTTTATATACCTTAGAGGGTAATGATAATTAATGGACATTGTCATGGCATTTGCAAACTCTCATGGCAATAGTGGACATGTCTTTAAGTCTTTAAGCAGCTAATGCATTATAATTAGCATATGACCAGGAAGGATGACCAGAGGTCATTTGTGTTGCCATCTTAGATTTGGCCAGTTTTGGCCAGCTTCTTTTACGTATCCTGTTTTATCTGGTCTTTTGATTTGTGATACTGGTTCTGCCTACTTCCCCTTTTATACTGTGACTTAGAATGCCAGATCTCCAGGGAATGCAGCCCAGCATGTTTCAGCCTCATTTAACACAGCCCCTATTCAAGATGGAATTGCTTTTGTTCAAATGCCTCTGATAAGTACACTATAGAAATATGATGAATACAAGTTGTAGGTTCCAGCTAGCTTTGCATCTAGCAGCATGAATTTTAGCATCTTCATTGGTTAACAAGAAAGGGGATGCATTAGGCTTTAGTTATTCATCTTTATGAATTTTATTCTGAATGTGCACACAAGATGTTCTGGTTCAGAGATAGATTTTTTTATTAAAAACCACAAAACCACACAGCACATAAGAAGAGTGTTCTCAATCTCTCTGCTAGTCTTTATCCTGGGGAAATACAATGAGAACCAGGTCAATTGTCTTAAGCAAGCAACCTAACACACTTCTTAGGTTGAGAGATAAAAAATTTTTTAAACTGTTTATAAAAGAAAAGGAAGGAGATGTCCCTTTGCTGCTGAAGGGATCACCTCCTTTCTCCAGCCCTTTGAAATATAAAATAAAACCTCTCCAGAAGCTGAAGGAGCCTGTGTTTTTTATCACCTAGAGATGCTGCCAGCATCTGGGTGTTTTCCTCCTTGAAATCTAAATACCTACTTGGGTACTTGGGTACTTGCACCAGTCTGACAAGTTTCTAGGCACTTAGCCTAAGAACAAGTGAGAGCTGTTAGCATTTGGCTTTGGGGAAATAAGAAGTTTTATTATGATTTCCAATAAGAGAAATTAACTAGATACATGGCTGCTTATCCAGTTCTCACAGTATGAGGAGATGCTTCAAACGGAAATGAAAGCAAACATTTTTCTAAGAAAGGCTAAGTCATCTCACAGAAGCACTGAGACATCCAGGGAGGTTTTACCACTCCACAGATTGAGAGGTAAACTAGCCATTTTATGACTGTTTTTTGACTTTTTGTTCTAGAGACAGGTTCTTACTCTGTTGCCCAGGATACAGTGCAGTGGTTTGATCGTGGAGTGTAGACTTCTATTTTTATTTCTTAAAATGGAGTCTAGCTCCATTTCCCAGTCTGCAGTGCAGTGGCATGATTTCAGCTCACTGCAACCTTTACCTCTTGGGATCAAGCAATTCTCCTGCCTCAGATGCCTGAGTAGCTGGGATTACAGGCTACTTGCTGGGTGAGATTACCCACCACCAAGCCTGACTAATTTTTGTATTTTTAGTAGAGATGTGGTTTTACCATGTTGGCCAGGCTGGTCTGGAAATCTTGGCCTCAAGAAATCTTCCTGCCTCAGCCTCCCTAATTGTTGGGATTACAGGTGTGAGCCACCACACCCAGCCCATGGACTGTACCCTTGACCTTCTGAGCTCAAGCAAACCTCTTACCTCAGCCACCCAAGTAACCGGGGACAACCTGTATGCACCATCATGCCTGGCTAATTTTTCTTTTTCTTTTTCTTTTCTTTTTTTTTTTTTGTAGAGACAATGTTTTCCTATATTGCTTAGGCTAGATGACTACTTTTTAGAATAAAATGAGTTAATATATGAAATACGGTACTTTCTACATAAAGCATATATTCATTTTTGATACAAAATAATGATTTTAGTGTAGGTAAATATAATTCAATCTTCCTAATGATATTGGTGCCTTTGAAACTTGTTTAAAATCTAGTATCATAGCATGGAATGACACTCTATGTGGTTAAGAAGAGTAGCTGCAAAAATTACAATGCATTAGAAAAATGCACTATGTTAGAAAATCTGTCAATATAATCCATTAATTCAACCAATGAAAGACAAGTGTGTGAGTCCATCAATAGGCACTGAAGAATTATAACTGAATCTAAAATAGTAAGAAGAAAAGGATAAGACATTTTAAAAAGGATAAGACATTTTAAAAAGGATAAGACATTTTAACAAACACACAAATAAGAAAAGCATCTCAGCTATGTGCATGGCTTGTGCCTATAATCCCAGCTCTTTGGGAGACTCAGTTTGGAGGATTGCTTGAGACCAGGTATTTGGGAGCAGCCTGGGCAACATGGCAAAATTCCACCTTTACAAAAATTAATCAAAATTAGCTGAGTGTGGTGGCACATGCCTATAGCTCCACATAGTAAAGAGGCTGAGATAGGAGGATTGCTTGACCCCAGGATGTTGAGTCTGCTGTGAGCTGGGATCACACCACTGTACTCCAACGTGGGCACCAAAGCAAGAAACAGTCTCAAATGAAACAAATAAAAAAAAAAAGTGCTTTTCTAAGACGAATATCAACTGCAGCCTAAAACACAAAAAGCAAATTCAAGAAAAGTAATTTCAAGAAAAATCAGAGGGCATATGGGAATGCCTTTTATTTCTGTTATTATCCAGTGACTTCTGGAAGATTGTGGTAAATGCAGTGAAATGAGTAAATGAACATTGTGATAACTATTGGAAAAGAACATAAAATTGGAGCACTTTTGCTGATAGCATAAATGCTTACCTGAGAAAATCTATTAAAGCCTGTTAGAAAAATAGACTAATTTGGTAACATTGCTGAATAGAAAGTAAATAAATAAAAATTATCAGGTTTTTTTACATGCTGCAATAAGAACCTAGAAAGAAATATGGGAACATTCTGTTGATAATTCAGTAATTTTTTAAAAAAACTTAGCAGTGCATATAATAAAAATGACCCTGGGAAGAAATATATTAAATTAAACTGGGACACAGAATACCCAAACAAATAGAAGTATATGTTTTATTCTCAAATGCTTAAATTATATATCATGAAAATGCCACCTCTACCAAAATTAATGTATGAATCAGTTGTCATAAAAATATGGATTTTTTTTCTTTTTTTTTGAGATGGAGTCTCGTTCTGTCACCCAGGCTGGAGTGCAGTGTTGTCATCTTGGCTCACTGCTAGCTCCACCTCCCAGATTCATGCCATTCTCCTGCCTCAGACTCCCAAGTAGCTGGTACTGACAGTTGCCTGCCACCAATCCTGGCTACTTTTTTGTATTTTTTTATTTTTTTTTTTTAGTTGAGACAGGGTTTCACTGTATTAGCCAGGATGATCTTGATCTCCTGACCTTGTGATCCACCCACATCCAAAGTACTGGGATTATAGGCATGAGCCACCATGCCCGGCCAATATATGTTGCAGGAAGTCAGGGACCCCGAATGGAGGGACCAGCTGGAGCCGCAGCAGAGGAAAATAAATTGTGAAGATTATGTGGACATTTATCAGTTCCTAAATAATACTTTCATAATTTCTTATGCCTGTCTTTACTTTAGTCTCTTAATCCTGAGGATTTAAGCTGAGGATTTACCTCACCTCAAGACCACTGTGATAATTGTTAGCTGTACAAATTGATTGTAAAACATGTGTGTTTGAACAATATGAAATCAGTGCACCTTGAAAAAGAACAGAATAACAGCGATTTTTAGGGAACATGGGAAGACAACCATAAGGTCTGACTGCCTGTGGAGTCTGGCAAAAAAAGCCATATTTTTCTTTTTGTGGAGAGCCTGTAAACAGACATGCAAGGGAAGTTATTGGTAAATTCTTTTCCTAGCAAGGAATATTAATATTAATACCCTGGGGAAGGAATGCATTCCTGCGGGGAGGTCTATAAATGGCTGTTCTGGGAATGTCTGTCTTATGCAGTTGAGATAAGGACTGAGATATGCCCTGGTTTCCTGCAGTACCATCAGGCTTACTAGGGTGGAGAAAAATCTCTGCCTTGGTAAATTTGTGGTCAGACTGGTTCTCTGCTCTCATACCCTGTTTTCTGTTAAGATGTTTATCAAGACAATAAGTGCACTGCTGAACACAGACCCTTATCAGTGGCTCTGCTTTTTCCCTTTGTCCTGTTCCCTCAGAAGCATGTGATCTTTGTTAGACCCTTATTAGTAGTTCTGCTTTTTGCCCTTTGAAGCATGTGATGTCTGTACCTACTCCCTGTTCTTACACCCCCTCACTTTTTAAACCCTTAATACAAACCTGCTGGTTTGAGACCCAGGTGGGCATCATGGTCCTAATGATATGTGATGTCACCCCTGGTGGCCCAGCTGTAAAATTCCTCTTTGTACTGTCTCTCATTATTTTTCAGCCAGCCAACACTTATGGAAAATAGAAATAACCTACACTGATGTATTAGGGGCGGTTCCCCCAATAAAAATATGTATCTTAGCAAGGTGTTTTATCTTTTGCATTGAGAAAATGATCTTATAGTTCATATAGGATCATATATTATAAAAATACAGTGAGAAAATCAATGAGAGACATAATACATGATATAGATCATTTGCCACCACATACAGGACATGCTATAATGATACTGTAATCAGATCAATGATATTATCTTAGGAATATGCTATAGAAAATGACACAAGCTGCTACATTTTATAAAATCAACTTCTTTCTTTCCTGTCCTAGGTGTAGGGACTGGAGGCTGGTTTTCAACATCACTGCTGTCAAGTCAACTCAGTTGTTTCTGTTTGCCTACATTTTTCTATTCTATTTAAAGCAAATTCTCTAACTTGTTTTCCTGGCTAGACTATGACAATATTTTCTACCAAGCATCGTTAAAACTAAAGTGAAATAGTGCCAATAAAAAAATGCTGATGCTGAGCATCCTGTCGATGTGAGTTTGTTCAATTGGGTTATAAAAATAAAAGAACATGTAAAATTATATTTTAAGTTATAGGGATAGTAATATAAAGTAAGAAATTAAGGAAAAGCAGCCAAGTATGGTGGCTCATGCTTGTAAGCCTGTCACTTTGGTTGGCCAGATCACTTGAATTCGAGACCAGCCTGGCCAATACGGTGAAACCCTGTCTCCACTAAAAATACAAAAATTTGCCAGATATGTTGGTGCATGCCTGTAATCCCAACTACTTGGGAGGCTGAGGCAGGAGAATCACTTGAATTCAGGAAGTGGAGGCTGCAGTGAGCTGAGATTGTGACACTGCTCTCTAGCATGGATGAAAGAGTGAGACTTTGTCTCAAAAAAAAAAAAAAAAGAACTCTGTGGAGGTAGTACAAAAGATATATTTCTGAATGAGGGTACAGAATTGGACAAAAGTTAAACAGCTCAAGGAGGTGAATAACGGCTCTACCTACAAGAAAATGCTATATGTTTTTTAAATAAGCCATTGATGTCTGTTTTACTTGCTTTTTAAAATAATTGGGTAGATTCTCTAAGACTTTATTAGACTAAAATAGGAAAAGTCAAATTTATTTTACTTTTGAAAAATAGACAACTGATAAAATCACAGCACCTGTGCCATTTTATCAAGAAAGGGGAGTGTTTTGTTATACCTTTCCTTTTCAAAAACTACATTTTCTTTTTAAATTAAATTCAATCATTAATATATACAACATATCACTGCTACATTTAAAGCATTAGAAATCCTCAACATACCACAATATGAAATAAATAAATTGTCTGTGATAATAATTACAACTGTGGTTTAGGTTCACACCATTGTGTTAGCTATAAAATTGGAAAACTATATGTAATACTATTGAGATAAACATTGTAAGAACTCAATAAATAATGTCATCAGGGTGTGTTTGATTTTATTATTTTGATTCCCAAAATAAGTTCTATCTCCTGATAGCATAAATGCTGCATCAGTGAAAATCATGCATTATTTTATTTTTTACATTTTTTATCTTTTGAGATGACACAGTGGATCTCACTCTGTCACCAAGGCTGGGTGCAGTGGCACAATCATGTCTCACTGCAGCCTCAACCTCCTGGTACCAAGCAATCCTCCCATATTAGCCTGCTGAGTAGCTGGGAACACAGGTATCAGCCACCATGTCCAACTAATTTATTTTTTACTTTTTATTTGTAAAACTAGGGTCTCCCTGTGTTGCCCAGGCTAGTCTCAAAATCTCGGGCTCCAGCAATCCTCGTCTCAGACTCCCAATGTGCTGGCATTATAGGCCTGAGCTGTCAGGGCACCATACACCATTTTAAATATCAGGAAATAATTAGTCACTTTAGGAATTATATATAGATAATAATAATTTAGCTCTTAGAAAATGATAGATCAGTTGTGATGGCTCACACCTGAAATCCTAGCAATTTTGGAGGCCATGGTGGGCAGATCATCTTAGATCAGGAGTTCGAGACCAGCCTGGCCAACATGGTGAAACCCTATCTCTACTAAAAGTACAAAAAATTAGCTGGGTGTAGTGGTACATGCCTGTAATCCCAGCTACTTGGGAGGCTAAGGCAGCAGGATCCCTTGAACCCAGGAGGCAGAGGTTGCAGTGAGCTGAGATCATGCCACTGCACTCCAGCCTGGTTGACACAGTGAGACCACACCTCAAAAAAAAAAAAGAAAAAGAAAAGAAAAGAAAAGTAAAGTAAAGTAAAGAACAAATGTTTAAACACTGCATCAGTGTACAGGATAAAGCCAAAATATTTAAGTATTATTTACTTTAACAAATCCATACAGTTTTTGTTAGCTTGTTTATACCAAACATTGCATCTTAAAATAACACAAACATCAAAACACAATCTGGAACACTTTTGGAAATATAGTCATATTTTATTACCAGGGACAAATGTACAAATCCAATACAGCATGTCTCATCCTGATAAAAACCTGTACTCTGGTTTATAAGAACATAAGCCTAGATAGAAGTGTTAAGTTATTCTGCCATAGCTCAACTTTTTATTATTCTTACTTTTTACCTAACAGCATACTTAAAATAAACTAATTATTATAAAATAAAATTTAGTGATATTCTGCTGTTTCCAATAGTTTATTTTATGCTTTCCATTGCATATCACATTTAAATTCAAAATTGAGCTTTTGAGATTTTACCTATTCCTTGATTTTACTTTTTGGGTGTATACAAGCAACTCTCATTGCCTGTGTTCTCCAGATTCATCTCTTTTCTTTCTTTCTTTTTTTTTTTTTTTTTTTTTTTTGAGACGGAGTCTCACTCTGTTGTCCAGGCTGGAGTGCAGTGGCATGATCTCAGCTCACTGCAATCTCCACCTCCTGGGTTCATGCCATTCTCCTGCCTCAGCCTCCTGAGTAGCTGGGATTACAGGCACCTGCCACCATGCCCGGCTAATTTTTTGTATTTTTAGTAAAGACAGGTTTCACCGTGTTAGCCAGGGTGGTCTCGATCTCCTGGTCTTGTGATCTGCCCCCCTCGGCCTCCCAAAGTACTGGGCCCGACCCTCATCTCTTCTTTTGAGACAGGAACTGGCTTTGTTGTCCAGGCTGCAGTGCAGTGGCATGATTTTGGCTGATTGTAGCCTAACCTCCTGGGCTTAAGCGATCCTCCCACCTCTGCTTCCCAAGTAGCTGGGATCACAGGCTCATGTCACCATGCCCAGCTCATTTTCATATTTTTTATAGAAATGGGGTTTTGCCATGTGTTCAGGCTGGTCTTGAACTCCTGAGCTCAAGTGATTCACCTGTTTTGGCTACCCAAACTGCTGCAATTACAGGCAGGAGCCACCACATCTGACCTCACCTCATCCTGTCTTTTAAGGCAGCCACTCCAGGACCTGACAGCTAATCTGTTGCCTGGCCATGAGCATAGCTACAAAGTTGAGCTAGTTACTGGTAGAATACTGAAGAGTCTACAGCTAAAGGAAGAGAGATAAATGGCTTAGAAGTGCATTGAATATAATCTAAACATAGAGTTTTAGGGACAGAATGTGACTGGAGGGAAAGAATGAAGTTCTTTGTTAGCTGAAACAACTTGATCAATGAATCACATTCAAGAAAGGAAGAAAGGCAGGAAAAAAGAAAGGAAGGATGGAGGGAGGGAAAAATGAGATTTATTTTAGCCAGTAAGAGTGATAACTGCCTGGAGAAAACCCAAATGCAAGAAACCTTGCACAAGTGGTCCTGAGATTGGTAGGTCACAACACTGTTTTATGCATTTTAGAGAAGCAGAAGTTATAGGCAAAATCATTAATTAATACATGGAAGGTATACAGTTGTTTAGCCCCCAAAAGGCAGGACATCTTGCAGCAGAGGCTTAGCAGTCAGAGATGGATTCAGAGATGCTTTCACTTGCACTTAGGCAAAAGAGTAAAGCTTTGTCTAAAAACTTGGAGTCTGTAGAAAAAAATGTTTAAGACAAGGAAGTTTGTTAACCAATACACTGGGTCAGAGAAACCTGTAGGGGTGTGTGACTTAACCTTCCCCTAGCATGGAGTTAGGTCATTTTCATAATTTGGTGTCTTATTGCCTCAAAGCATCTATTATGTCAGTCTTATTTCAACGTTAATGCCGGCCAGTTTTTGTGTCTAAACCACAAAGGGGATGGGATACAAAGTGTGGTGTGTCTGACCTCCCTTTCTAGGCCCCCTTGGTCAAGAGGCATCTGTTCAGTCAGTTGTGCATATATGATTTTATTTTTGATTTACAGAAAGTATTAGTAGAGTTACCACAGGATGGATACAACGAAGACACATGACACAGTAAGAAAAGATCTTGAAACACAAGAGGAAGACTGAATGAATGAGAAGTAACCACATTTGTTGCACCAACACTGCAAAATGTTTGAATGAACTGAATTGGGATTTCTGGACATGTATGAGTGTAAGCAGGTTCTGCATTAAAAGGTCAGTGGAGCAAGTCTTTAGGAAACAGGCAAAACCCCTTGTATTTCAGAACTCATAATGGCACCGTAGTCTCCCTGCATTTCAAATATATCTTGATAGACTTATTTTTCTCTATGTGTAGTTTCCTCTTAAGCTATACAGTAAGCGTTCTGATAATAAAGTAAATAGGAATCCATCTTACCACTGTCTTGTACCTGGTCAGTGATCTAAAAAGGAACCATGTTATTGGACATAAATTTATCTACAGCCAGCTCCAAACTGTGGTGAGTAGTTAGATTTACCACCAAGCCCCATTTCAGTTTCATAATATTTTGCATATAATGCTTCCACTGTTCAGCCAACTTCTCTTTTGGCCTTTCTTTAAAAAAAAAAAAAAAAAAGTCCAAGTATAGTCAAATGTCTCTTGCCTGTAATCCCAGCACTTTGGAAGGCCAAGGCAGGGGGATCACTTCAGCACAGGAGTTTGGTATCAACGTAGGCAATGTGGTGAAACCCCTGTCTCTACTAAAAATGATAAAAGTAGCTAGACATGATGGTGTACACCAGGAGACCCAGCTTCTTAGGGGCTGAGGTAGGAGAATTGCTTGAGCCCAGGAAGCTGAGGCCGCAGTGAGTCAATATCATGCCACTGCATTCCAGACTGGGTGACAGAGTGGAGTCTCAAAAAAACTAATAAAAATAAATAATAAAGAATAAAATAAATTTTAAAATGAATGCTATGAAAAATACAACAGAGTCCGAGTAATAACACTCTATAGTAAATTTCAAAGAGCTAAATCACCATTAGCATTTACATTAAAATGTTACGTAGAGACTACCAGCCTTCTTAAATTCACTCATATTCAGGACTACCCTCTTTTAAAATTAAAACAGCACAAATATTCCAAGCCGTTAATTTCCTCATCATCCACAAGTCTTTAAATAATTTCAGGATGTGGACCAGGCATGGTGGCTCACACCTGTAATCCCAGCACATTGGGAGGCTGAGGGGGGTGGACTGCCTGAGGTCAGGAGATTGGGACCAGCCTGGCCAACATGATGAAACTGTCTCTACTAACATGCAAAAAATTGGCTTGATGTGGTGCCATGCACCTGTAGTTCCATCTCCTTGAGAGGCTGAGGCAGGAAAATCCCTTGGACCCAAGAGGCAGAGGTTGCAGTGAGTTGAAATTGTACCACCACACTCCAGCCTGGTTGACAAAGCCAGATTCCATCTCAAATAATAATAATTATTATTGTTATTGCAGTTATTATTATTATTATTATTATTATTATTATTATTATTTCAGAATGTGGAACTTACAGCATTAAGTGGGTGGAAGTCCATGCGGATGATAGGTTGTTGATGTCTTCAAGAGGTTTATAAATAGGGGAGAAAGAGTATAACAGTTGATCCATTATAAATAGCAATTGTAAACATGCACTGTGCCACAGAATAAAGGAGGAGCATTTACTAGAGATTTGCTCACATATATTTTAGAGTAGAGACCTACATATGGTCTCTACATCATACGGGCTGTTTTCCATTCTGCTAGTTTTTGTGCATGTGTGTCCATCAGGGTGTACTTATGTTTGGAGACAAATTCTCTTTGCACTTGACAGAAAAAAATAATGTTCTTTCAGGACACAAAGTCATAAAGAGAATTCTACCATTTTGTCTCCTCAGCATTTGCTCACAGCTGAAACATTGCCTCTGCAGGTTGACAAGCATCAGTGAGTTGATTTTCCCTAAATGTGGGTAAACTATAGCTTAAAGTGTCAATGGGTTAACATTTTGTTGTTACTCTTGCTATTCCCTTTTGCCCTACCTTTTTTTTTTTTTTTTTTAGATGGAGTTTTGCTCTGTCACCCAGGCTGGAGTGCTGTGGCATGATGTCAGCTCACTGCAGCCTCAGCCTCCTGGGTTTAAGTGATTCTCCTGCCTCAGCCTCCTGAGCAGCTGGGACTACAGGCACATACCGCTTCCCCAGCTATTTTGTTTTTTGTACTTTTAATAAATGCAAGGTTTACTCATATTGGCCAGGCTAGTACGGAACTCCTGACCTCAGGTGATCCGCCTGCTTCTGCTTCCCAAAGAGCTGGGATTACAGCCATGAGCCACAGTGGCTGGACTCTTTCTTTTCTGAACTTCAACTCTGCTACTTACATTCATCCCTCAAAAATGCATTGAATATATAACTGTGCCAGAGGCATAGACTCAATGTTGCTAAATTAAAAATGTAGTCTTGGTGCAGTCACTCAAACCTGTAACCCTAACACTATGGGAGGCAGAGGTAGGAGTATTGTGTGAGCCCTATTTGAGACTATACTGGGGCAACACAAAAAGAACCCATCTCTCTCTCTGTCTCTCTCTCTCTCTCTCTATATATATATATATATGTCTAGATATATATATATATATATATAATAGACATATATCTAGACATATATATATAGACATATATATCTAGATACACACATATATAAAACACATATATAAAACTATGTATATATAACTATATATACTCAACTATATATAACTATATACAACTATATATAACTCTCCATATATAACTATATATAACTCTCTATATATAACTCTATATATAACTATATATAACTATATATATAACTCTATATATAACCATATATATAACTATATCTATAACTATATATAACTATATATACTTAACTATATATATGTGTGTGTATATATATATTTATATATATATATACACACACATACACACACACAATTAGGCAGGTGTTGTGGTGGTGTGTGCATGTAGTCCCACCTACTTGGGAGGCTGAGGCAGGAGGATCGCTTAAGCACAGGTGGTTGAGGCTTCAGTAAGCTATGATCACACCACTGCACTCCAGTCTGGGTGACAGAGAAAGATTCTGTCTTAACCCCTCACCCCATACGTACACACACACACACACACACACACACACACACGTATACATAAAGGAAGCTGTCCTCACTTGCAATAACCCACAGTCTAATCAGAAGACAAACATGACTGCAGTGTAAAGAGCTTGCAGAAGGTTCAATACTGGTGAGGTGGCTAAAAATAGTATTTACTCATGCTTATGGATTATGAGTTCTGATATAGTAGTATGCCGATATGCGGGAGTGTTAAGTATAAGAATCATATTCTGTGTGTCACAAAATATTGGCTTTTTCCCAGCCTGGGAAACATGATGAGACCCTATCTCTACAAAAATCTAAGAAAAAAAAAAAACAAACAATTAGCTGCTGTGGTGGCACATTCCTGTGGTCCCAGCTACTTGGGAGACTGAGGAGGAGGGTTCTTTGAGCCCGAGAGTTTGAGATCATCCTGGACAACATCATGAGACCCTGTCTCTACTAAAAATACAAAAAAATAGCTTTGCATGGTGGTACATGTCTGTGGTCCCAGCTACTCAGGAGGCTGAGGCAGGAGGATGGCTTGAGCCTGGGAGGCAGAGGCTGCAGTGAGGTGTGATCATCGCACTGCACTCCAACCTGGGTGACAGAGCAAGACCCTGTCTCAAAAAATAAAATTAATAAATTGGCTCCTTCGTCAAAGTTGAAGAAAGCTGAGAAGGAAAAATATATAAGTTCCCATTAACTGTCAATTTGTTTTGGAGTAGACCTTGCCGAAAACTTCATATCTCCAAGAGAGATTCTGGCCAAGTGTTTACCTAGATTTATGCTAGCCAGCGTTCTTAATTGTAACCATCTAAAGCAGTTGATTAAGCAGAAAGAGGTCTGTGAAAATATATTGTATAGATGCCAAAATTGTTAGGAAGGGCTAGAGGAACAGGCTATGGGAAAATCTTCAAGGAACAATGCCTAAAATAAAGCTTATGAACTGGTCTGATGGAGATGTTGCCAATTCTGCAGCTGGTTCACAGGCAATTTGGGGAGTGTTTGTCATCTGCAAAGCCACATCATGACACAACTCTTTAAGTCAAGGTTGTGACCTGCTGCTAGCATAGCCTGATCCTGTCTGAAACAGATGGTGTGAGGCTACTCTGGGGGAGGTAAGGTGAGGGTAAGATCTGTGTTCTCATCACTTCCATTCCAAATTCCAAACTGTCATCCTCTCAGAGCCTTCTTATCCCATCTGTAGTGCTGTCAGGCCATTACAGGAAAAGCATTTTTCTAAATTAATGCAATGAGTTGGAAATAGAATTTGAGGAATCAACAGTCATTTAAATTGTCTGGCAGTGACATTAAAGTTTGTAAAGAGAGACAAGAAAAAATAACTTTAAAATACAACTATTTAACCTAACATAGGCAAAATTTAACATGAAAAAATATAATCATTATTAATGAAATAGTTTATTTTTTCATATTAATTCTTTGAAACACAGGTTGTATTTTCCATTTAGAGCATATCACAGATAGACCTGTGGCATTGCCTGTGCTGAATAGCCCAATACAGTTGGTGGCTACCATACTAGATACAGTACTCTCAGAGAATATAGCCTGCTGTCCTTGAAAATGTGTAAATGATCCCTCATGACCTCCTCCTATCTACCTCTTCAACCTCATATGTTATGTATTCTCACCACATGCTATGAGCCACTGGTATTGAGTGGTAAAGTGAATTGTTGGAACTTACCAGCTATTGAAACCACCTTTGCAAAATTACGACAGTAAGAGAAATCTAACACACCTGACTCCATCTTGCTTCTAACCTCTTAGCTCTCCTTAGTCATTCTTGGGCATAGGCCAAGGTAACTTTAATAATTCAGTTCAGTTTATAGTTTAAGCTTAAAGTGAGGATGATAAAAGCCTCTCAAAAGCTATCCATTCCTTTTTGGGGGACTGAAACTAACTTTGTGAAACCACTGAAAGTTGAGGAGTTGAGACCACCCTGAGCAACATGGTGAGATCTTATCTCTACAAAAAATTTTACAAAAACTAGCCAGGCATGTTGGCTTGTGCCTGGGGTCCCAGAAACACAGGAGGCTGAGGTGGGAGGGTTGCTTCATGCCAATGATGCCAAGAGTTCTAGGCTGCAATGACTAATGTTTGTGCACTGTATTGCAGCCTAGGCAACAGAGAGAGACCCTGACTCAAAAAAAAAAAAAAAAAGAATTATGGCATCATGGCTTACGAGTCATGTAACCAGAGATCAAAAGGTAATCTTTCAAACTGCTACCATAGATAACAGCACTATTTAAAAATGTAAGATTAGTGTTTGAGATAATTTTTCAGACCCTGCATTCTAATGGAGCAGCTAGTACCACCTAGACTGGTAACCCATGCCAAGAAACCGGCACAACTAATCTTGTGAGCTCAACCCAGGAACTGACTCACAGCTAGAAGACATTTTCTACAATATATGATTTCATCCCTGACCCAACCAATCAGCATCTGTATTCCCTAGCCCCATGCCCACCAAACTATCCTTAAAAAACCCTAGTCTCTGAACTTTCAGAGAAACTGATTAGAATAATAAACTTCCATCTTCTGCTTGGCTAGTCCTGCATTAATTAAACTATTTCCCTACTGCAATACTGCTGTCTCAGTGAATTGGTTTTATCTGTGCAGTGGGTGAGAAGAATCCATAGGGTGGCTGTTCTCTCATTTTTTTTTTTTAATAGCATTTCACTCTGTCACTCAGGCTGACTGCAGTGGTACGATTAAAGCTCATGGCATCCTTGAACTCCCAGGCTCAAAAAATAAGGCAATCCTCCTGCCTCAGTCTCCTAAAAAGCTGGGACTACAGATATACACCCACATGCCCAGGTAATTTTTTTTTTTTTTTTAGACACAGGATCTCATTACGTTGCCCAGGCTGGTCTCAAACTCTTGTCTTCAAGCAGTCATCCTGCCTTGCCTCCCAAAGTGCTGGGATTATAGGCAAGAGCCACTATGCCCACCCCAGAAATACATATTTCTGACAGACTTTTCCCTTTTCTTGAGGTACCTGTTCCTATATACACACACGGGATCCTTTTTTTTTAAATTATTATTATACTTTAAGTTCTGTGGTACATGTGCAGAACATGCAGTTTTGTTACATGAATATACACTTGCCATGGTGGTTTTTGTGCACCCATTAGGTATTTCTCCTAATGCTATCCCTCCTCTAGCTCCCCATCCCCTGACAGGCCCTGGTGTGTGATGTTCCCCTCCCTGTGTCAATGTGTTCTCGTTATTCAATTCCCACTAATGAGTGAGAACATGCAGTGATTGGTTTTCTGTTCTTGTGACAGTTTGCTGAGAATGATGATTTCTAGCTTTATTCATGTTCCTGCAAAGGACATGAGTTCATCCTTTTTATGGCTGCATAGTATTCCATGGTATATATGCCATATTTTATTTATCCAGTTTATCATTGATAAACATTTGGGTTGGTTCTAAGTCTTTGCTATTGTGAATAGTGCTGCAATAAACATGTGTGTGCATGTGTCTTTATAGTACAATGATTTATAATCCTTTGGGTATACACTCAATAATGGGATTCCTAGGTCAAATGGTGTCTGTAGTTCTAGATCCTTGAGGAATTGCCACGCTGTTTTCCTCAATGGTTGAGCTAATTTACACTCCCACCAACAGTGAAAAGGATTCCAATTTCTCCACACCCTCTGCAGCATCTGTTGTTTCCTGACTTTTTAATCATCACCATTCTAACTGGTGTGAGATGATATCTCATTGTGGCTTTGATTGGCATTTCTCTAAGAAATGCATTTCTCTAAGAAATGCAAATTATCTGAAAATAGACCCAGGTATAAAGACAACTTGATCGTAGTGGATAGCTTTTTGCTGTGCAGCTGGATTCGCTTTGCCAGTATTTTATTAAGGATTTTCATATTGATGTTCATCAGGGATATTGGCCTGACATTTTCTTTTTTTGTTTTGTCTCTGCCAGGCTTTGGAATCAGGATGATGCTGGCCTCATAAAATGAGGTAGGGAGGATTCCCTCTTTTTCTATTGTTTAGAATAGTTTCAGAAGGGATGGTACAAGCTCCTCTTTGTACCTCTGGTAGAATTTGGCTGTGAATCCATCTGGTCCTGGAATTTTTATGGTTCATAGGCTATTAATTGCTGCCTCAATTTCAGAACTTGTTATTAGTCTATTCCAGGGTTTGATTTCTTCCTGATTTAGACTTGGGAGCATGTATGTTTCCAGAAATTTATCTATTTCTTCTAGATTTTCTAGTTTATTTGTGTAGAGGTGTTTATACTATCATCTGATGGTAGTTCGTATTTCTGTGGGATCAGTGGTGATATCCCCTACATCATTTTTTATGGTATTCATTTGATTATTCTATCTTTTCTTTCTTTTTTTTTTCTTTAGTCTGGCTAGCTGTCTATTTTGCTGATCTTTTCAAAAAAAACAGCCCCTGGATTCATTGATTTTTTAAAGAGTTTTTGTTTCTCTCTCTCATTCCATTCTGCTCTGTTCTTAGTTATTTATTTTTTTCTGCTAGCTTTTGAGTTGGTTTGCTGTTGCTTCTCTAGTTCTTTTAATTTTGATGTTAGGCTGTCAATTTAAAATCTTTCCTTAAAGCTTTCTCTTATGGGCAATTAGTGCTCTAAATTTTCCTATACACACTGCTTTAAATGTGTCCCAGTAAATCCAGTACATTGTGTCCTCATTCTCATTGGTTTCAAAGAACGTCTTTATTTCTCCCTTCATTTTGTTATTTACTCAGTAGTCACTCAGGAGCAGGCTGTTCAGTTTCCATGGAGTTGTGTGGTTTTCAGTGAGTTTCTTAATCCTGAGTTCTAAATTAGTTGCCCTGTGGTCTGAAAAATGTTTGTTATGATTTTTGTCATTTTGCCGTTGCTGAGGAGAGTTTTACTTCTAATTATGTGGTCAATTTTAGAATAAGTGTGATGTGGTGCTGAGAAGAATGTATACTCTATTGATTTGGGAGGGAGAGTTCTTCAGATGTCTATTAGGTCTGCTTGTTCCAGAGCTCCTTGTTAATTCTCTGTTCTGAATCAAGTCGTGAACCTCCTTGTTAATTTTATGTCTCATTGATCTGTCTAATATTGACAGTGGGATGTTAAAATCTCCCACTATTTATTTATTTTTTATTTTTTGAGATGGACTCTCACTCTGTCACCCAGGCTTGAGTGCAGTGACATGATCTCGGCTCACTGCAAACTCCGCCTCCTGGGTTCATGCCATTCTCCTGCCTCAGCCTCCCAAGTAGCTGGGACTACAGGTGCCTGCCACCACACCCAGCTACTTTTTCATATTTTTGGTAACGATGGAGTTTCACCATGTTAGCCAGAATGGTCTAAATCTCCTGACCTCATGATCCAACTGCCTCAGCCTCCCAAAGTGCTGGGATTATAGGGATGAACCACTGTGCCCGGCCATCTCCCACTATTATTGTGTGCAAGTGTAAGTCTCTTTGTAGGTCTCTAAGAACTTGCTTTATGAATCTAGGTGCTCCTGTATTGGGTGCATATATATTTAGGATAGTTAGCTCTTCTTGTTGCATCTATCCCTTTACTGTTATGTAATGCACTTCCTTGTCTCTTTCGATCTTTGTTGGATTAAAGTCTGTTTTCTGTTTTATCAGAAGTTAGGGTTGCAACTCCTGCTTTCTTTTTCTTTTTCTTTTTTTTTTTTTTTTTGCTTTCCTTTTACTTGGTAAATATTCCTCCAACCCTTCTTTTTGAGCCCATGTGTGTCTCTGCATGTGAGAGGGGTCTCCTGAATGCAGCAAACCGATGGCTCTTGACTGTTTATCCAATTGCCAGTCTGTGTCTTTTAATTGGGGCATTTAGCCCATTGACATTTAAGATTAATATTGTTATGTGTGAATTTGATCCTGTAATCATGATGCTAGCTTGTTGTTTTGCCTGTTAGTTGATGCAGTCCCTTCACAGTGTTGATATCTTTACAATTGGGTATGTTTTTGCACTGGCTGGTACCAGTTGAACCTTTCCCATGTGCAGTGTTTCCTTCAGGAGCTCTTGTAAGGCAGGCTTGTAGGTGAAAAAATTTCTTAGCATTTGCTTATCTGTAAAGGATTGTATTTATCCTTTGCTTATGAAGCTTAGTTTGGCTGGATATGAAATTCTGGGTTGATGATTCTTTTCTTTAAGAATGTTGAATATTGGCCCCCACTCTCTTCTGGCTTGTAGGGTTTCTGCAGACAGATCCACTGTTAGCCTGATGGGGTTCCCTTTGTGGGTAACATGACCTTCCTCTCTGGCTGCCCTTAACATTTTTTTCCCTCATTTTAACCTTGGTAAATCTGATGATTATGTGTCTATGGGTGCTCTTCCCGAGGAGTATCTTTGTGGTGTTCTCTCTATTCCCTCAATTTGAATTTTGGCCTGCCTTGCTAATTTGGGGAAGTTCTCCTGGGTAATATCTTGAAGAGTGTTTTCCAACTGTGTTCCATTCTCCCCATCTCTTTCAGTTAGACCAATCAAACGTAGATTTGGTCTTTTCACATAATCCCATATTTCTTGGAGGCTTTGTTGGTTTATTTTCACTCTGTTTTCTCTAATCTTGTCTTCTAACTTTATTTCATTAAGTTGATCTTCAGTCACTGATATCCTTTCTTCCACTTGATCGTTTGGTTATTGATACTTGTCTATGCTTCATGATGTTCTTATGCTGTGTTTTTCAGCTCTATCACGTCATTTATTCTTTTCTAAACTAGTTATTCTAGTTAGCAATTCATCTAACCTTTTTTCAAGGTTCTTAGCTTCCTTGCATTGGGTTAGAACATGCTCCTTTAGCTTGCAGGAGTTTGTTATTAATCATCTTCTAAAGCCTACTTCTGTAATTCGTTAAACTCACTCTCCATCCAGTTTTTTTCCCTTGCTGGAGATGAGTTGTGATCCTTTGGAGAAGAGGCGTTCTGGTTTTTGGAATTTTCACCCTTTTTGTGCTGGTTTCTCCCCATCTTTGTGGATTTATCTACCCATGGTTTTTGATGTTGGTGACTTTCTGATGGGGTCTTTGCATGGATATGCTATTCTCTTCTGTTTGTTAGTTTTCTTTCTAATAGTTGGGCCCCTCTGCTGCAGATCTGCCGGCATTTGCTGCAGGTCTACTCTTGACACCGTTTGCCTGGATGTAACCAGCAGAGGCTGCAAAACAGCAAAGATTGCTTCCTGTTCTTTCCTCTGGAAGGTTCTTCCCAGAGGGGCACCTGCCAGATGCCAGCCAGAGCTCTCCTATATGATATGTCTCTCGTCCCCTACTGAGAGTTGTCTCCCAGTCAGGATGCACAGGGGTCAGTAACCCGCTTGAGGGGGCAGTCTGAGCTTTAGCAGTGCTCTAATGCTGTGTTGTGAGTTCCACTGCTCTCTTCAGCACCCTCAGGCAGGGACATTTAAGTCTCCTGAAGCTGCACCTACAGCTGCCCATTCCCTCAGGTGCTCTGTCACAGGGAGATGGGGTTTTTATCTATAAGTCCCTGACTGGGGCTGCTGCCTTTTTTTCAGAGATTCCCTGCCCAGAGAGGAGAAATTTGTCAGTCTGGCCACGGCAGCCTTGCTGAGCTTCAGTGGGCTCCACCCCGTTCAAACTTCCTGGCGGCTCTGTATACACTGTGGGGATTAAACCGCCTATTCAAGCCTCAGCAATGGCGGTAACCCCTCCCCCACCAAGCATGAATGTCCCAGGTCAATCTCAGATGGCTGCTGAGCTGGCTTAGCCAGTGGATCATAGTTTGCTGTGCTCCCTTGGGTTGGGACCTGCCGATCCAGACCGCTTGGCTCCCTGGCTTCAGCACCCGGTTCCAGGGGAGTGAACCATTCTGTCTCACTGGCTTCCAGGTGCCACCGGGAAACAAACAAACAAACAAACACTTCCTGCAGCTAGTTTGGTGCCTGCCCAAATGGCTGCCCAGTTTTGTGCTTGAAACCCAGGGTCCTGGTGGGCTAGGCACCAGAGAGATTCTTCTGGTCTGAGGACTGTGAACACTATGGGACAAGCTCAGTAACTTGGCTGGAGTGTGCGGCTCAGTCCTTCATGGTTTCCCTTGGATAGGCGAGAAAATTCCCCGACCTCTTGTGCTTCTCAGGTGAGGTGATGCCCCACAGTACTTGGCTCACGCTCTGTTGGCTGCACCCACTGTCCAACCAGTCCCAGTGAGATGAACCAGGTACCTCAGCTGGAAATGCAGAAATAAGCTGCCTTCTGCCTTGATCTAGGAGCTGCTCCTATTCGGCCATCTTGCCAGCAATCCTCACACATGTTATTCTGACTAACTCAGATATCTGTAACAAATCCATTTGGATGTGATTTCTCACATAAGCCTTTATTATTTCTCCAGAGTTGACACTGTTCCCTTTCCTGCCTGTGTCTTGGAATAAATGTATTAAATAAGAATAAACACGCAACTGTTCTCATTACTTTTTGACAATATAGTATGAAAGAAGAAAGCAATACATTTACAATAGACCCCACAATTTGTGGGGTATTTAGATATAGATCTAATGTATCCAAATCTCTTATCAAAAAATATTAAAATTATATACTTTAAATGATATAAAACTGGATTTGAGTAAATGGAAATGTACTAAATATTCATAGATGAAAAGACACAATAAAGATGGAAATTCTTTCCAAAATAGCCTATAAAGTTAATTCAAATCAATCATGTTCTAAGAAGGGTTTTGAAAAATAAAAATAAATACAAGATACTTAAAAGCATTTGAAATTGTAAGGAGCAACTTGAACCATGAAAAATGTGAAGAAGCAGAAATTTTGAACAAATAAAATTTTATTCAAGAGTAATATTAGTTGAAATGATGTGGTGCTTATGTAGGGATAGACCACTAACTCAATTTTGAACTGAGAGAGCCCAGCAAAGAGTTCATTGAATGGCATTAAGTATGGCATTAACAGAGGAGGTATCAAAATTCAGTGTAAGAGAGTGGAATGTTTCTGCAGAGCTGGACATGGAGCTATTCACTGTAGGAGCCAAAAGCTCTGGTTCATAGAACCAGCTAAAGATTGACAAAAAAATCACTGGCATGTGGCAGACTGATGAACAGAAAATAAGGCTTACAAATGTATGTAATGCATATACACAGGAGCTATCAGAATGAAGACACAACTTCCCAATCAGGACCAGAAGCTTAAATACCATTGTGAGATTGCAGGAGGGATGGGCTCTGGGTCCTGGGAATACAGGCGATGGGAGGAGGAGAGGAGGAATTCTATTGAGGGTCAATAAATGATTAGTAGGGAAAATGATTGGATCGGGGGACAGAGATTAACTTGTATATAGGGTTATTTAAAAAGATTTAATGATCCTTGGAGACAGTGATTATCTTGTAAAAGGGTCTGTTGTGGTGTAATTATACTTTTGGTAATAGATAATGAGATAAAACAAGAGGAATAAGAACAATTGTTCTCCTTGGTAGGTCAGTCCTCTCTCTATATTGATAGGAGAAAAGTTTCTTCCAGTGCTTGTTGGTCTCCAAGGGTATTTAATGTGAAATACTTATTATACTAAGGGAGCCACATATTGCGGTGAAGTACTTTCATTTTCTTCACCACAAGAAGCAAAAAAAGAGAAAAAATTAAGTCTAAATGGATTAGAGATTTACTATTGAAAAGAAAATCTTTGTGTCTTTGAAAGAAACCAACCTGGATAAAATTGTGACTTCATGAAATGAAAACATATCTTACACATTATAGAAAGACTCAATAAGTGACCCGAATGAATTTATGTGTGTGTGTGCATATACAGACTCTCTCTATAAATATGAATCTCTATATTCTATATATTAGTTTATATATAAGTATGTAGATTAAATATAAAATATATATTTATATAAAATATACAGTTATATAACATATATTTGTTATTTATTATAGAAATATTTATATTATAAATATTATATATTTTATATGTAAATATATAGATTCTATATATATTTTTATATAGAAACTACATAGATTTATATATAGAGAATATATATAAATTATAATATATAATATATAAATATATAAACATAAATCAAATATAAAACTACATAAAATAAATATAAAATAGATATATGATATATATAATATAAACAATTATACCATGTTTATATTATATATATTTATATAAACATACATAATAATATATTTGTATTACTTTGTCCCTTCACCATGGGACTTTGTTTTAAACCACAAGGGAGTTTTCATCCTTTAAATTTTCAGGGGCTTTTAACAGCTGACTGAAAGACCAGCTTGAATTGGAAGGGTGCCTTACAATAGGGTCATTGTGCCTCACATCTTTATTCTCACCACCCTACCATGATAATAACACACATGGTAATGGGAGTCAGACTTGGTGCTTCATAGTCAAATCGTTTTACCTTTTTACACACAAAATTAGAGAATGAGAATAGCAATTCTCTATCCTTGGACATTTACCGTAAGATCTGCATTGACCTTCAGCTCTTTGTCAAAATCAATTTAGATATAGGATCAAGAGGTTTTTTTGTGTGTTTTTGTTATGTTTTGTTTTGTTTGTTAGTTAGTTCAAAAACGTATTTGTATGTTAGCTGTGTGTCCATCTGTCAGACCCTGGGCTAAACATTGCTGGCACAGGGTAAGAAGATATTGATTTGATAAAGATAGAGACTTTTCAGTCAAAGATGTAATTCACAGATTCCGCTCGGTGGAGATGCAGAGAATGTGTACTTTAAGTGGACACTCCTCAGGCAGTGAGAGCGAAGAGGAAATTGAAAAGGTGAAGAAATTGTTAAGAGACATATCCAACCACAGATTGAAAGCCATTAACTAGAAAAAATCCCTTTGAGGCCCGGCGCGGTGGCTCAACCCTGTAATCCCAGCACTTTGGGTGGTCAAGGCGGGCGAATCACAGGTCAGGAGATCGAGACCATCCTGGGTAACATGGTGAAATCCCGTGTCCACTAAAAATACAAAAAAATTAGCCGGGCATGGTGGCGGGCTCCTGTAGTCCCAGCTACTCAGGAGGCTGAAGCAGGAGAATGGCGTGAACCCTGGGAGTCGGAGCTTGCAGTGAGCAGAGACCGCGCCACTGCACTCCAGCCTGAGCGACAGAGCGAGATCCATCTCAAATTAAAAAAAAAAAAAAAAAAAAAAAAAAAAAAAAAAAAAAAACCTTTGAGCAGTTGCTTTTCTCCAATTACAGAATTTTGTCGTGCTGAGCCCCCATATAATCCCTACTGCCAAAAAATAAGGCTTCTACACTCCACTATGTATAATAGCTTAACTCCTCTTAATTAATGCCGGAAAAAAGCTAGTATGGAGGAAGGCCATTTTGTTCCACTGGGAAAACTGTGCCAATCATTGCAGCATTTTAACTCAGTTTTATATTGCAACATTGTTAATTCTACAACATTTTTGATTCTCAAATGGTCGAAAACATATTGGAGGGAAATTAAAAACCTAATCAAACAGGAGTAATGAGTTTAGCAAATTGAAAGGGATCATTCATTAAAACTAGAATACACACATTTTTTACTTAAATAGTTGTACATTGTTAGTCATCTCCAAACACAAGATTTCACGGAAATACAATATGCAGACTATTTAAAAGTGTATTTCCTGAATGTCAAAGGGGAGCTCATTGTGAAAATTTTCATGAAGGTAGAAAAAGATACAGAATAAAATTCAAATGTTTGTATAAATCTGTTAGGTAGCAATAACTGCTATTGAATCATTTATGTATCTTCCTAGACTTGTTCCTGTGGATATCCAAATCTAAAGATTTTTAAAATATTTTTAAAAACACCAATATAGCATCATGATCTACATAAATGTTTATTTAATTATTTTATTTTATTTTTTTGAGACAGAATCTCACTCAGCTGCCCAGGCTGGAGTACAGAGGCACAATCTTGGCTCACTGCAACCATCATCTTCTGGGTTCAGGTGATTCTCCCATCTCAGCCTCTTGAGTAGTTGGTATTACAGGCACCCGCCATCATGCCTGGCTAATTTTTGTATTTTTAGTAGAGGCGGGGTTTCACCATGTTGGCCATGCTAATCTTGAACTCCTGATCTCAGGTGATCTGCCTGCCTCAAACTCCAAAAGTGCTAGATTTACAGGCGTGAACCACTGCACCCGGCCATAAATGTTCATTTTAAAAGCCGAAAATAAATACACATTGAGTCCCCATTATCAAAAATGCTTGGGCGCAGAAGTGATTTGGATTTTGGATTTCAGAGAACTTTGTAATATTTACAATATACTTACTTTTGAGTATCTGTAATCTGAAACTCCAAAATCTGAAATGCTCCAATGGGCATTTCCTTTGAATGGCATATTGGTGCTCAAAATATTTTGGATTTCCAAGCATTCCAGATTTCAAATTTCAGATTAAGAATTTTCAACTTGTATATCATAATGCATGATGCCTCTTTAAAGCTGATAATCAGTTATATTTTAAAGCATCAGAGTAAACAAAGGTAGATGCTATTCATCTACTACCTGTTGTAGGTGGGTTATGTTTTCCTACAATTATATGTCCAACACATACTGGTTTGTGTAGGAGTAGAGATCTCATTGTTAATGAATACATCATTTTGATTTGAGGGTCTTGCTCTACTAAGTTCCATAAAGAGAATAGCAGATGAATAATTGCACATTGTCCTTTATGCCAAAGCACAGGCCAGTAGTGTGAATAGAACTTAAAATAATTCCAATAACAAGCTTTAAATAACTCACTAGAATGTAGATTTCACTATAATGTCAGATCTTTAAGCAGTACTGCTGACCACTTTATGTTGGGAGAAATCAAAAAAGATTTCAAGTCAACAAATTGTAGACAATTTTTTAGGATGCTTATATAACTCTGAAGATATATGCTTGATCAGTGACACAGTATAGGCTTTGTAAGTGCATGGGGTTCAAACAGTTCATCATCTGCAGGTATTTCTACTACCTTTAGCTATGTAGATTCCATGAAGTAACTTTGAACCCATTTAGGTCTGTCTCTATTGTATTTGTGGAAAACATTGTATATCATTTCTTTGTCTTTCTCTAACACTTTCTACATGTTACCATTGTAAAATGAGTGGAGTTCAGACTTTTTTTTTTTTTTTGCCTTTAGGGTGTAGTACAATATTTCCTAACTAGTTCACATAAGCAGTGTATATTTTGAGGCATACCCTCCCTCCCTTCATCCTGAACCAAATCCACTGGTCTAAAGTTATAACAGAATACTTGAATTATTTTCAAACCTGTTAAATGGTTTTATGCTTCCCTGCTCTCTTGCCTTAGGTTTTTTTTTCTGAGGTCTTAAATTAGAACCTGTTAAAATTTTCTCTGGGATTCAAAATAAGAGTCTCCCAAAAATATCCTCATGCTATTCCCTAGAAATTGTGAATAGACTAAGTTAGGTGACAAGAAGAGAATTCAACTTGCAGATAGAATTAACGTTGCTTATCAGGTGAGTTTGAGATGAGGCACTAATCCTGGATTACCTGGGGAAGTTTACTATAATTATAAAGTTCCTTAAAAGTAGAAGATAGGCTATTCACAATAGTAAAGACGTAGAATCAACCCAAATGCCCCTCAATGATAGACTGGATAAAGAAAATGTACATATACACCCTGGAACACTATGCAGCCATTAAAAGGAATAAGGTCATGTCTTTTGCAGGGACATGGGTAGAGATGGAAGCCATTATTTTCAGCAAACTGATACAGGAACAGAAAACCAAACAAGCATGTTCTCACTGAGAAATGGGACCTGGACAATGAGAACACAGAGACACAGGGAGAGGAATGACACACACTGGGGCCTGTGTGTGAGGGAGATGGGGTGAGGTGAGGGAGAGCATTGGGAAAAGTAGCCAATGCATGCTATGTTTAATACCTAGTAGGTGGGTTGATAGGTGCAGCAAACTACCATGACACATGTTTATCTATGTAACAAACTTGAACAACCTGCACATGTACCCCGGAACTTCAAATTAAAATTAATTTTTTAAAAAAGTAGAAGCTGGAAGTAGAAAGAGGCTTAGAGTCAAAGGGATGGGATGAGAGGATTTATGGGTCATTTTTGTTGAAGGGTCCATGAAGCAATGAATGTGGGTGGTCTCTAAAAGCTGTAAAAGGAAGGGAAAATTTTCTATGCTAGATCATGCAGAAGAAACATGGGTCTGACAACAACTTGACTGAGCCCTGTGAGAAGTCAATTCATTTTTGATCTACAGAACTATAAGGTAATTAATGTCTGTTGTTTCAAGACACGAAATTTGAGGTAATTCTTTATAGTTGTCATATGGAACCAATACACACAAAAACTTCCTGTGGCTACTTCAAAGCTGATTTCCATCTTTGAACATGAATGGGGGATGGTTTCCCTCATTTGAATATGCTGCCTTTTTGTTTTTTTAAAAAAATATTTAATTTTAATTTTAGATTCAGGGAGTACATGTGCACATTTGTTACATGGGTACATTGCACAATGCTGAAGGTTGGACTTCTAATGATCCCATCATGCATGTTGTGGGTATAGTACCCAATAGGAAGTTATGTGGTTTGGCTGTGCCTCACACAAATCTAATCTTGAATTCTCATATGTTGTGGAGGGGACCCACAACATATTGGATAATTGGATCATGGGGGCAGATCTTTCCCATGCTGTTCTCGTGGTGATAGTGAATAAATCTCATGAGATCTGATTATTTAAAAAATAATATGGAAGCTCTCTTCTCTTGTCTGCTGCCATGTGAAACTTGCCTTTTACCTACCACCATGACTGTGAGACCACCTCAGCAATGTGGTAGCTCTTTCTTTTCTAAATTCTCCAGTCTTGGGTATGCCTTTACCAGCAGTGTGAAAATGGACTAATGCAGGAAGGTTTTGAACACTGATCTCCCTCTGTCCCTTCCCACTTTTGGGGTCTCCACTGTTTGTTGTTTCTTTCTTTGTGTCCAGGGCCCACTTAGAGGTGAGAACATGTGGTATTTGGTGTTCTGTTCCTGCTTTGATTTGCTTAGAATAGTGGTCTCCACATGCATCCATGTGGCTGCAAAGTACATGATTTGATTCTTTTTTATGGCTGCATAGTATTCTGAAATTTAAATGTACCATATTTTATTTACCTAGTCTACTAATGTTGGGCACATGAGTTGGTTCCATGATATGCACGTTTTAATTCCATTTCCTTTTTTTTTTAAATAGACATCAAGGCTTTTTCATTGTAGGGTTCCTCAATGTAGTATGGAAGGTGGCTCAAGGTAGCCAGTTTTCTCATTGGCTATATGGCAAATGAATGAAAAAAAATGTTGAAGGCAGATTTTTTTTTTTTTTGAAAATGCTGGGATGCTTGATATTCAAGAGAAAAAAACTAAATACACATTAATTTTATGAAATCGAGCAATATTGATTAGAACAGAATGTAATAGTTAACCCAAATTTTGGGCCTCACACTTTATATCTACACCTGTATTCATTGCTCAAGTGCCAGGAGAAATCAAGCCAGTCTCATTAAAAACAAACAAACAAACAAAAAACACTCATGTATTAAAAACACTCATGTATTTAAAATTCTATGTTACTCATGTAACATAGAATTCTTCTGCAATACTTAGTCCACAACTAATTCATGTATTAGTAATTATAGAAACTTCTAATGAAATCATTTGTTAATTGAATTATTTCTTTACAAATTAAAAGAATGTTTGAACTTTCTTCAAGGATAAATATGATGTGTAGGTATAGTATTAATATTTTGGGTATTTTTGAAGGTGTCATGTTAAATGTAGTAAGAAATTAATCCACTATATAACTACACCAAAAGCAACCTCTTGAAACTTTTATGAAATATGCCACTGTGAAACTCTGAGCTTTATACTCTCAATGGTCAAATGTCTGTGGTGGAACAGACAACCACTTAGAAGTCTCTATTTAGAGCAAAGCTGACTTTTAGCATGAAGGAAGGCAGCTTTCTGATGATGACAATTTTTGGATGTTTTGAGAATTATCAGATGCACTGAGAAGGAAAATGATGTCTTATTTCTAATTCTTGATGTAAGGTCTCCTATCTTTTAACTCATTTCTGACTCTGCCTGTTTGTAACTAGATGATACAAAACAAAAGAGGAGAAAACATTGGTAGAAACTGTGAGTGGTATAGGAGCGGTGAGAGAGAACATTAATATAGTACTGGAAGTTCTGGTCAGGGAAATCATGGAAGAAAATAAATAAAGTATATTCAAATAGGAAGAGAGGAAGTCAAATTTTCTTTGTTTTCATATGACAAAATTGTATATTTAGAAAACCCCGTCATCTCACCCAAAAACTGCTTCAGCTGATAAGCAACTCTAGTCTCAGGATACAAAATCAATGTGCAAAAAAATCACAGGGGTTCCTATACACTAATAAGAGAAAAACAGAGAGCCAATTCATGAGTGAACTCTCATTCACAATTGCTACCAAGAGAATAAAACATCTAGGAATACAAATTACAAGGGACACGAAGGACCTCTTAAAGGAGAACTACAAACCACTGTTCAAAGAAGTAAAAGAGAACATAACAAATGGAAAAATATTCCATGCTCATGGATAGGAAGTATCAATATCATGAAAATGGCCATACCACCCAAAGTAATTTATAGATTCACTTCTATCCCCATCAAACCACAATTGACATTCTCACAGAACTAGAAAAAAAACTAGTTCAACTATCATATGGCATCAAATATCATGTGTAGCCAGGACAATCCTAAGCAAAAAGAACAAAGCCAGATGCATCATGCCACCTGACTTCAAACTACATTACAAGGCTACGGTAACCAAAACAACATGGTACTGGTACCAAAAAAGATATATAGACCAACATAACAGAACAGGGGCTTCAGAAGTAACATCAGACATCTACAGCTATCTGATGTTTGACAAACCTGACAAAAACAAGCAATGGAGAAAGGATTTTCTATTTAATAAATGGTGCTGGGAAAACTGGCTAGCCATATACAGAAAACTGAAACTGGACCCCTTCCTTACACGATATACAAAAATTAACCCAAGATGGATTAAAGACTTAAATGTAAGACCTAAAACCATAAAAACCCTAGAAGAAAACCTAGGCAATACCTTTCACGACATGGGCATTAGCAAAAACTTCATGACTAAAACACCAAAAGAAATTGCAATTGCAACAGCAACAAAAACCAAAATTGACAAATGGGATCTAATTAAACTAAAGAACCTCTGCACAGCAAAGGAATATATCATCAAAGTGAACAGGCAACCTATAGAATGGGAGAAAGTTTTTGCAATCTATCCATCTGTCAAAAGGCCTAATATCCAGAATCTACAAGAACTTAAACAAAGATGAAAACAAGCAATCTATCAAAAGTGGATGAAGGATATGAACTGACACATCTCGAAAGAAGACATGTATGCAGTCAACAAATATATGAAAAGAAGATAATCATCACTGTTCATTAGAGAAATGAAAATAAAAACCATAATATGATGCCATCTCATGCCAATTAGAAGGCAATTATTAAAAAGTCAGAAAATGGCCATACCACCCAAAGTAATTTATAGATTCACTGCTATCCCCGTCAAGCCACAATTGACATTCTCACAGAACTAGAAAAAAAACTAGAAAAAAAAACAGATGCTGGCAAGGATGCAGACAAATAGGAATGCTTTTACACTTTTGGAGGGGTTGTAAATTTGTTCAACCATTGTGGAAGACAGTGTGGAGACACCTCAAGGATGTAGAAACAGAAATACCATTTGACCCAGAAATCCTTTTTTTTTTTTTATTATACTTTAAGTTTTAGGGTACATGTGCACATTGTGCAGGTTAGATACATATGTATACATGTGCCATGCTGGTGCACTGCACCCACTAACTCATCATCTAGCATTAGGTATATCTCCCAATGCTATCCCTCCCCCTTCCCCCCACCCCACAACAGTCCCCAGAGTGTGATATTCCCCTTCCTGTGTCCATGTGACCTCATTGTTCAATACCCATCTATGAGTGAGAATATGCGGTGTTTGGTTTTTTGTTCTTGCGATAGTTTACTGAGAATGATGATTTCCAATTTCATCCATGTCCCTACAAAGGACATGAACTCATCGTTTTTTATGGCTGCATAGTATTCCATGGTGTATATGTGCCACATTTTCTTAATCCAATCTATCATTGTTGGACAATTGGGTTGGTTGCAAGTCTTTGCTATTGTGAATAATGCCACAATAAACATACGTGTGCATGTGTCTTTATAGCAGCGTGATTTATAGTCCTTTGGGTATATACCCAGTAATGGGATGGCTGGGTCAAATGGTATTTCCAGTTCTAGATCCCTGAGGAAACGCCACACTGACTTCCACAATGGTTGAACTAGTTTACAGTCCCACCAACAGTGTAAAAGTGTTCCTATTTCTCCACATCCTCTCCAGCACCTGTTGTTTCCTGACTTTTTAATGATTGCCATTCTAACTGGTGTGAGATGGTATCTCATAGTGGTTTTGATTTGCATTTCTCTGATGGCCAGTGATGATGAGCATTTCTTCATGTGTTTTTTGGCTGCATAAATGTCTTCTTTTGAGAAGTGTCTGTTCATGTCCTTCGCCCACTTTTTGATGGGGTTGTTTGTTTTTTTCTTGTAAATTTGTTGAGTTCATTGTAGATTCTGGATATTAGCCCTTTGTCAGATGAGTAGGTTGCGAAAATTTTCTCCCATTTTGTAGGTTGCCTGTTCACTCTGATGGTAGTTTCTTTTGCTGTGCAGAAGCTATTTAGTTTAATTAGATCCCATTTGTCAATTTTGTCTTTTGTTGCCATTGCTTTTGGTGTTTTGGACATGAAGTCCTTGCCCATGCCTATATCCTGAATGGTAATGCCTAGGTTTTCTTCCAGGGGTTTTATGGTTTTAAGTCTAACGTTTAAATATTTAATCCATCTTGAATTGATTTTTGTATAAGGTGTAAGGAAGGGATCCAGTTTCATCTTCCTACATATGGCTATCCAGTTTTCCCAGCACCATTTATTAAATAGGGAATCCTTTCCCCATTGCTTGTTTTTCTCAGGTTTGTCAAAGATCAGATAGTTGTAGGTATGCGGCATTATTTCTGAGGGATCTGTTCTGTTCCATTGGTCTATATCTCTGTTTTGGTACCAGTACCATGCTGTTTTGGTTCCTGTAGCCTTGTAGTATAGTTTGAAGTCAGGTAGTGTGATGCCTCCAGCTTTGCTCTTTTGGCTTAGGATTGACTTGGCAATGCGGGCTCTTTTTTGGTTCCATATGAACTTTAAAGTATTTTTTTCCAATTCTGTGAAGAAAGTCATTGGTAGCTTGATGAGGATGGCATTGAATCTGTAAATTACCTTGGGCAGTATGGCCATTTTCAAGATATTGATTCTTCCTACCCATGAGCATGGAATGTTCTTCCATTTGTTTGTATCCTCTTTAATTTCCTTGAGCAGTGGTTTGTAGTTCTCCTTGAAGAGGTCCTTCACATCCCTTGTAAGTTGGATTCCTAGGTATTTTATTCTCTTTGAAGCAATTGTGAATGGGAGTTCACTCATGATTTGGCTCTCTGTTTGTCTGTTGTTGGTGTATAAGAATGCTTGTGATTTTTGTACATTGATTTTATATCCTGAGACTTTGCTGAAGTTGCTTATCAGCTTAAGGAGATTTTGGGCTGAGACAATGGGGTTTTCTAGATATACAGTCATGTCGTCTGCAAACAGGGACAATTTGACTTCCTCTTTTCCTGATTGAATACCCTTTATTTCCTTGTCCTGCCTAATTACCCTGGCCAGAACTTCCAACACTATGTTGTATAGGAGTGGTGAGAGAGGGCACCCCTGTCTTGTGCCAGTTTTCAAAGGGAATGCTTCCAGTTTGCCCCCATTCAGTATGATATTGGCTGTGGGTTTGTCATAGATAGCTCTTATTATTTTGAAATACGTCCCATCAATACCTAATTTATTGAGAGTTTTTAGCATAAAGCGTTGTTGAATATTGTCAGAGGCTTTTTCTGCATCTATTGATATAATCATGTGGTTTTTGTCTTTGTCTCTGTTTATATGCTGGATTACATTTATTGATTTGCATATATTGAACCAGCCTTGCATCCCAGGGATGAAGCCCACTTGATCATGGTGGATAAGCTTTTTGATGTGCTGCTGGATTTGGTTTGCCAGTATTTAATTGAGGATTTTTGCATCAATGTTCATCAAGGATATTGGTCTAAAATTCTCTTTTTTGGTTGTGTCTCTGCCCGGATTTGGTATCAGAATGATGCTGGCCTCATAAAATGAGTTAGGGAGGATTCCCTCTTTTTCTATTGATTGGAATAGTTTCAGAAGGAATGGTACCAGTTCCTCCTTGTACCTCTGGTAGAATTCGGCTGTGAATCCATCTGGGCCTGGATTCTTTTTGTTGGTAAATTATTGATTATTGCCATAATTTCAGCTCCTGTTATTGGTCTATTCAGAGATTCAACTTCTTCCTGGTTTAGTCTTGGGAGAGTGTATGTGTCATGGAATTTATCCATTTCTTCTAGATTTTCTAGTTTATTTGCATAGAGGTGTTTGAAGTATTCTCTGATGGTAGTTTGTATTTCTGTGGGATTGGTGGTGATATCCCCTTTACCATTTTTTATTGTGTCTATTTGATTCTTCTCTCTTTTTTTCTTTATTAGTCTTGCTAGCAGTCTATCAATTTTGTTGATCCTTTCAAAAAACCAGCTCCTGGATTCATTTTTTAAGGGTTTTTTGTGTCTCCATTTCCTTCAGTTCTGCTCTGATTTTAGTTATTTCTTGCCTTCTGCTAGCTTTTGAATGTGTTTGCTCTTCCTTTTCTAGTTCTTTTAATTGTGATGTTAGGGTGTCATTTTTGGATCTTTCCTGCTTTCTCTTGTGGGCATTTAGGGCTATAAATTTCCCTCTACACACTGCTTTGAATGTGTTCCAGAGATTCTGGTATGTTGTGTCTTTGTTCTTGTTGGTTTCAAAGAACATCTTTATTTCTGCCTTCATTTCTTTACATACCCAGTAGCCATTCAGGAGCAGGTCATTCAGTTTCCATGTAGTTGAATGGCTTTGAGTGAGATTCTTAATCCTGAGTTCTAGTTTGATTGCACTGTGGTCTGAGAGATAGTTTGTTATAATTTCTGTTCTTTTACATTTGCTGAGGAGAGCTTTACTTCCAACTATGTGGTCAATTATGGAATAGGTGTGGTGTGGTGCTGAAAAAAATGTATATTCTGTTGAATTGGGATGGAGAGTTCTGTAGATGTCTATTAGGTCTGCTTGGTGCAGAGCTGAGTTCAATTCCTGGGTATCCTTGTTTACTTTCTGTCTCATTGATCTGTCTAATGTTGACAGTGGGGTGTTAAAGTCTCCCATTATTAATGTGTGGGAGTCTAAGTCTCTTTGTAGGTCACTCAGGACTTGCTTGATGAATCTTGGTGCTCCTGTATTGGGTGCATATATATTTAGGATAGTTAGCTCTTCTTGTTGAATTGATCCCTTTACCATTATGTAATGCCCTTCTTTATCTCTTTTGATCTTTGTTGGTTTAAAGTCTGTTTTATCAGAGACTAGGATTGAAACCCCTGCCTTTTTTTGTTTTCCATTTGCTTGGTAGATCTTCCTCCATCCTTTTATTTTGAGCCTATGTGTGTCTCTGCATGTGAGATGTGTTTCCTGAATACAGCACACTGATGGGTCTTGACTCTTTATCCAATTTGTCAGTCTGTGTCTTTTAATTGGAGAATTTAGTCCATTTACATTTAAAGTTAATATTGTTATGTGTGAATTTGATCCTGTCATTATGATGTTAGCTGGTGATTTTGCTCGTTAGTTGATGCAGTTTCTTCCTAGTCTCGATGGTCTTTACATTTTGGCATGATTTTGCAGCGGCTGGTACCGGTTGTTCCTTTCCATGTTTAGCACTTCCTTCAGGAGCTCTTTTAGGGCAGGCCTGGTGGTGACAAAATCTCTCAGCATTTGCTTGTCTGTAAAGTATTTTATTTCTCCTTCACTTATGAAGCTTAGTTTGGCTGGATATGAAATTCTGGGTTGAAAATTCTTTTCTTTAAGATTGTTGAATATTGGCCCCCACTCTCTTCTGGCTTGTAGGGTTTCTGCCGAGAGATCCGCTGTTAGTCTGATGGACTTCCCTTTGAGGGTAACCCGACCTTTCTTTCTGGCTGCCCTTAACATTTTTTCCTTCATTTCAACTTTGGTGAATCTGACAATTATGTGTCTTGGAGTTGCTCTTCTCGAGGAGTATCTTCTCTGTATTTCCTGAATCTGAACGTTGGCCTGCTTTGCTAGATTGGGGAAGTTCTCCTGGATAATATCCTGCGGAGTGTTTTCCAACTTGGTTCCATTCTCCCCATCAGTTTCAGGTACACCAATCAGACGTAGATTTGGTCTTTTCACATAGTGCCGTATTTCTTGGAGGCTTTGCTCATTTCTGTTTATTCTTTTTTCTCTAAACTTCCCTTCTTGCTTCATTTCATTCATTTCATCTTCCATTGCTGATACCCTTTCTTCCAGTTGATTGCATCGGCTCCTGAGGCTTCTGCATTCTTCACATAGTTCTCGAGCCTTGGTTTTCAGCTCCATCAGCTCCTTTAAGCACTTCTCTGTATTGATTATTCTAGTTATACATTCTTCTTAATGTTTTTCAAAGTTTTCAACTTCTTTGCCTTTGGTTTGAATGTCCTCCTGTAGCTCAGAGTAATTTGATCATCTGAAGCCTTCTTCTCTCAGCTCGTCAAAGTCATTCTCCATCCAGCTTTGTTCCGTTGCTGGTGAGGAACTGCGTTCCTTTGGAGGAGGAGAGACGCTCTGCGTGTTAGAGTTTCCAGTTTTTCTGTTCTGTTTTTTCCCCATCTTTGTGGTTTTATCTACTTTTGGTCTTTGATGATGGTGATGTACAGATGTGTTTTCGGTGTGGATGTCCTTTCTGTTTGTTAGTTTTCCTTCTAACAGACAGGACCCTCAGCTGCAGGTCTGTTGGAATACCCTGCCATGTGAGGTGTCAGTGTGCCCGTGCTCGGGGGTACCTCCCAGTTAGGCTGCTCAGGGGTCAGGGGTCAGGGACCCACTTGAGGAGGAAGTCTGTGAGCTCTTCTTGATAAAAGAAATGCTGAATTTAAATAGAAAATATCATTATCTGTAAAGTGAAATGACCATGCTGGTTCCACCAATGAGCTATCAATTACAGCTTTTTGTATATTGGCATGAGCCAGCACAGCATTACCATTCAGATGGCTAACTTCACTCCAAGCATGGCTTAGGTCCAATTTTCCCCTCAACAGGAATTAAAAGGTCCATGGGTACATGTTAACTGTGGCAGGTATATCAGATACGTCCAGGATAAGTGAGGGATATTTTATAAAGCCAGGTTCAGATCACCCCTCCTCCCCCCAAAAACCTAGGAAATTAGATAAAAATGGGAATGAAGTGGCTATTCCAGTTAAAATAAACTAAAGGGAGCAAATGTAAAGTAAGATATTTTACTGGATAACTCTGATGAAACTTAGATATCAATAGTGAGATTTTATGATAGTAGAAAATTTATTTTGTTTTTATTTGATGTGTTAATAGCACTGCTGTGATGTAGGAAAATTTTCTTTTACCTTTGTAGAGAAGTGATACCATGGTAAAATTGCCAGTAGCCCTGATCTAAAGTCCAGACACTACCTATTAAGAACCTGGAAATAAAAAATAACTGCCATATGTTTTCTGACAAGGCAGAATATAGAAAGAAGGTTCTGTAAGAATTTAATAGGTATTTCAATCAAATTGGATGAGACATGGGACAGAAAGAACATATTATGCTTCATTTTTAGGACAAATTCAGTAAGATTTAGAGAAATAAGGAAATAAGTGCTATGGTTCAAGCTTGAGAAAATCTCTGTTTCTCTTTACAGTGTAGAAAAGAGAAGCTCCTGTAGGTATTTCCCAATTGAGAAATACTCAATCGGAGTTTCCCAGAACAGAAAAGTACAGAAGTTTTCTAGAAAAAGATTCTCCTAGAAAAAAAAGTAGACCTAAATTCATTCAGAACCCTAATTGAAACACAAATTAAAAGGTTCTACTACTGACATAGAAAACATTATAACTGAAAACAATCTTATAAGTTGGGTTACTTAGGAGAGAATAACATGAATTTAAAAAGTAGATTTCCTTGAATAATTGATTGAAGCTTCTACAATTGCCAACAGTGAAACCAGAAACAGAGTATATTACTGACTAAGGGATTCAACTCTCTTAAGTTCTGTTTGTGTAAACTCTGCTTGAGTGGTAGTTTCCTGTATTATTGAATGCATGCATTTGCTTATGCTTTTTGGAGCTATACAAAGAACTGTGCAATTTTTATTGAAATGAACACACATAAGTGAAATTCATGGCTTTAAATATATAATTTGTATTAGTCCATTTTTATACTGCTATGCAACAATATATGAAACTAGGTTATCTATAAAGAAAAAAGGTTTAATGGACCCACAGTTTAGCATGGCTGGGGGCTTCAGACAACTTACAATAATGGAGGAAGAGGAAGCAAACACGCCCTTCTTCACATGGCTGCGGCAAGGAGAAATACCACGCAAAACGGGGAGAAGCCCCTAATAAAACCATCAGCTCTCATGAGAATGCATTCATTATCATGAGAACAGCATGGAGGAAACCATCCCCCATGATTCAATTATGTCCACCTTGTCCTGCCCTTGACATGTTCAGATTATTACAATTCAAGGTGAGATTTGGGTGGGGACACAGAGCAAAACCATATTGCAATGCAAGGAATGTTCTCAAATATGTATAAGTAGTTATGCATTATCAATATCAGAAGAAATCATGAAAAGTGTATTCTTACCATACCAGAAAAATGACTTTCTGGTCAACTCCTTTTATGCCCAGAGGCAAACATGGTTCTTTCATTTAACATCCTAGGTTATCTTTTTTGGTCTTCAATTTTTTGTGAATGGCATCTTATAGTAGGAATTTTTCTTTTCTCCAGCCCCTTTTACTACACTTAATGTTTGGGGGATTCACTCATTTCATGGTGATTATTAGCCTTTTTATTCACAATTTAATTATTGAACAGCATTTTGTTATATGAAAAATACTGCCTTGTAGTTGTCTATTCTTTTATTGAGGGCATTTGGCCGTGTTTACCTTAGGTCCAATAAGAAACAAGTTGAAATGATAATTCATTTGTTTGTCCGCTCTGGGATGTGTATTTTTATTTCTCTTGGGTAAATAACTACATGTGGAATGATGTGGTCATGGCACTATATGTGCAAAATTTGTTTCACGTATATATAATCTCCATCTGGTCCTTGAGACCTGGGAATTATTATTATTATTATTATTAGTTTATTTTTGAGATGGTCTTACTCTGTTGCTCAGGCTGGAGTGCAGTGGCATGATCTTGGCTCACTGCAAGCTCTGCCTCTTGGGTTCACCCCTTTCTCCTGCCTCAACCTCCCAAGTAGCTGGGAATTCAGGTGCCCGCCACCACGCCTGGCTAATTTTTTGTAGTTTTAGTAGAGACAGGGTTTCACTGTGTTAGCAAGGATGGTCTCAGTCTCCTGACCTAGTGATCTGCCCACCTCAGCTTCCCAAAGTGCTGGGATTACAGGCGTGAGCCACCATGCCTAGTCCACATGGGGATTATTATATACATGTATTTGCCACATGTATATTTCCTATTGTAGGAAATATACATATTAAAATAGTAAAATTTGCTTATTAAAATGGTAAAAATGTACATCCAAATACTTATGCATTTATACAGAAACATACTAATATGAATAAATCATTTATGTTTTACATCTGTGCTACATAAGTGATTTATTTAAACATTTATGGATTTAAATGAATATTTTTGTATATCTACATAATATTTATTTATATTTATTTATATAGCCTTTAATTAGTCTGGATAAATTTCATTTTATTGACATATGCATGGTGAATAAATGCTTCCAATAGATGTTGGGTAAATAAATGCCAGTATATGACAGTTTGCGGGATGGACCTAAAGCAATGACAAATACACTTGCCTAGCATCACATACACATCCTGAAAGAGAAGTTGTATTAGTCCATTTTCACACTGCTGTTAAAGACCTACTGGTACTGGGTAATTTATAAAGAAAACGAGATTTAATTGACTCACAGTTCCATGTGGCTGAGGAGGCCTCACAATCATGGCAGAAGATGAAAGACACATCTTACATGGCAACAGACAAGAGAGAATGAGAGCCAAGAGAAAGGGACTTCCCTTTATAAAACCATCAGATCTCATGAGACTTACTGATTACCATGAGAACAATATGGGGGAAATTGCCCCCATGATTCAATTATCTTCCACTAGGTTCCTCCCATGGCAGGTGGGAATTATGGGAGCTAAAATTCAAGATGAGATTTGGATGGGGACATGGCCAAATCATATCAAGAAGAAATGTGATACATTAAAGAACTCTTTTTCTCAACTTAAGAAACTACAGAATGAAGAGCCATTAAACTCAGAGGTGGGAGAGTAGATAAGATAATGAAATAATGCACAGAGGTCTGATCAAACCAAAAAAGGTAATAAAGATAAGAGGTAGGATACCACTAAACAGAAAACAAAAGAGGTATTTAACAGGGCCTAAAAGTTGTTTCTTCCAAAAGATCAATAAGATTTATGTCAGTGATTTTTCAGCTAATGTTTAGAAGGTGGTGAGCCTATGTCTCCCATAGGCCATACAAAAAAGGCAGTGGTACAGATTTGGTTTGTTGGTTATTGTTTGTGTACTCCCTTGTGTTGAATTAAAAAAAAAAAAAAAGAGTGAGATCTGTGGTAAGAATTGCTGCCTTCTGAGCCATGTCATTGATTCTATCTTGTCAATCCCGTCATTTCTTCATAGAAAATGAGAGAAAAAAGTGGGAGGAAAGGCAGAAGATGAGATGTTGGGTGATTCGTTGACTCATCCTATTTATCCTTGAGCTTTCATTGTGCAGTCTTCTGAGCCTGCAAATCTCTGACCTCTTACTTCTAAGTCACAATTCTTTGTTAATATTTCCAAAGGACACACTTTTTCTACAGCCGAGTGGGTTGTTCTATAAAGACCAGGGACAAATAATCATTTTTTTTCCAGGATCTTGCTCTGTTGCCTAGCCGGGGTTCAGTGGCATGATCCTAGCTCACTACAGCCTTGAATTAATGGGCTTAAGCAATCCTCATATCTCAGTCTCCTACACAGCTCACAATTTGCCAGCTTTTGAGAAATCTCAAACAGTAAATAAGAAGATATTTTAATGTTACAGTGTGTTAAAGGGGAAGGGTAGTAATTTGGTTTGGCTCTGTGTACCCTCTCAAATCTCATCTTAAATTGCAGATCCCATAATCCCCATCTGTCATATGAGGGGCCTGGTGGGAGGTGATTGAAACATGGGGGAGGCTATCTCCATGCTGTTCTTGTGATAATGAATGAGTTTTCACTACATCTGATAGTTTTATAAGGGGCTTTTCGTCCAATTCACTCTGCACTTCTTGCTGCTAGCATGTAAAGGACATGTTTGCTATCCTTTCCACCATGATTGTAAGTTTTCTGAGACCTCCCCATCCTTGCAGAACTGTGAGTCAATTAAACCTCTTTTCTTTATAAATTACCCAGTCTTAGGTATGTCTTTATTAGAAACATGAAAACAGACTAATACGGGTAACTATTAAAAAAACTGTTACTAATCTTTATGAACTAAAATTTTAAAAAGAAAACATTATGGAGTGGGTTCCTTTATTTTTTATTGTTTTTTTATTTCATGTTAGTATTATTATACTTTAAGTTTTAGGGTACATGTGCACAATGTGCAGGTTAGTTACATATGTATACATGTGTCATGCTGGTGTGCTGCCCCCATTAACTCATCATTTAGCATTAGGTATATCTCCTAATGATATCCTTCCCCCCTCCCCCCACCCCACAACAGTACCCAGAGTGTGATGTTCCCCTTCCTGTGTCCATGTGTTCTCATTGTTCAATTCCCACCTATGAGTGACAACATGCGGTGTTTCATTTTCTGTCCTTGCAATAGTTTGCTGAGAATGATGGTTTCCAATTTCATCCATGTCCCTACAAAGGACATGAACTCTTCGTTTTTTATGGCTGCGTAGTATTCCATGGTGTATATGTGCCATATATTCTTTGTTTTTAATTTATTTTTTATTTATTATTATCATACTTTAAGTTTTAGGGTACATGTGCACAATGTGCAGGTTAGTTATATATGTATACATGTGCCATGCTGGTGCACTGCACCCACTAACTCGTCATCTAGCATTAGGTATATCTCCCAAAGCTATCCCTCCCCCATCCCCTAACCCCATAACAGTCCCCAGAGTGTGATGTTCTCCTTCCTGTGTCCATGTGTTCTCATTGTTCAATTCCCACCTATGAGTGAGAAAATGCAGTGTTTGGTTTTTTGTTCTTGCCATAGTTTACTGAGAATGATGATTTCCAATTTCATCCATGTCCCTACAAAGGACATGACCTCATCAATTTTTATGGGTGCATTTTATTCCATGGTGGATATGTGCTATATTTCCTTAATCCAGTCTATCATTGTTGGACATTTGGGTTGGTTCCAAGTCTTTGCTATTGTGAATAATGCTGCAATAAACATACGTGTGCATGTGTCTTTATAGCAGCGTGATTTATAGTCCTTTGGGTATATACCCAGTAATGGGATGGCTGGGTCAAATGGTATTTCTAGTTCTAGATCCCTGAGGAATCGCCACACTGACTTCCACAATGTTTGAGCTAGTTTACAGTCCCACCAACAGTGTAAAAGTGTTCCTATTTCTCCACATCCTCTCCAGCACCTGTTGTTTTCTGACTTTTTAATGATCGACATTCTAACTGGTGGGAGATGGCATCTCATTGTGGTTTTGATTTGCATTTCTCTGATGGCCAGTGATGGTGACCATTTTTTCATGTGTTTTTTGGCTGCATTCATGTCTTCTTTTGAGAAGTGTCTGTTCATGTCCTTCGCCCACTTTTTGATGGGGTTGTTAGTTTTTTTCTTGTAAATTTGTTCAAGTTCATTGTAGATTCTGGATATTAGCCCTTTGTCAGATGAGTAGGTTGTGAAAATTTTCTCCCATTTTGTAGGTTGTCTGTTCACTCTGATGGTAGTTTCTTTTGCTGTGCAGAAGCTCTTTAGTTTAACTAGATCCCATTTGTCAATTTTGTCTTTTGTTGCCATTGCTTTTGGTGTTTTAGACATGAAGTCCTTGCCCATGCCTATGTCCTGAATGGTAATGCCTAGTTTTTTTTCTAGGGTTTTTATGGTTTTAGGTCTAAGGTTTAAGTCTTTAATCCACCTTGAATTAATTTTTGTATAAGGTGTAAAGAAGGTATCCAGTTTCAGCTTTCTACATATGGCTAGCCAGTTTTCCCAGCACCATTTATTAAATAGGGAATCCTTTCCCCATTGCTTGTTTATCTCAGGTTTGTCAAAGATCAGATAGTTGTAGATATGCAGCATTATTTATGAGGGCTCTGTTCTGTTCCATTGATCTATATCTCTGTTTTGGTACTAGTACCATACTGTTTTGGTTAATGTAGCCTTGTAGTATAGTTAGAAGTCAGGTAGTGTGACGACTCCAGCTTTGTTCTCTTGGCTTAGGATTGACTTGGCAATGTGGGCTCTTTTTTGGTTCCATATGAACTTTAAAGTAGTTTTTTCCAATTCTGTGAAGAAACTAATTGGCAGCTTGATGGGGATGGCACTGAATCTGTAAATTACCTTGGGCAGTATGGCCATTTTCACAATATTCATTCTTCCTACCCATGAGCATGGAATGTTCTTCCATTTGTTGGTATCCTCTTTTATTTCCTTGAGCAGTGTTTTGTAGTTCTCCTTAAAGAGGTCCTTCACATCCCTTGTAAGTTGGATTCCTAGGTATTTTATTTTCTTTGAAGCAATTGTGAATGGGAGTTCACTCATGATTTGGCTCTATTTTTGTCTGTTATTGGTGTATAAGAATGCTTGTGATTTTTGTACATTGATTTTGTATACTGAGACTTTGCTGAAGTTGCTTATCAGCTTAAGGAGATTTTAGGCTGAGACAATGGGGTTTTCTAGATATACAATCATGTCATCTGCAAACAGGGACAATTTGACTTCCTCTTTTCCTAATTGAATACACTTTATTTCCTTCTCCTGCCTAATTGCCCTGACCAAAACTTCCAACACTATGTTGAATAGGAGTGGTGAGAAAGGGCATCCCTGTCTTGTGCCAGTTTTCAAAGGGAATGCTTCCAGTTTGTGCCCATTCAGTATGATATTGGCTGTGGGTTTCTCATAGATAGCTCTAGTTTATTGAGAGTTTTTAGCATGAAGCGTTGTTGAATTTTGTCAAAGGCCTTTTCTCCATCTATTGAGATAATCATGTGGTTTTTGTCTTTGTTTCTGTTTATATGCTGGATTACATTTATTGATTTGTGTATATTGAACCAGCCTTGCATCCCAGGGATGAAGCCCACTTGATCATGGTGGATAAGCTGTTTGATGTGCTGCTGATTCGGTTTGCCAGTATTTATTGAGGATTTTTGCATCAATGTTCATCAAGCATATTGGTCTAAAATTGTCTTTTTTGGTTGTGTCTCTGCCCGGCTTTGGTATCAGGATGATGCTGGCCTCATAAAATGAGTTAGGGAGGATTCCCTCTTTTTCTATTGATTGGAATAGTTTCAGAAGGATTGGTACCAGTTCCTCCTTGTATCTCTCGTTGAATTTGTCTGTGTATCCATCTGGTCCTGGAGTCTTTTTGGTTGGTAAGCTATTGATTATTGCCACAATTTCAGCTCCTGTTATTGTTCTATTCAGAGGTTCAACTTCTTCCTGGTTTAGCCTTGGGAGAGTGTATGTGTCGAGGAATTTATCTATTTCTTCTAGATTTTCTAGTTTATTTGCGTAGAGGTGTTTGTAGTAATCTTTGATGGTAGTTTGCATTTCTGTGGGAATAAATGGTGATATCCCCTTTATCATTTTTTATTGCATCTATTTGATTCTTCTCTCTTTTTTTCTTTATTAGTCTTGCTAGAGGTCTATCAATTTTGTTGATCCTTTCAAAAAACCAGCTCCTGGATTCATTAATTTTTTGAAGGGTTTTTTGTGTCTCTATTTCCTTCAGTTCTGCTCTGATTTTAGTTATTTCTTGCCTTCTGCTAGCTTTTGAATGTGTTTGCTCTTGCTTTTCTAGCTCTTTTAATTGTGATGTTAGGGTGTCAATTTTGGATCTTTCCTGCTTTCTCTTATGGGCATTTGGTGCTATAAATTTCCCTCTACAGACTTCTTTGAATGTGTCCCAGAGATTCTGGTGTGTTGTGTCTTTGTTCTCATTGGTTTCAAAGAACATCTTTATTTCTGCCTTCATTTCTTTAGGTACCCAGTAGTCATTCAGGATCAGGTTGCTCAGTTTCCATGTAGTTGAACAGTTTTGAGTGAGATTCTTAATCCTGACTTCTAGTTTGATTGCACTGTGGTCTGAGAGATAGTTTGTTATAATTTCTGTTCTTTCACATTTGCTGAGGAGAGCTTTACTTCCAAGTATGTGGTCAATTTTTGAATAGGTGTGGTGTGGTCCTGAAAAAATGTATATTCTGTTGATTTGGGGTGGAGAGTGCTGTAGATGTCTATTAAGTCCACTTGGTACAGAGCTGAGTTCAATTCCTGGGTATCCTTGTTGACTTTCTGTCTCGTCGATCTGTCTAATGTTGACAGTGGGGTGTTAAAGTCTCCCATTATTAATGTGTGGGAGTCTAAGTCTCTTTGTAGGTCACTCAGGACTTGCTTGATGAATCTGGGTGCTCCTGTACTGGGTGCATATATATTTAGGATAGTTAGCTCTCCTTGTTGAATTGATCCCATTACCATTATGTAATGGTCTTCTTTGTCTCTTTTGATCTTTGTTGGTTTAAAGTCTGTTTTATCAGAGACTAGGATTGCAACCCCCTGCCTTTTTGTGTTTTCCATTTGCTTGGTAGATCTTCCTCCATCCCTTTATTTTGAGCTTATTTGTGTCTCTGCACATTAGATGGGTTTCCTGAATACAGCACACTGATGGGTCTTGACTCTTTATCCAATTTTCCAGTCTGTGTCTTTTAATTGGAGCATTTAGTCCATTTACATTTAAAGTTAATATTGTTATGTGTGAATTTCATCCTGTCATTATGTTAGTTGGTTATTTTGCTCGTTAGTTGATGCAGTTTCTTCCTAGTCTCGATGGTCATTACATTTTGGCATGATTTTGCAGTGGCTGGTACCGGTTTTTCCTTTCCATGCTTAGCGCTTCCTTTAGGAGCTCTTTTAGGGCAGGCCTGGTGGTGACAAAAATCTCTCAGCATTTGCTTGTCTTTAAAATATTTTATTTTTCCTTCACTTATGAAGCTTAGTTTGGCTGCATATGAAATTCTGGGTTGAAAATTCTTTCCTTTAAGAATGTTGAATATTGGCCTTCACTCTCTTCTGGCTTGTAGAGTTTCCACCGAGAGATCCACTGTTAGTCTGATGGGCTTCCCTTTTAGTGTAACCCGATCTTTCTCTCTGGCTGCCCTTAACATTTTTTCCTTCATTTCAACTTTGGTGAATCTGACAATTATGTGTCTTGGAGTTGCTCTTCTCAAGGAGTATCTTTGTGGTGTTCTCTGTATTTCCTAAATCTGAATATTGGCCTGCCTTGATAGATTGGGGAAGTTCCCCTGCATAATATCCTGCAGAGTGTTTTCCAACTTGGTTCCATTCTCCCTGTCACTTTCAGGTACACCAATCAGACATAGATTTGGTCTTTTCACATAATCCCATATTTCTTGGAGGTTTTGTTCATTTCTTTTTATTCTTTTTTCTCTAAACTTCCCTTCTCACTTCATTTCATTCATTTCATCTTCCATCGCTGATACCCTTTCTTCCAGTTGATCGCATCAGCTCCTGAGGCTTCTGCATTCTTCACGTAGTTCTTGAGCCTTGGTTTTCAGCTCCATCAGCTCCTTTAAGCACTTCTTTGTATTGGTTATTCTAGTTACACATTCTTCTAAATTTTTTTCAAGTTTTCAACTTCTTTGCCTTTGTTTTGAATGTCCTCCCATAGCTCAGAGTAATTTGATGGTCTGAAGCCTTCTTCTCTCAGATCATTAAAGTCATTCTCCGTCCAGCTTTGTTCCCTTGCTGCTGAGGAACTGCGTTCCTTTGGAGGAGGAGAAGCGCTCTGCTTTTTAGAGTTTCCAGTTTCTCTGCTCTGTTTTTTCCCCATCTTTGTGGTTTTATCTACTTTTGGTCTTTGATGATGGTGATGTACAGATGGGTTTTCGGTGTGGATGTGCTTTCTGTTTGTTAGTTTTCCTTCTAAAAGACAGGACCTTCAGCTGCAGATCTGTTGGAGTACGTGGTCCTGTGAGGTGTCAGTCTGCCCCTGCTGGGGGGTGCCTCCCAGTTAAGCTACTCTGGGGTCAGGGGTGAGGGACCCACTTGAGGAGGCAGTCTGCCCATTCTCAGATCTCCAGCTGTGTGCTGGGAGAACCACTGCTCTCTTCAAAGCTGTCAGACAGGGACATTTAAGTGTGCAGAGGTTACTGCTGTCTTTTTGTTTGTCTGTGCCCTGTCCCCAGAGGTGGAGCCTACAGAGGCAGGCAGGCATCCTTGAGCTGTGGTGGGCTCCACCCTGTTCGAGCTTCCTGGCTGCTTTGTTTACCTAAGCAAGCCTGGGCAATGGTGGGCACCCCTCCCCTAGCCTTGCTGCTGACTTGCAGTTTGATCTCAGACTGCTGTGCTAGCAATCAGGGAGACTCCATGGGCACAGGACCCTCCGAGCCAGGTGCAGGATATAATCTCCTGGTGCACCGGTTTTTAAGCCCTTTGGAAAAGTGTAGTCTTTGGGTTGGAGTGATCCGATTTTCCAAGTGCCATCCATCACCCCTTTCCTTGACTAGGAAAGGGAATTTCCTGACCCCTTGCACTTCCTGAGTGAGGCAATGCCTTGCCCTGCTTCAGCTCGTGCACAGTGCATGCACCCACTGACATGCGTCCACTGTCTGGAACTCCCTAGTGAGATGAACCCAATACCTCTGATGGAAATGCAGAAAGCTGTCAACCGGAGCTGTTCCTATTCGGACATCTTGGCTCCTCCCCACCATGTGCCACATTTTCTTAATCCAGTCTGTCATAGTTGGACATTTGGATTGGTTCCAAGTCTTTGTTATTGTGAATACCGCCGCAATAAACATACGTGTGCATGTGTCTTTATAGCAGCATGATTTATAGTCCTTTGGGTATATACCCAGTAGTGGGTTGGCTGGGTCAAATGGTATTTCTAGTTCTAGATCCCTGAGGAATCACCGCCGCACTGACTCCCACAAGGGTTGAATTAGTTTACAGTCCCATCAACAGTGTAAAAGTGTTCCTATTTCTCCACATCCTCTCCAGCACCTGTTGTTTCCTGACTTTTTAATGATTGCCATTCTAACTGGTGTGAGATGGTATCTCATTGTGGTTTTGATTTGCATTTCTCTGATGGTCAGTGATGGTGAGCATTTTTTCATGTGTTTTTTGGCTGCATAAATGTCTTCTTTCGAGAAGTGTCTGCTCATGTCCTTCGCCCACTTTTTGATGGATTTGTTAGTTTTTGTCTTGTAAATTTGTTTAAATTCATTGTGGATTCTAGATATTAGCCCTTTGTCAGATGAGTAGGTTGTGAAAATTTTCTCCCATTTTGTAGGTTGCCTGTTCACTCTGATGGTAGTTTCTTTTGCTGTTCAGGAGCTCTTTAGTTTAATTAGATCCCATTTGTCAATTTTGTCTTTTGTTGCCGTTGCTTTTGGTGTTTTAGACATGAAGTCCTTGCCCATGCCTATGTCCTGAATGGTAATGCCTAGGTTTTCTTCTAGGGTTTTTATGGTTTTAGATCTAACGTTTAAGTCTTTAATCCATCTTGAATTAATTTTTGTATAAGGTGTAAGGAAGGGATCCAGTTTCAGCTTTCTACATATGGCTAGGAAGTTTTCCCAGCACCATTTATTAAATAGGGAATCCTTTCCCCATTGCTTGTTTTTCTCAGGTTTGTCAAAGATCAGATAGTTGTAGATATGTGGCATTATTTCTGAGGACTCTGTTCTGTTCCATTGATCTATATCTCTGTTTTGGTACCAGTACCATGCTGTTTTGGTTACTGTAGCCTTGTATTATAGTTTGAAGTCAGGTAGCGTGATGCCTCCAGCTTTCTTCTTTTGGCTTAGGATTGACTTGGCAATGCGGGCTCTTTTTTGGTTCCATATGAACTTTAAAGTAGTTTTTTCCAATTCTGTGAAGAAAGTCATTGGTAGCTTGATGGGGATGGTTCCTTTATTATAAGTTTTTGTTATAAATAAGAAGAAAGAAAGTAAAATAGAAAGAAGAAAAAAGAAAGAAAGGTAGGAAGGAAGGGAGGGAGGGAGGAAGGGAGGGAGGGAAATGGGAAGGAGGGAGGGAAAAACATTCATTCTTATATACGTATATGCATTTACATATCTGTATATACACATGGGTATATGGATATGTGTATATAGGACTGAAAAATATGGATATTGTGCCATTGTTTTCCCCTTTGTATGCACTTAATTTATTCACATCATCTGCGTTAATAATTGTAGCTTACAACTTTCAAAAGAAAACAAAGTCTAAAATCATGTTTTATGCATCAAATTGTTTTGCACTGAAGGAAACTAAATCTGCTCATCACATTCATGCACCCAGATGCACTTTCTCCCTGGGTGGACAGCATCCAGATCTTTACTTGTTACTTATTACTTTCCTTCAATTTAATTTTACAATGAGCCATGCATTCTCCCGTGTATTGATTAATACAATGATAAAGCAAACTAAAATGTCTGGAGAAGGAATCCACACTTCTGTATTTGAGTCCTTGTGGATGAATTGTAACCTAGCATAATCGGCAGACAAGTTGGAATATTTAACATGGAAAGATGAACCTGTAACAATAGCTGAGTCTCGACCAATCCCAGTGGCCATACTTCAACCTCTCATAGGCTCCAAAGTGTTCACTGTGTTCGAATAAGGCCAATGCAACCTGTAATTAATCTAGCTGTTTCTGTACCTCATGCTGACTTCTGTACATCACATTCCCCCACTTTTTTTCTATATAAGTTTGTTCTGATCACTTGTATTGGAAATACAGTTTGGAGTCTTAAGGAAACGAGCAGTCAGAAAAAGAATTTCTCAGCAAAGCAAGTTTACTTCTGCATAGAGGGGTGCTTCTTTTTGGCCAGTCACCACGAGAGCACATAGAACAAAGAACAATGAAAGTTTTTATCCTTGATGCAAACAGTGCCCCCGTGCCCTTTCCCCATTGGCTGAGTTCGAACCACAAAATCTAAGCTAGACCCAAATGGCTAAACATTTGAATTTTTTCTTAGATAAGTTGGGCACATAAGGGAGAGAAGGGAGAGGGGGAAGAGGTCATCTCTGATGAGCTAGGGAGCTACTTTACTTCCCAAATATGGAAACGAATGTGAGCTAGTACTGATAAGCTCCGGATGCTGTGGCATGCCTGGTCATGTAGCAAAGGCAGAAAGAAACGAAAAGAGAAGAAAATGGAGGTGGAGGGGTACTGTGGATTTCAGAATAAAGGACTAATCAGGCTATTTGAAGAGAAACCTTAGCATATCCCACAGATTGGTATCCCTGGAGTCTCTGAATCTGCTGTGATTCTAGAGGCTGTCAGATTCTTGAATCATTCATTGCTCAAACTCCTTTGAAATTAATTCAGCTGAAGTTTTTCTTTTAAGAGCAAGAAAAGGCATAATAATTGGTTTAATGTGAAGACACAGGAGCCTTCAGAATGAAGACCCAACCTCCCAATAAAGTTCAAAGCTTATATACCTTCCTGAGGTTACAGAAAGAATGGAGTGTTGGATCCCAGTAAAACAGGTAATGGAATGGGGAGAAGAGGAATTCCAGTGAGGAACAATAAATGATTGCTAGGGAGAATGATTGGATCAGGGAACTACTTGATTAACTTGTAAGTAGTTTTTTGTTGGAAAGTAAATGGACCTTATAGACACTCATTTTAAAGGTAAAAAGATCCGCTCAACTGTGGTTACATCTTGGTATTTTTTTCTGCAATAGACAATGAGGTAAAAAGGAAGAGAGAAAAGACTTGTTCTCCTTGTGGGGCCTGGATCTTCAGCTTCTTTAAGAGATATGGTGAAGGGTGAGGAGGAAGATCAGACAGACCTTGAGGCTTCTTCAGTGCTGCATGTCAAAGTGCCATATTTTAGGGTGTTGGTTTCTGATCACCTAGAAGACTACAAGTTTTCTTTTACTTTTTTTTTTTTTTGGTAATCATTTTTTATTGTAGTAAGTTTTGGGGGGAATAGGTGGGGTTTGGTTACTTTAATAAGTTCTTTAGTGGTGATTTCTGAGATTTTGGTGCACCCATCATCTGAGCAGTATACACTATACCCAATTTGTAGTCTTTTATCCCTCACCTGCCTTCCAACCTTTTTCACCAGGTCCCCAAAGTCATTTTTATCAGTCTTATGCCCTGTGTCATCACAGCTTAGCTCTCATTTATGAGTGAGAATGTACAATGTTTGATTTTCCCTTTCTGAGTTACTTCCCTTTAGATTAATGATCTCCAGTCCCATCCAGGTTGCTGCAAATGCCATTAATTTCTTTTTATGGCTGAGTAGTATTCCATCATATATATTGTGAAAGGAAAATAAATCTTAATAAACCCAAATCACTAAGCAAAATGGAAAACTCAAGCTAAGAACTGCTTATGGCAAAGCTGCTTCCAAGTCTATTCAAACTCATCCCACTGCTTACTGAGATAAATGCATATCTGATTGCTTCCTTTGGAAAGGCTAATCAGAAATTAACTCAACAGAATGCAACCATTTGTCTCTTATCTACCTATCACCTGGAATGCCCCTCTACACTTTGAGTTGCCCTGTCTTTTCTTTGAGTTGTCTCACCTTTCCAAACAAATGTTCACTGTACGTTATTGATTGACGTCTCATGTCTCATGTATAAAACCAAACTTTGTTCAGACCACCTTGGGCACATGTCTTCAGGACCACCTAAGGCTGTGTCATGGGCTTGTGTCCTTAACTTTGTCAAAATAAACTTCTTTAAATTGACTGAGGCCTGTCTCAGATATTCAGGGTTCACAATATATACCACATTTTCTTTATCCACTTATTGATTAATGGGCATTTGAGCTGGTTCCAAATTTTTGTAATTGCGAATTATGCTGCTATAAGCATGTGAGTTTAAGTATCTTTTTCATATAACACCTTATTTTCTTCTGGGTAGATAGCTAGAAATTGGACTGCTGGATCAAATGGCATATCTACTTTTAGTTTTTTAAGGAATCTCCATACTGTTTTGCATAGTGGCTGTACTAGTATACATTACCATCAACAGTGTAAAAGTGTTCTCTTTCTCTTACATTTTCAAATGTTTGAAAAGAAAAATTCAAAATAACTGTATTTCATGACATGCAAAATTATATGAGATTCAAATTTCAGTGTCTTTAAATAAAATTTTGTAAGGCCTGGGCATGGAGGCCAACAGTTTGGGAGGACAAGGCAGGAGGATAACTTAAGGCTAGGAGTTTGAGACCAGCCTGGGCAACACAAGAAGACCCCATCTCATCAGAAAAAAGAAAGAGAGAGACAAAGAAATTACTGAAACACAGTCATATCCATTCATTGACATATTTTTGGTGGCTGCTTTTGTTCCATGGGTCATCATTGACAAGGTACTCAAAGCCCAAAAGATTTAACATCTATCTCTTTCCAGAAAAAGAAGTTTTCAGAAAAATTAGTAAATTCTTGCTCTAAACAAATATTTTCAGATGATATGATACCCCATTCAATTTATTTGGCTGAACAGAATAATGAGAAGAGTCAATGGACTTACACTCTATTTTTAATAGTGATGACATTAAAATAATATGACTATAATGAGAATTTTAGCACTATTAATAAGGTGATAGAAAAAGTACACATGATGCTCTAATACTTTAATTTTAAAGAAAACTAAAATAACCTTTAATTTTCTGTGTAGAGAAGTAGTTTTTGTTTGTTTGCTTGTTTCTCAACTAGAAACACTTTAGAGTGTCAGATGCATGTGAACCAGAGCAACTCCATCTTGAATAGGGGCTGGGTAAAATAAGGCTGAAACCAATTAGGCTACATTCCCAGATGGTTAAGTATTCTAAGTCACAGGATGAGACAGGAGGTAAGCACAAGATAAAACTCATGAAAAGCTGGCTTATAAATCAGAATGCAGTAAAGAAGCCGGCCAAAACCCACTAAAATCAAGATGGTGACAAACAGTGACCTATGGAGGTCCATCCTCACTGCTACACTACCACGTGCACCATGACACGTTACAAATACAACAGGAACATCCGGAAGTTACCTTATATGGTCTAAAAAGGAGAGGCATAAATAATCCACCCCTTGTTTAGCATATGATCAAGAAATCACCATAAAAGTAGGCAACTAGTAGCTCTCACAGCTGCTCTGTGTATGGAGTAGTCATCCTTTTATTTCTCTACTTTCTTAATAAACTTGCTTTCACTTTACTCTATGGACTTGCCTTGAATTTCTTGTGCAAGATCTAAGAACCCACTCTTGGGGTTCTGGATTCGGAACCTTTTCAGGTAACAAGAAGACTGAAGGAATCAAATAAGGCTCAGCACAACTATTTTTAGTTAGGTGTAGAAGGTGTTCAGAAAAAGAGCACTCCCAAATTTCATATGAAAGCCTTTTATTAGATCCATTCCTTCATAAAAAAGTGATTGAATATCTTATTATAATCTTTGAAAAAATACTCATATTATAATCTTTGAAAAAATACTCATGCCTGTAATCCCAGCACTTTGAGAGGCCAAGGTGAGCTGATCACAAGGTCAGGAGATCGAGACCATACTGGATAATACTGTGAAACCTCATCTCTATTAAAAATACAAAAAATTAGCCAGGTGTTGTGGTGGGCACCTGTAGTCCTAGCTACAGGGAGGTTGAGGCAGGAGAATGACATGAACCCAGGCAGTGGAGCTTGCAGTGAGCTGAGATCATGCCACCGCACTCCAGCCTGGGTGACAGAGAAAGAAGACTCCATCTCAAAAAAAAAAATACATATATATGTGTATGTGTGTGTGTGTGTATATATATATATATATATATGCATATATATATACACACACATGGAAGTCAGGCCATTGCTTTCCTTTCAGAAGATAACTGTCCATTATATGCCTCAGCTTAGCTGAAGCTAGTATGGCGGCAAAGACGCAACGACGTCATGCTTTGTTAGTGAAGGTCAGCACTGGAGATGAGTCAGCAAAGGATCAGCCGTGCTGAACTGACAGCTAATGATTTGAACACAGACTTTAGAGAGGACTGCCTACAAAGCAAAACAAAGGCCTGCAATTTTCTATGAGCTATTATTAACATGATCTGTTATTTTTAACCTGATTACATTTTTGCCGTCTTTCCACCAAAGCAAGAAATGCTTTACATTAGAGATGCCTTAGAGTTTTTATTTTTCTTTAAACTTCTAAGTCAGGCTGTTGGTTACCAATCATGTAAGGATACACAAATATGAATGTATAAGGACTATGCCAAGTATATGTGAATTTTCGTATTATGTGGAGCCTGAATTTGGTGTATTGCTATGACTGTGTTCTTGATGGAACTAAAAAGGGAAAATGAGAACTGAAATTAGAAAAAAATAAAATAAAACAGAATGGTAATTACCAGGTGTGATGGGATTGGGGTTAGAGAATTGGGGAAATATTGACTAAACGATAGAAAATTTCAATTAGACTAAGGGAATACTGTCAAAAGATATACGTTACAATATAATAATTAGAATTAATAACTATGTTTTGTATCACTTCAAAATTGTTAAGAGAGTAGACGTTTGCTGTTCTCAACACAAAAGTATAAGACTGTGAAGTAATAGATATGATAACTACCTCAATATTATTATTCCACAATACATACATATATAAAGACATCATATTGTACCTCATGAATATATACACTTTTGAGTCAAAAATGATAGAAAGAGCCATGCCATATTGATTGATGTCAATTTCCCATAAGACCGCTCTTTGTACACATATAAATGATGCAATATAATTCAATAGAAAATCATTTTGTGGATTAAGTTGAGCCAAGTTAGCTAAAGTAATGGACTTGCCTTGAATTCCTTCATTGGAATTCAATATTTGGAACATCCAAAATTCCAACATTGAAACTTTATGCCTTTTTCAAGAAATTGTCTAATGCTAACAGAAAAAAAAACAAAGGAAAGAGTCACATAAATGCTATTGAGAAAACACAGTGTTCTAGCCAAGGGCTTGAGTCAGCAACAAATGGGTAACTGGCCTAGGTATGGGCCCTAGGAGATAATTCTCCAACATAGAATGTTGCACTTCTTCAAACCTCTGGGCAATTTGCACCCTTGCATTTGCACTAGCAAGATTAAATTTTAACTAACCTTGGCAGTAAAGAAAAAAGGAATGCTTACCAGTGCCTGTAGAGTTTCAATGTGCTAAACAGAACCACGGAGGACCTGACAAGCAGTTCTATGTAAGGATACTAGCCCTACCACATATTGAAACTTATTGACAACCCTCTATTTTTTTTTTTTTTTTTTTTTGAGACTGAATTTCACTATTGTTGCCCAGGTTTGAGTGCAATGGTGCAATCTTGGCTCACTGTAACCTCTGCCTTCCAGGTTCAAATGATTCTCCTGCCTCAACCTTCCTAAATAGCTGGAATTACAGACATGCACCACCATGCCTGGCTAATTTTGTATTTTTAGTAGAGACAGGTTTTCTCTGGTTGGTCAGGCTGGTCTAGAACTCCCGACCTCAGATGATCAGTTTGCTTCAGCCTCCCAAATTGCTGGGATTACAGGCATGAGCCACTGTGCCCAGCAGACAACCATCTTTAAGTAAAATATTATAGTGTTACAAATATGCAGTGACAAATGAGTTCAATATAATAAAAAGTCCAGAAATACATCCAACCACACATGGAAATTTAACAAACAAAATGATGACATTGCCAAACAATAGAGAGTTCATTATACTTTTGGGAAACTGGAATCAAATAGATTCCCTACCCCACATGATGCACAAAAACAAAATCCAAATGAATGATAAGTCATGTGGAAAAATTTGAAAATGTATAATTTTATCAATAAAAATGAAAAATATTTCTAAAACCTGGATATGTAGGAATCTTTTAAAAATGATGCAAAGTCCCAATGCAATTAGATGATAGATAGCTGAATGGATGCATGTATAGATGGATACATAGGTAGACAGATAGGTAGATAGATAGATAATAGATACAATTTCTCAATTATTAAATGAGAAAAATTAAAAAGCTTGACACATTCTTGAGGCTAGTGGAACATATCTTGCACATATACAGAGAGTACTAATTAAAAATGGGCAATGTTTATAGAAGAGGATTTAACAATTTTTTCGAGGGCTACATGTAGTTTTACCCCTCACCAACAGTCTCACTTCTGGGAAATTACCATTGAAAACATACCCTCATAAATTCAAATATACATATTTACAAAGTTACATAGTCCTACATTGTCTGTAATTGCAAAATATAGAAAGTTTTATAAATAACTGACTATAGGAGATTATGTTTACTAAAAAGGGTGTATATACACCATAAATCATCATGTATTTGTATAAAATGAGAAAGACATCTATGGATGTCCTTAGGGATAAAAAGCATTATTTCTACAACTTATTTTGAAATGCTTCAGAAAAATGATTGATTATTTACATAGATAGATTAATAAATAGGTGTTACATATGAAGATAGATGATACAGATGGACAAAAGAGATAGATGATTGATAGATGATTGATAGATGAGAGATAGGAAAGATAGATGATAGAGTTATTGATTAATTGATTGATGATAGATACTTGAAAGATGGATAGATAGATTCTCCAAGAGTTAATTTAAATATTTATTTTCTCAATAAATGCTAGATATGTTTGAATAAATTGAATATTACTTTTAAAAAGCAATAAATGAAACAAAGCTAGTGTTTAACCTCCAATAATAAGCCTCAATAAACAAATCTACTCTTTAAAATACCAGTGAAACTTGAATAAAAATCAGTACTTAGCTTCCAAGGCAAAGCCTATCTCCACTAGTAAATACAAATAAAACAGCATCCAAATAAAATGTAAAGTTGAAAGCTTAGCAATTAAGGCACATTTTTTCTAATAACACCATCAAAGAAGCAACAACTACAAATTCACTACTTACCAATGGGAGAAAGTTGTCAATACATCTCCCAATATTTCCTCCAAAAACAACACAGAACAGCAAAAAGGACTAAGGCATCTTCGGGACACCCCATTCTCAAGATAAATCTATGATAGAATATGCCCACTCTTCAAAATAAATGTAAGCATTAAAAAGAAAAAAGAATCTTCCAAATTCCAGAGATCCATTCTCTCTTGCTAAGAGGCAAAGATACATGAACTGGCCAGATGTGGGGAAGAGAGAAGAGAAAAAGAAGAGAGCTCTTTTACAGCTTCTACATGTTACAATGAGAATATTTTCAAAATCATTATTTAAAACATTATAATGAAAGGAGGTAATATTGCATCATAGAAAGACTTTGTTACAGTAAAACAGATCAGTCTCTGGCATTGTCACTGACTGACTGTCAGTTTGTACACAGCTCATTTTCCTGGCATTTGGATTGCTGAATTCCAAAATCAATTGATAGATTGACTTTATCATTTGGATGCCATTCCATGAATTATCTTTAAAGGGACCTTTTAATGATCCATATATGCATGTATGATTTTTTTTCAGTGAGATGATCACAGCTTTGCCCAGTCTGAATATTATGTCTATCTCAAACAAAGACAAGGAACCCTCAACCAGCCAATCCACTGTTAAAAGAAAAACTTGGATAAAGCTGGAAACCATCATTCTCAGCTGACTATCACAGGGACAAAACCCTAACAACGAATATTTTCACTCATAGGTGGGAAATGAACAATGAGAACACTTGGACACAGGAAAGGGAACATCACACACCAGGGCCTGTTGTGGGGTGGGAGGAGGGGGGAGGGATAGCATTAGGAGATATACCTAATGTAAATGACGAGTTAATGAATTCAGCACACCAACTTGGCACATGTATACATGTACCCTAGAACTTAAAATATAATTTAAAAAAAGAAAGAAAAACTTCAGCCAAATTAAATATACAAGAGTTTAACTGAGAAATGAAGGATTTGCAAATCAGGCAGCCCACAGAATCACAGAAGATTCAGAGATACTCCATGGGTGTCTTATGGTCAGAACAAATTTATTGACCAAAAAAAAAAAAAATTGAAGTGACCCACAGAAATTGGAAATGAGGTACAGAACAACTGGATTAGTTACAGGTTGGCATTTGCCTTATGTGAAAGTAGTTTGAACATTCAGCAGTCTATAAGTGGCTGAAGGATCTCCACTGGGATTGGCCAACACTGAGCTATTGTTACAGATGCGTACTTCTATGTTAGGTTTTCAATCTTGTCTACCTATTAAGTTAGGTTGCAGTTCATCCACAAGGACTCAAATACAGAAATGAAGAGTCCTTCTCAGGCTGTATTTACTTTGCTTAAACACCACGAAGTGCCTCTCAGTTCTAACATTGATTCTATTAGAAAATAATGTGGTTCTTGTAGATCCTGAGAAGTGAAGCATTCAGATTAGAATTCCTCTTTCTATAGACACATATTTGGCTTTGGGATTTGGTTTTGGGAATATCTAATTTTATTTATTAAATTATCTTTATTCATTAAGTTTTCTAAGCTAACTTTTTTTGTTGTTGTCTTTAATAAAGACATTGTTCCATACTAACAAAGGGAATGAAGGTGCCATTCTATCAAAGGCAAAGCACTTCAAAGACATTGTGCCATTCTACCAAAAGGGAAACATGCACTCAGGTAATTGCCTTTGGCCTACATAAATTATCTCCTCTGGTTCATTTGGTTTGTTCTTCCTACCTCTTCATTCCGGGCCAAAATTACATGTATTGACTATAAGCTATAAAGTATTATGCATCCCTATTTCTGATAAATTCAGACATTGACTTTGAACAACCTAAAAAGAAAGATAAAATTTCTACTTGTTAATCATGCATTCTTTCATATTATAATAAAAGCACACTTGATCCTTTTATATATAATACACATAATTATATAATTGTAATCTAGAAGGTCCCATTGCATATTTGCCTCTTTATTATATTTTCAATCCAAAGATAAAAGAAAACTGAAATATAATGACCAAAAAGCTATCTAGCTACATAATGAAATAGTAGCTCAAAGCTACAACCAACAAATATGATTCTGAAAAGCTATTTGCCTACACAATATAACTCAGTAACAATGCTACATCCTTTTAATTTTAAGAACGCTTCGTAATGATTGCTCAATTCTGTAAGAAGTATCCTGGAAGTTAAAATGAAACTTATTCTAGCCAACAAGGGAATAGATACAGCCCTGTTCCCTGACAATTTTTGAAATGCAGCAATATTATCCATTTTTTGTACAATAGGTTTAATTAAGAGTCATCATAGAGTATTGTAGAAACTCAATAAATTAAACTATTGCAAGAAGAAGGGGCAAATTTTAAGGTCAACTTAAGTGAACGCTTTTATTTCTCCACAACATGTGTAATGTGTTTATTACAAAATCTATATAGTTTGAGACAGAACTGCATGGTTGACTATGTGTTTTACTTTTCCTACTGCCACATATACATACTGACATTCAAAACATTAGGATTTTTTGTCAGTTATGCAAAAAATGAAGAGCTTAGTTCTTAAAATCAAATGCAAAGATAGATATTCTCCCTAAGCTAATATAACATTTTAAATGGGACCTCTGGCATAATATTATGGCCAAATCATTGTAGCATATTTTATAATTATGAATTTTAATGGATTCAAGTAAATCCTGCTACTACTACAGTTTGCTCCATTAGAAATAGTATCACAATCAATGCTTAGCTTGGCTCCTATTTGTTTACTTTTTATACAGTGACTAACTGAAACAGTCAATAAGTACTCTGTTCACTTAACAACTACCTATCAACCTCTGTGGCACTGGTGTTACTTCAACTCATGAATGAGAAAATCGAGTCTTACAACATTAAATTTTCATCTCACTGAAGCTGCCTTTGCAAAAGCTATAACTGAGGAAATTATGACAGTGAAAGAGATCGGACCTAACCAGCTCCATCTTGCTTCTCATCTTTAAGGTGTCCTTGTTCATTTCGGGGTGTAGGTCAACCTAGTCTTGGGAAGGAATTCAGTTTATGGTTTGACCCTGAAACAAAATTGGTAATAGCACTTTCATGAACAAAGAATGCTTTTTGCCTGGGACCATTCTGCCTTTTTAGGATTAACAAATTAGCTACAAGATTAGAAGACATGTATGCAGCCAAAAAACACATGAAAAAATGCTCACCATCACTGGCCATCAGAGAAATGCAAATCAAAACCACACTGAGATGCCATCTCACACCAGTTAGAATGGTGATCATTAAAAAGTCAGGAAACAACAAGTGCTGGAGAGGATGTGGAGAAATAGGAACACTTTTACACTGTTGGTGGGACTGTAAACTAGTTCAACCATTGTGGAAGTCAGTGTGGCCATTCCTCAGGGATCTAGAACTAGAAATACCATTTGACCCAGCCATCCCATTACTGGGTATATACGCAAAGGACTATAAATCATGCTGCTATAAAGACACACGCACATGTATGTTTATTGTGGCATTATTCACAATAGCAAAGACTTGGAACCAACCCAAATGTCCAAAAATGATAGATTGGATTAAGAAAATGTGGCACATATCCACCATGGAATACTATGCAGCCATAAAAAATGATGAGTTCATGTCCTTTGTAGGGACATGGATGAAATTGGAAATCATCATTCTCAGTAAACTATCGCAAGAACAAAAAAGCAAACACTGCATATTCTCACTCATAGATGGGAATTGAACAATGAGATCACATGGACACAGGAAGGGGAACATCACACTCTGGGGACTGTTGTGGGGTGGGGGGAGTGGGGAGGGATAGCATTAGGCGATATACCTAATGCTAGATGACGAGTTAGTGGGTGCAGCGCACCAGCATGTCACATGTATACATATGTAACTAACCTGCACATTGTGCACATGTACCCTAAAACTTAAAGTATAATAATAAAAAAAAAAGAAAAGAAAATACAGTTTGGAGGCCATATATCCTCTGGCTCCAAAAGCCTGAACTTACCCAAGTTGCTCATAGTGGTAAATCACTATTGTAAAACCTAAGATCAGTGCTTGAGATATTTTGCAGACCCTCCACTAGATGGATCAGCTGTCACCACTCAGACAGTTAATCTGGCTCCACCAGTTCTGCCATCCCACCCAGGAACACAAGACAGCAAGAAAATCACACTGAAACCCTGCATGATTCCATCTCCAACTTGACCAATTAGCACTCCTCACTTCTGGAGCCTCTGCCTGCCAAATTATCCTTAAAAGCTCTGATCCTTGCTGGATGCAGTGGCTCACATCTATAATCCCAACACTTTGGGAGGTCAAGGCATGCTGACCACTTGAGGCCAGAAGCTTGAGACCAGCCAGGCCAACATGCTGAAAGTCTGTCTCTACTTAAAATACAAAGGGGAAAAAAAGCAATGTAGTGGATGCCTGTAATCCCACTTACCTGGGAGGCTGAGGTGCAAGAATCCCTTAAACCTGGGAGGCAGAGGGTACAGTAAGTCTAGATCATGCCACTGCACTCCATCAGGGATGACAAAGCAAGACTTCATCTCAAAACATACAAGCAAACAAAAAACAAAATGAAACAAAAAAGCAAAAAACAAAACAAAACAAAACAAAACCCTGATCCCTTAATGCTCAGGAAGACTGATATCAGTAAAAAGAAACTTCCGGTCTCCTGCATGGCCAGGTCTGCATAAATTACTCCTTCTCCACTGCAATTCCCCTGTCTTTATAAATGGGCTCTGTCTAGTTAGGGGGCAAGGTGAACCCGTTTTACAGCTATATAATTAGTAAGTGGTTTTTCTGATATCTCAATCCAAGCAGGCTCACCAAGGATCTCATGCCTTAGTCATTAAAATGTAATTATATATTTTTCTAACTCACTACAAAGACACAAGTATTATCATTTGTACCAAAAACTTCCTTTCCTAAACTAATGTATAGAAGGGAAAAGATGATGTAAGATACATGTAAGGGAGAAAACAAATGTAAATAAAAATTGTGTATGTCGGAGAGGGACAATGTTTGGGGCTACAAAGGAGAAAAATAAATAGGGAGCAGGTAACATACACTATGGAATATTTAAAGATAAGCTCTATTTGGGTAGGTGAAGTAATGAAAGGGGGTGCAAGAGGAGAAAGGAAAAAACAGTCAGGCAGGCAATTAAGGTTGGTCCTCAGTTGAATTCTTTGAAATGAAAGAACTGCCTGCAGGCACAGATAAGGAAAGTTGCACAGGGGCTTGCCAAAGACATGCTCACAGCCACACAGATAAGAAAGGCTACACAGGAGACTTGCCTAGACATGCATCCAGTGGAAATTCCATCCCTGATACATGCCTAGTAAATGGTACAAAACAATATGGAGTAACTCGAGCTAAGTCCCCACGTGTGCATTAAGAGGATGGGATAGAGCTACCAGAAATTTGTGCCCTATGCAAATGAGATGCCCAGCCCTCATTAGTTTTCTATAAAAGACTTTGCATTCAATTGTTAAAATGACAACACTCCTGTGGGCCTCCTCTCTGCAGCAGAGAGCTTTCCTCTTTTGCTTACTGAAGTTTCACTTCAACCTCATTCTTTGTGTGCACAATCCTTAATTATCTTAGTCATGAGACAAAGAACTCTGAGTGATAACTCACAATAAGAGACTGTTACATTGTGGAGCATTGGTGAGACTGTAACAGTGCCATTCCTGATAAAAACAAAACATTGAGTAAAGAAATGGAGGAAGGTCTTGGCCAGACTTGGGGGCCCAATATGCTGATTTGATGAAAAGAGTACAACTTTATAAAATATTCGAAAACATTTATTCAGAGCAAAATATGAGTGACCATGGCCTGTGACACAGCCCTCCAGAGAAGTCCTGAGAACATGTGTCCAAGGTGGCAGGGTTGCAGCTTGGTTTTATATATTTTAGTGAGACATTAGACATCAATCACATAGATTTAAGAAAGACAACTGTTCAGTCCAGAAAGGCAGGACAACTCAAAGCAAGGCCAGTAGGGGGGTGCTTCCTGGTTATAGGCTGATTTAAATTTTTCTGGTAGACAATTGGTTGAGCTTATGTGAAGACTTGGGATCAATAGAAAGGAAATGTCTGCATTGTGATAAGAACTTCTGGAGTCCAAAGGTTTATGATGTAGAGGAAGCCTCCAAGTAGCAGGCTTCAGAAAGAATAGATTGTAAATTCTTCTTATCAGACTTAAGGTCTGTTGATGTTAATGCCAGAGAGGTATAATGAGGCATATTTGACCCCCACTTTCCATCAGAGCCTGAACAAATCTTTCAGATTAATGGTGTTCTAGCTGAGGAGGAAGTCCCTTCAGATGGTTTGTGCCCTTAGAATTTTATTTTTGGTTTACAGTGGTCATTAGACATATGTTACATTTTAAATTTAAGTTAATTAAAATGAATAACAACTAACCATTCAGTATCTGAGTTATAATTGCTATATTTCAAGTGTTCTGTAGCCATACATGGCTAGTGGGGCTACCATATTAGACAGCCAAAAATAGAACATTTGAATAATTTCAAATAGTTGTGTTGGACAGTGCAGCTCTTGGAAAAATAACTTAGGGTATGGGAGAGTGAAGATGCCTCTATAAGCAGTTAACTTTTAGATATATGGTATGAGGCAAAGAGAGGGAAAGATATGAATGAGTAAAAAAAAAATGACTTTAATGTATATGAATTGCATTAAAATTATACCTAAAGTTTAGAAACATATATTTTATTTTTCAAATCTCAAGCAATATTTTGTAAGCTGTAGAAAATAAATGCACATAAAAGAGGCTTTATAAAAATAGAAAAGAAGTTACTACATTTTGAATGACTGTTTTATAGTAGATGTTTTTCCTCTCTAAATATATTTAAAGGATTCAAATTGTGTGTGGATACAAAGCCAAATAAAATTTCCCTGCTCTTTCATAGTTTTCTCCATTCATAGCCCGTAGCCACTGGAGTTGAAAGCCACAGCCATTTGCTCTTCTTTTTGAAGATTATATTTTTATTCATAATATTTATATTTTTTCTTTTATATTTTTGAGTCAAGGTCTCATTATGTCACCCAGGCTGGAGTGCAGTGGCACAGTCTCAGCTCACTGCAGCCTGAACCACCCAGTCTCAAGCGATCCTCCCACCTTAGCCTACAAAGTAGCTAGGACTACAAGTGCGTACCACCATACCCAGCTAATTTTCATATATATATATACATTTTTTTTTTTGTAGATACAGTGTCCAACTAAGTTGTCTAGGCTTGTCTTGGACTCCTGGGATCTAGCAATCTGCCCATTACAGCCCCTCAAAATGCTGGGATTACAAGCGTGGGCTATTGAACTGGCCTGCCTTTTTTAATTCCTTCCAAATGACCTCTGATTTTGAGGAGTTAACATGCTTTTCAGATTAAAGCAAAACAAAAAAAGAAGCAAAAACAAGAAACTTAATGCCCAAATCACACTAAAAACAACACTATATATTTTAAAAATAATTTTCAATTTTATTTAATTAGATTTTCTTCTCATGGTATCCAAGCAGGTTTAAAATATCACTGGGAATAAACAACAAGTTAAAAAAAAAAAAAGACAAATGTTCTTGGTGTACACTAAACATAAAACCAAAGCAAAACAAGTGTTCTCATTTTTAGCTACCCTGACTAACTTAATGATATTTTAATTTTTAAGATACACTTTCAACAACTCTTTTCTTTAAAAATTTTCCTTATAGAAGTGAGAATTCAGGACCAACTGTTGATTTTGTCTAAAGAAGTACTTGGTAGCAATGGTAATTACAGCCTACTTACATATTTACAAATGAGTATTCTTATTTACTCTTTATTTAAATAAATTTTTTAATAGGTCTCACTGTGTTGCCCAGGCTGGTCCTGAACTCCTAAGCTAGGTGATCCACCTGCCTTGACCTCCAAAAGTGCTGGGATTACAAGTGTGACCCATGGTGCCCAGACTCAATAAGGTTTGTGAATGTGTGTGTGAGACAGTGCCTTGCTCTATTACCCAAGCTGGAGTGCAGTGGTATGATCTCCACTCACTGCCTGGGTTCAAGTGATTCTCCTGTCTCAGCTTTCTGAGTAGCTTACAGATGCCCACCAACATGCCTGGCTAATTTTTATGTTTTTAGTAGAGACAGGGATTCACCATGTTGGCCAGGCTGGTCTCAAACTCCTGGCCTCAAGTGATCTACCTGCTTCAGCCTCCCAAAGTTCTGGGATTACAGGCATGAGCCACCACATCTGGCCCCACAATGTCTTTTTAAACTATGGATTATTACTTCCTTGTGAGATTCCTGGAAATAACTGCAATATGATGCTAGTCATGGTGATACAGATAGGAGGCAGGGAAATACTGGATAGAAGAGGTGAGTTCCCTGGCAAAGGCCTTATTCTCAAGCCTGGAAACCATAATCCTACATGAGAACAGTTATTCCTGATTTTCTGCCCAAATGTTATTTTTTTGGCCCACTCTGCCTCCCTGTCCTGTGCCTGTATAAACTCCAGACCACAGCTGGCAGAAACACAAGTGGCTTAACATTGAGAGGAGAAGAAGCAACTGCGTGACAGAATACAGATAGACATGGCTTAACTTCAGATGGCACAACTTTGGAGAGGAGCTTGCCCAAAGATGTCCAGGCTTCAGGGAAAGTTCACCTCCTTTCCACAACCACCCCTTTCCAGCTCCCCTTCTGCTGAGAGCCACCTCCACTGTTTAATAAAACCTCTACATTCACTATTTTTCAAGTCCGTTTGTCCTGATTCTTCCTGGACACATGAAAAGGACCCAGGTACCAAGAGGGCAGGGTGTAAAAGTCTGTCATCCTGACTCTTTGCTGAGCTGGCTAACATTTAGCCGTGTGGCTGGAGCCAAAAACACCCTCCCCGGCTCCTGTGCTTGCTCACCTGTGTGCTCCTCCTCCTACAAACGGGAGTAAAGGAGCCACACCCCTGTTCCAAGTTCATCCTGCTGAAGGGGTCAAGGGAATGCTCTTGTCTCAGTGTGGTTTTTTGATGAAACATGTCACTTTTCATGTAAAATGCTTCTGTGAATCCTGCTGTTCTACATGGTAAAGAACTAACCCTTTTCTCTGAGAAATTCACAGGGATAACAGATTGAATGAAATAGCTCTGCTTGACAGAAATTTCACATATTCCTCAGAGAATATGGAATTTCAAATCAGTTTCAAGCAAAAAAAATAAAAAATAAATAAATAAATAAATTAATTAATTAATAATATTTTTTTCCTTCCCCAGCTGGTACAAATGGAACCTAAACAAATCCTACAAAGGAGCAAGATTGAAAAGATGTATTTTGAAGTTGGCAGTCAACCAACTATATTTTTGTGTTGGAAAGGATTCCCTCACTACATTACCCTTCAACCAAGGCTATTAAACACAAGAACAGCCATTGCTTTGACATTTAGCACCAGAATCCAACATATTTAGTAAAGGAACAAATCTCCATGGGAAAGCAGTTGTATACTTGAAAGTGTATACTTGTAAATGTAGATTCTACATTTCAGTTCTGTAACACCTTGGACAAATGTGTTTACTATTTGTTGGTTTGTGTTTTTTATTCCGTTTCCTTCCTTCCTTCCTTCCTTCCTTCTTTCCTTCCTTCCTTCCTTCCTTCCCTCCCTCCTTCCTTACTTCTTTCCTTCCTTCCTTCTCCTTTTTTCCCTCTCTTACTTTCTTTCTTTCCTTCTTTCTTTCTTTCTTTTTCTTTCTCTCTCTTCTTTCTTTCTTGCTTTCTTTGTTTCTTTCTTCCTTTCCTTCTTTCTTTCTTTCTTTCTTTTTCTCTCTTTTCCCTCCCTCCCTCCCTCTGTCCTTCTCTCTCTCTCCTCTCTCCTCTCTCCGTCTCCTCTCTCTCCTCTTTCTCTCTCTCCTTCTCTCGGCCTCACTCTGTTGCCAGGCTTGAGTGCAGTGGCAGAATCAAGATTCGTTGTAGCCTCAAGGTCCTGGGCTCAAGAGGTCCCCCTACCTCAGCCTCCCAGGTAGCTAGGACTACAGGTCTGTGCAACCATATCCAGGTAATTTCTTAATTTATTTATAGAGATCGGGTTTTTCCATGTTGTCCAGGCTGATATCAAATTCCTAGCCTCAATCAATCTTCCCATCTGGGCCTCTCAAAATGTTGGGATTGCAGGCATGAGCCACTGTACCTGAACTTCTTCAACCTTTCTAAGAGAAACCACACAGCTGCTCTGTGTAACATGGTGGAGTAGGGGAGCAACTAGCTTCTGAGGTTTACTAAACATGCTTGTAATCAATACAATTTGATTAATGACAACAGTTATTAATGTAGCATGAATTACTGCTAGAGAGGTTTCACTCATATAATTAGTCAACAACATGGGTAAGGTAATAAATGCCACTATGTCTTTCTGGTATCACCTGACTGAGGATAAAAATGTATCATCACACTGAGATTATGCCAGTGACTCAAGTCATGAGTTTAATACCTCAAACTAGTCAACTTTTCAACAAATATATATGGACTACTAAATGCCAACCATGGTTGTTGCTACTGAAGATATAGCTCTAAACAAAATAAAGATACTGCTTTTCAGATCTTTAAATGTGTCCAAACATTAATTGAATGTGTAGGATAAATGCAACTTGTGTCTTTTTGTCTTTCTTCCCTTCCACTGGAAGTTTACAATTAGTTACATAAGTTATTCCTAGAATGCGACCAGTGAACCCCAAGTTTAAATTCAATTGATTGAAGACTAATGCTTTTTAATACAGACTTTATCATTAATTCTTAATACATGCTCTGAGGTTTCCTGCTTGAACGCACAAGACAAATGGGACTGATTGTGTCTGTGTGTAGGAAAGTAACATAAAGAATATATAAACTATAAATAATATATATACACACGACACTGTTGTAATATAAAACTTTTCTAATACTGTTAATTAGTGTCATTTTTGCAAGCAGCAATTTTTTTTGAGGAGAGGATCTTGCTCTGTTGCCCAGGCTGGAATGCAGTGACATGATCTGAGCTCACTGCAACTTCTGCCTCTTGGGTTCAAGGGATCCTCCCATCTCAGCCTCCAAGTAGCTGGGACTACAGATGCCACCACACCCAACTAATTTTTGTACTTTCAATAGAGAGGAGGTTTTACCACGTGGGGCAGGCTGGTCTTAAACTGCTGGCCTCAAGCTATGTACCTGCCTCAGCCTCCCAGGGTACTGGGATTATAGGCATGAGCCACCATGCCTGTCCGCAAGCAACAATGTTAATAGTCATCTATAAAAATCATTTTAGATTGTAACTTTTGATTCTTTATATTTTATGTATCTCTGTATCTATCTGTAACTGTCACTGGAAGAAAATAGAGACTTGGTGAGCTTGAAGGGAATATTGGTAATGATCTACTTTTTGGCAATTTGTTGCTAATGTTAATATTCAGTCATGAGAAACAGCTATGAGAAACATCAATTTTTAGAGATGGGGTCTCACTCTGTTGTCCAGGCTGCTCTTGAAATCCTGGGTCCAAGCAATTCACCCGCTTGGCCCCCGAAAGTGCTAGGATTAGGGGTTCAATCCACTGTGTCCAACTGAACCAAAGAGTTAAAGAGATTATCTGAACATCATATAGACTCATAGCTATAATCAAAATCTTATAATTGAGACATGTTTATCCTACATTTGTTAATAATTCCAAATTTATTTGCTATTACAAATCATTAAAATATTCAAAAATAGGCATTCATTGGGGCAATAATCACTAACGTTGAATTGTTTCAACACAAAATTTATAATATAAATTAATAAACTTGGAAAATGCACACATTGAAGGTCTAATCTGTAAATTCAGAGATGCTATTTTTCCACTATTAATAAGCATCCTATTAATAATCTTCAGATAAGTCCAGAGTTTGTGGCAGTCTTAGATTTTTTGGTTAATTATAATAGCTAAATTATTTTATCTTATTAACAGCTACACAGAAAAAGAAAAATCTGTGACTTTTCTAATCAATAAATAGAGTGTCTTTTATCATAAAATTATTGTGCTGAAGAAAAATTGTGATAGTTAAAAATACAGAATTTTTGAAACAGTTTATTTTGCAGTTCTTATTTGTATAACAATTTGATTTTTCTCTGATTTATGAAAATTAGCATAATATGTTAAGCATTTAGTCTTCTAAATGTCAACTTATAAATATTTATTTCATGCATTGTATGTGCCAGATATTGAGTTAGCTACTGAAAAAAACAGTGACATTCTGTGATATTCTAAGATTGCCTAATTTCTATCTGCATCCTTTGTTATCAATGGCAACCTCTAATTCCCTCTGCTATTCTCCTAGTGACTTTTTCATTTGGGAAGTACTTACATGAATCCAGATACATCCAAATTAGAGTTGTAACTTTGCAGACCATGGAGTAGTCATTAAGGTTCTATTGCTACTGTAAAACAGAAATGAAATTCTAAATCCTCAATCAACTGAATAGACCCCATCTTCTCTTGCCCAAAGGGATACCCCTCAAAAAAAATCTGAAAAACGAGTTCAGGACATGATTGGAAGGTGTCAGACAGGCCTTGTTATACCCATTCCCTTTGGAGCTTAGATACATTGACCTAGGGCTAAAACAGAGCTCATAAGACTGACAAAATGGACAGTTTGTGGCAATAAGATGCCAAATTCCACTGTGATTCTGGCATAGCATCACATGACAGATTGCAGACCCTAAATAAAATTAAAGTACTTTATTCCAAAATAGATTTTCTTTGACATATTTTGAAATGGCTGTGCAAAGCCATTGCTCATGAAACAAATGTTCATTTTTTAGGAAATTTCTTTCCCTTTCTTTCCCTGATCCTGAGAGATTTAACTGTCTGACATTTAAGCCCTGAAAAGTGAGACATTTACCACCTATTCTCTCTGAACCATGTTACTTACAGATTTCATCTATGTAACAAGAACCTTGGCTTCTGTAACCCCCTTAACTCAAGCATTTCTCTCCACTGATTTCAACTCTTTAGAAAAAGCTTAACTCTTTTAACCAATTGTCAATCAGGACATCTTTGAATTGGCCTATGATCTGGAAAACCCTGCCTGGAGATGACTCATATTTCCAGGCTGAACAAATGTATACATTACATTTATTGAATTATGACTTTGTGTATAACTTCTGTCTACCTAAAACGTATAAAACTAAACTGCAACCCAACCACCTTGGGCAGATGTTCTCAGGAACTCTTGACTCTGTCACTCATGTATGGCTCAGAATTGCTGAGACCAGCTAGGTAGGGGAGACCCTAACCCAGTGGTGCTAGAGGAGTTAAAGACACACACACAGAAATATAGAGGTGTGAAGTGGGAAATCAGGGGTCTCACAGCCTTCAGAGCTGGGAGCCTCAAACAGAGATTTACCCACGTATTTACTAACAGCAAACCAGTCATTAGCATTGTTTCTATAAATATTAAATTAACTAAAAGTATCCCTTATGGGAAACGAAGAGATGAGCTGAATTAAAGGAATAGGTTGGGCTAGTTAACTGCAGCAGGAACATGCCCTTAAGGCATGAATAGCTCATGCTTTTGTTTGTGGCTTAAGAATGCCTTTAAGTGTTTTTCCACCCTGGCAGGCCAGGTGTTCCTTGCCCTCATTCCCATAAACCCACAACCTTCCAGATTGGTCATTAAGGCCATTATGAACATGTTACAGTGCTGCAGATATTTTGTTTATGGCCAGTCTTGGGGCCAGTTTATGGCCAGATTTTGGGGGGCTTGCTCCCAACATTTCTCCCTTCTCTGATTTGCAGAAAGGTAAAAGCAAGGGCAGCTTTGTCATGGTGAGCTACTTCTCGCAGGAGTCGGGATCTGCATCTGCAGACTATACAAACAACATAGATAAAAAGCACCATCATCATTGAAATCACAGAGCTTCCAAGTGTTTTTATCCATTTAAATGGCTTACTAGTTGCTAATGTATCTGCAGCTCCTTTAAGTATTTTAATTCCTGGCATTAAGGTCATGTGTGCCTGGGATGCTTTAAATATTTGTTCTTTTAATTTTGTTATATCCAAAAGCAGGTTTGTTGAGTGTCCTTTTAGATGCTTTTTTATTTTTGCCCAAGTTTTGATCTTATTAAGAGTATTTAATAATTTCCACAAATCCTTATGTTTAGCTCCTAGAGCGGGCCATGTCATTTGAGGTTGAGGTGCCACTATACCGCCATGGTTCCAGATAATAGGAACTTTTGCCACACTTCTTATCATTTCTACCATCTGACCATTTTGTTCAGATCATTTGAACATAGTGTGATCATGGCACGCAGACTGAGATGTGCAATTTAAGCTAAACATCCCCTTAGGGGACCAATTAATAATGATTCCATAGGAATTGTTGTGCAACACCTCTGCCTGTTCTGTAAAGCAGTCTTCTTAAACAAGTGCTTTCATTTTTTCCAAACTGGGTCCAATCCTGTTTACAAATAGGTTTTCGAGGGTGGTATGCCCCAATTATAGGAGCAGATTTATTATGGTAAATACTGAGATCAGAAAGCATGTGTAGCTGTGTGAGAGTGATTGCATCCAGACATTATTACCAGCCCTTATTGAAGGAATACTCACGGCAGTGGTGATAACCGCTATCATAGCTACCATTAAATTATTCATTGTGACTGGTTGTCCTGCTTCCCTCAGGTTTTCTTCTGCCATCTATGGCAGCTTCTTGGTCTGTCCCAAGGGGGGTGGCTGTGTTTGATGGGTGTTGCTCATGACAGTTGGGGTCCACCTCAGCATCAGTCTCAACATGGCTGCAACTGGGGGGTCCTCTGGAGTCACTTCTTCATCATCTGGCTCATGATAAGGTTTCAGGTGTCTTGATGGTATCTAAATCAGCTGTTGATTTTGGCCTGGATAAATATAAGCATAACCTCTACCCCAAGTTATTATTTTACCTATTTCCCAACTTTTTGTTATTGGATCTCTCCACCAAATCAGTTGTTCTGTTTCTGTATTTGCAGCTGGTTTCTGTAAATGTTGTTCAGCTGCTGATAATATCTGGCCTTTGGGCAGGCTTAAAAAATTTAAAGTTAATAATGCTAGGTTCAGTTGCATCTGTCGTGTTCCAACATTGTTTCTCCCTTTTTGCTTTTGCAACTGCTGTTTTTGGGAGAGATTCATTTTTTCCACTATGGCTTGTCCCTGAGAATTGTATGGGGTACCAGTAATGTGTTCAATATTCCACGTAGAGAAGGTAGCTAGAGCTTGGCTAGTATAGCCTGGGGCATTATCTGTTGTAATAGAAGCTGGAATGCCCATCACCACAAAACATAGCAAAAGATGAGTTTAACACAGGCATAAGACTCTCCTGTTTGGCACATAGCCCAAACAACATGAGAAAAGCTGTCTGCACATACACGTACATAAGCTAGTCTCCCAGACGAGGGAACATGTGTGACATCCATTTGCCAATTAGACTTAGGTTCCAATCCTTGAGGATTACCTCCTCCTGTAAAAGATGAGGAATGTACCATTTGGCAAGTTGGGCATCACTGGATAATAGCTTTAGCTTCTTTCCAGGTAATGCTGTATCTGGTTTGAGACCAGAGCCATTATCATTGGTTAAACTGTGAAAGTGTCTGGCATTAGACATTGCAGTATCAACTAGGCAATCAGTCATTTGATTCCTTTCAGTCAAAGGTCCTGGAAGAAGTGTGTGAACCCTAATGTAAGTGATGTAAAAAGAGTCCATTCTACTCCTAACTGCTGTTTGCAATTGGGTAAATAAAGCCATCCGTTGTTTGTCTGTATGAAATCCTAACTGAGCATTTCCAATTAACTGTGTGGAATGAATCACGTATGAAGAATCAGAAATCATACTAACAGCCATATCAAAAGAAGTCCATACCTCAATTACCGCTGCCAGCTCTGCTTTTTGAGCTGAAGTACAGGATGTCTGGAAAACTTTACTTTTTGAGCCAAAATAGGAAGCTTTACCATTACTAGACCCAACTGTAAAAACATTCTCAGCACCTTCAATTGGTTTAAATTTAGTTATTTTAGGGAGAATCCCATTAGTAAATTTCAACAACTGAAACAGCTTCATTTTAGGAAAATGATTATCGAGAATATCCACAAAGTCAGCTAAATGGGTTTGCCATGTAAGACTATTTATAAAAGCTTGCTGTATTTGTGCCTTCATGAGAGGGACAATAATTTTTCCAGGATCATATACATGTAATTTAACAATTCGAGTTCTCCCACTCCCTATCATAGTAGTGATTTGATCTAAATAAGGAGTTAGAGTCCATGAATTAGGAAGGGGAAGAAAAAACACTCTTCTAAGTCCAGTTCTTGGACAATAACACCAGTAGGTAAATGCTGAGTTGAAAAGATTAACAAATCCAGAGTCTTCTCTGGATCTGTTCTATTTATCTGAGCTTTATGGATTTGCTTCTCAATCAGTTGTAACTCTGCCTCAGCCTCTTTTGTTAATTGCAGAGGGCTAGTGAGACTAGGATTTCTTCTAAGGATAGAAAACAGATTACTTATGGCATAGATAGGAATGCCTAGAGCAGGTCTTATCCAATTAATATACCCTAGTAATTTCTGAAAGTCATTTAATGTTTTTAATATAGCCCTATGTATGGTTACTTTCTGTGGCACAATGGTAGTGTCATTTACTAATATCCCCAAGTAGGATTAAGGAGTACTAGTCTGAATTTTGTCAGGATCGGTAATTAAACCAGCACAAGAAATTGAATTTTGTAAGTGATCATAACATTGGAGTAGTATTTCTCGAGTGGGGGCAGTACAAAGTATATCATCTGTATAATGAATAATGTAATACTGAAAATTTTTTAAGAGTAGGTTCAATTGCTTGCCTCACATATGTCTGGCAAATTGTTGCACTGTTTAACATGTCTTGTGGCAACACTTTCCAGTGATAATGCTTAGCAGGCTGCAGGTTGTTTACCGCAGGAATTGTAAACGCAAACAGTTCACAGTCTTGTTCAGCTAATGGGATAGTAAAGAAACAATCTTTTAAATCTATGACAATTAAAGGCCAATTTTTTGGAATTAAAGCAGAAGAAGGTAATCCTGGCTGTAATGCTCCCATAGGTTGTATAACTGAATAGATGGCTCTTAAGTCAGTTAACATTCTCTGTTTTCCTGATTTTTTCTTAATTACTAAAACTGGAGAATTCCAAGGAGAAAATGTTGGAGCTATGTTCCCATTTTCTAATTGTTCAGCAACTAATTTCTCTAAAGCTTCCAGTTTCTCTTTACTTAGTGGCCATTGTTCTACCCAAATTGGCTTACCTGTAAACCATTTTAAATGTACAGGTTCTGGAGGCTTAACATTTATCAGTAATTTGATTTACCCAACAAGCTGCTTTGCCTTTTTTATTTGTGCTCCCAAATCCTCCTGTTAATTTAATTTCACATTTCCCCATTTCCACATATGGCACAATGAGGAGCTGTGCTATATGCTCTCCTGACTCTTTTAGTGATTAGAACACACAGTTTTTTAATTTCCAAAAGGACTTTAAAAATTTAAATAAAAAGTATAATATTATAAGTCAATTCATTTTGATTTCTCAAGGTAGACACATAAAATAAGCAATCATTTCTACCAAATGAGATACCTAAAAAGGTCTGGAAAATCTACATTTGGTATGCAAAGAAAAATGTTAAAAGAATTAAAATTTTAATATGGGTTTGTGTAGGTTTTCCTAAATAATTTAGGTTAACAACCTGTCCATCTTATTGCCAACAATGCATGTAAAATATAAAAAGTTGATTAAGAATAATATCAAGAAAGAAACCACTGTAATATACATGGACACATATAACTCATAATTGTATTCATTGGAAATTAAGCCAGAGAGATAAAAACAACGTTCAGATAAAACCTGCACATGAATGTTCATGGTAGCTTTATTTGGAAAAGAAAAATCTAACCAGGTACAATGGCTCAATACCTGTAATCCAGCACTTTGGGAAGCAAAGGCAGAAGGATCACATGAGCCCAGGACTTTGAGACCAGCTTGGGCAACATGGTGAAACCCTGTCTCTTCAAAAATAGAAAAAAAATTGCATGGCTTGGTGGTATGTGCTGTGGTCCTAGCTACTTGGGAGGCTGAGGTGGGAGGATCCTTTGAACCTGAGAGGTCAAGGCTTCAGTGAACTGTGTTTGCATGCTCCAGCCTGGTTGACAGAGTGAGACACTGCCTTAAAAAATAAAAATAAATTTAAAAGATTAAAAACTTTGGAAGAAATAAAATGTCATTCAAAGTGTGAAAGGTTGAATAAGCTGCCATATTACCATACCATGGAATATGAGTGAACAATAGAAAATAATAAATAATTGACAAGGTGCAGTGGCTGAAGCCTGTAATCCCAGCATTGTGGGAGGCCAAGGCAGGTGGATCACAAGATTAGGAGATGGAGGCCATCTTGGCCAACATAGTAAAAGCCCTCCTCTACTAAAAACAATAAAAAAAATTAGCTGGGCATGGTGGTGGGCACCTGTAATCCCAGCTACTGGGGATGATAAGGCAGAAGAATCACTTGAACCCAGGACACAGAGGTTACAATGAGCTGAGATCATGCCACTGCACTCCAGCCTGGTGACAGAGTGAGATACTGTCTCAAAAAAAGAAAAAAAAAGTAAACAAAAGAAAAGAATATATATTTAAATATTGATGCACTCAACAACCAAAGTAGATGTAAAGGCATTTTGAAGTGAAATGAAAATGAAAAATGTACATCTCTAAAGGTCATATATTGCATTATTGCATTTACAAGATATACTCAAAATGACGACATGACAGAGATAGAGAGAGATAACTGGTTGTCAGGAAAATTGCATGGGTGCAGCAGGTGCTAACATAAGCAACAGGAGGGGCATGTTTTGTTACAGTGGAACACTTTTTAATCTTGATGTGTAGCTATGTGAGTCTACACATGGGATAAAATGGCATAGAATTATACACACAAATACAAAAATACATTATTTTGGAACTATAAAAAGTAGTAAAAACTGAATAAGTTGTGTAGTTTCCTTACCAGGATTTTACCAATGCCAATTTCCTGGTTTTTATAACATATTACGGTTATGTAAGGTGTCATCATTGAACACGGATGGGGTGAAGCATTATATGGGACTCTGCTATTTTTGCAACTTCCTCAGAGACCATCTCAAAATAAAAAAGTAAAAGATTAAACTCACAAGGATACTTGTAACTATTAAATAAAATATGTGTAATTACAGAACTTTGGGAGGCTGAGGCAGGCAGATCACATGAGATCAGGAGTTTGAGACCAGCCTGGCCAACATGGTGAACCCTGTCTCTGTGAAAAATAAAAACAATTAGCTGGGTTTGGTGACACGTGCCTGTAGTCCCAGCTACTCGGGAGGCTGAGGCAGAAGAAATATCTTGAACCTGGAGATGGAGGTTTTACTGAGCCCAGATCACACCACTGCACTCCAGCCTGGGTGATAGAGAGAGACAAAAATCATAAAAAAAAAAAAAAAAAAAAGAAAGAAAATATGGACACTTCACCTCCAACACACATCACATTTTAAAATCCAATATTCTATGTTGTGACTTGACTGGGATTTTTTTTTTCTTTTTTGTAGGGGGACTCTCAAAAGAAATCATGCTGCTGAAAATTTACATCCTCATAGACACCCTCTTTCCATCCTGTAATAAAATGGAACAATCCTAAAATCTCTATACCAGGGGTCTCCAACTGTTTTGCAATTGGTCAGATAATAGATATTTTAGGCTTTGTGGGTCAGTGCTTTCAGTCACATATGCTTAACTCTGCTGTTTAGTGGGAAAGCATTCATATGCTGTATACAAGTGAATGAGTGTGGTAGTGTTCCAATAAAACTTTATTTACAAAAATGGGCGGAGAGCAACACCTGGCCCATGGGCTGTAGTTTCCAGACACTCTTTGCTATATTTATAATTGTTTTGTTATAGTGCCTGCAACTATGAGGACTTGATACCATATCATATAAGTTTGTTTATTGCCTCTCTCCCTACACGATTTCCAGCTCCGTGTGTGTTGCTATATTCCCAGCATTTTCTGGTTTGCCACACAAAGTAGGCACAAGATAAATACTTGTCAAATGTGTACTCAAATTCCCAACTCAATTATAGAAATTCAAAGTGAGAGGCCAGGAGCAATGGTCCATGCGTGTAATCTCAGCATTTTAGGAGGGCGACACAGGCAGGTCACTTGAAGTCAGCAGTTGGAGACCAATCTGGCCAACATGCAAAACCCTGTCTCTAATAACAACACAAAAAAAATTGGCCAGGTGCGGTGGCTCACGCTTGTAATCTCAGCATTCTGCGAGGCCGAAGCGGGTGGATCATGAGGTCAGGAGATCGAGACCATCCTGGCTAACACGGTGAAACCCTGTCTCTATTAAAAACAAAAAAAAATTAGCTAGGTATGGTGGCGGGTGCCTGTAGTCCCAGCTACTCGGGAGGCTGAGGCAGGAGAATGGCATGAGCCTGGGAATAAATAAATAAATAAGTAAATAACCTGGGCATGGTGGTGGTATCTATAGTACCAGCTACTCGGGAGGCTGAGGCGGAGGAACTGCTTGAACCTGGGATGTAGAGATTGCAGTGAGCCAAGATCTGTCACTGTACTCCAGCATGAGTGACAGAATGAGATTCTGTCTCAAAAAGAAACAAACAAACAAGCAAACAAACACAGAAAGCCAAAAAATAGCCAGAAAACGTCAATGCTGCTGGAATTTGATTCAACATTTATGACACACGTTCTTTGAAGATAAAACATCAACACCAAAATAAGATCGTTGTTTTCAGGTGGTAACTTTTTATAAGGATTTAGAATCATTCGATAAAATCCAACTTAGTATATATGCTTCACTCTCCAATATAAATGTTACAATTGTTGATTTTTCAAAATTACTCTAAACCATTTAGGTAATCTGTTCATATTTTCAGAATATCTTCAGGAAAAAAAATCAAAAGATTTTAGGAATAGTTAACTCCAATGCCTCTGGGTTGACTTGACATTCTTCTAGAATGAGCTACATACAATTTTTATTATTCACTTAGTCTCTAATGCAGTGAATAGTATGACACTAAACACTTACTCTCAAGACAAAACAATTACTTTTTAAAACTACATTCCAAATACCAGATGCAGAAATATTCAGAAATATACCTGTATCAAAATGGCAATGTTCCTGTCATTCTAAATAGTTTATTGAAAACTCAACTTAGACTGTAAAATGACTGACTTACTGCAAAGATAAATGCAATAAAATTGAGCTGAATTGATATTTAAATTATCTTCTGAAGAGAAAACAAGACTACATTAGAATAAGTATAGGATGCACAGTGGAAAATTTCTGGTTTTAAAAATGTGTGATTTATAACCTGTATCAAATTGTTTTTGCAGAATTTTTAAAATTTACTATTACAAGTGAGTTGCTATGGAAACAGTCCTAATTATCCTTTTTAATCTATGCCATGTTGATAATCATTCAGTGTAATATTCAAAATAAAGGTTTTTCTTTGAAATATAATTAGGCAGACCATCTAACATGCTGAGATATGTTTGTGGCTGGAAGAGAAAAGTAATAAATATCTGAGACACATGCCATAATCCATGGATTTTGTAAGCAAAAATAACTGGTGGTCACATTAAGTAGAACAAATGTGCCATTGCAAAAGACTCTGAAAATAATAATAACCTTGTGTTCCTACTAAATAAGGCCATCAACTTAATAGCCAGAAATAAAATTCTTCTCAAAATATCTTCAACCTATCGTTCAGAGTTAACAAAATTATTAATTCATTGGTAAATGTAGTCAGCAAGAAATTTTATTGGTTTCCTTTTTTTTTTCTTTTTTTCTTTTTTTTTTTTTTTTTTTTTTTTTTTTTTTTTTTTTTTGAGACAAGGTCTCACTCCATTGCCTAGGAGTGTAGTGGTGCAATCTTGGCTCACTGCAACCTCCACCTCCCAGGTGAAGGAATTTTCCTGCCTCAGCCTCTCGAGTATATGGGATTACAGGCACATACCACCAAGCCCAGCTAAATTTCGGTGTGTATTTTTCATAGAGATGGGGTTTCACCATGTTGAAATCCTGATTTTAAGTGATCCACTCACCTCAGCCTCCCAAAGTGCTGAGGTTATGCCCAACTTTGATTGTCTTTTAAGTTTCAGTACTGCCAAGCACTGGCCATTGTTTCAATGAATGCTTATGATGTGTCATTTAACTCACCTGTCTTACATGATCTGACAGATCGAAGAAAAATGCCCTTTCATAAAAAAAGAGGGATCCTAAAATTAAGGAAACAAAAGTTATCTGTGGGTGAAGCATTCAGTCTCTGGTTGGGAAGGCAAATTTCTAAATTCCTATGGCCCAACTCCCTATGATAGCAGCAATCAGGCAAATTATACAATGCCTTCCAACTCAGATTTTGAACCCAGACCACTACAACTCTAACTGGACAGAGGACTGGCCCCACAAACATTCTTTTCCAATAAGCAACTGCAGACCTAACTATCAGTTTCAGCAGCTTACAGTAGCTGTACACGACCTTGTCTTTGTGTCCTATTGCTCACTTTTTGACAAAAAGAGCCTAATTCCACCTTATCATTGTCATAACCATCATCAGCACCACCATTACCATCATTATTACCATCACCATTACCATCACCATCATCACCACCACCATCACCATTTTAATGCTAAAATTTCACATCAAAGTGAACATGGGATGTATGTCACATATATGTTTACCCAATCTGCATGTACTTGGCTCCTCTCATAAATATGAATAGCTTTCTTCCCAACCCTGATGAACATGTGAATTCTATCATGTAATATGGACATTGTGAAGTATAAAAACCAACATATCCTTCTCCTCTTCAAAAAGAGGGTGTCTTCAGTCAGCCCCAGAATTTTGCAAGTTTGAAGTCTTCCAAGTTTGCAAACCAATTATCACCAAAATGATCTCTTTTCAACTATTTAGGCATCCTGGTGTCTTTTGAATTCCATATATGATTTTTTTTTCCTCTGAGACAGGGTCTTGCTCTGTTATCCAGGGTGGAATGTAGTGAAGTGATCACAGTTCACTTCAGCCTTTATCTCTTGGGCTCAAGAGGTCTTCCTACCTCAGCCTCCCAAGTAGCTGATACCACAGGCACATGCCACCACACCTGGCTAAGTTTTTGATTTTTTTGTAGAGACTGGGTGTCACTATGTTGCCCATAGTGGTCTCAAATTCCTGGGCTCAAATGATCCTCCCACTTCAGTTTCCAGAAGTGCTGGGATTACAGGCTTTAGCCACTATGGCTGGCCTGTAGGAGATTTTGAAGGGATAAAGGTTGAGCCCAATAATAATTAAGGAGACAACAATGAATGAACCATGAGCCCTCATTTTTGTGTTTGGGATATTAACATGTGTTGGAAATCATCATCCCATAAGAAATATAGGAGGAAGAATATTATGCAATTTGGACAAATTATAACAGTCTTCCTCTTATAAATCTGGAATCCTTTAGCTAATTTTAGATTCATTTTGGATAAATATATTAAAGATATTTATGCGATATTCAAATGTATATGTGTGAGGTACAGTTGTGTCTATTAAATATATTTTAATATCTTGTCTGGGTGTAATCCCAATATCTTGGCTCACACCTGTTATCCCAGTAGTTTGGGAGGCCAAGGCAGGTGGATCAACTGAGGTGAAGAATTTGAGACTAGCCTGGCCAACATGGTGAAACCCCATCTCTACTAAAAACACAAAAATTAGCCCAGTGTGGTGGTGTGCACCTGAAAGCCCAGCTACTTTAGAGGCTAAGGAAGGAGAATAGCTTGAACCTAGAAGGCATAAGTTGTGGTAAGCAGAGATCACACCACAGCACTTCAACCTGGGCAATAGAATGAGACTCCAACTCAAAAAAAACTTATAATATGTTTATATTTAATGAATATATTTATTTACTATGTTAAATATGTTAAACATATTCAACATGTTCATATTTAATATTTAATATGTTGATATTTAATATAATTATGTTTAATATTTAATATATTTATAAATATATTAATATTAATACATTTGTATTGAATAAAATAAAAAGGACATATTTTATACTTATATTATATAACTAATATATAATATAAATATATTCAATATATGTTTTATTAGAGTCTAAAACTTAGCAAAGGATTCTGGTCTAGTAATTTATTTGCAGTGACTGAGTAGAGGTTATTGAAGACAAATGTTTGGATCAAAGGACCCAATAGTTTGGTCCTGTAACCTTCCAAGGGCATATAATTGTATTGAGAATCATTATCTTCCTTCCATTTTGTGACTTTTGATTTGTTGGCATGTTGAGGGAGTGAGACAGGGTTAGAAAGCTCTCATAAAGACTAAACACACACATCTTACCTTTACCTTTAATTTTAAGGCATATCTCAAGCAACTATTCAGTATGTTGAAGTTTTACTCTCCAATAAATACACTTGGTATTAAAGAAAGATAAAAGCAGATTTCTTCTGGCACTTTGCAGAAGCTTCCATGACATGGCATCCAGCTCCCTGAATCTATGCCTATGATATTCCCTTAGGGAACAGGCCAATGCTTGCACTTATTGGTACCCAAAATATAATTCTAGTGTACACTTCTGCCTATTTTTTTCAAGACACAAACTCCTTAAAAGGGCATGGTGTTCTCTTACCCTTCTTCCCTTTCGAAGCAGAGATCAGATATATGGGGTTGTTTTCTAAGTTACAACTTGAAAGAAAATATTCCCTAAGTCGGTCAAATCACTTACTTCATCACTCTTCGTTAATGAATCAAACTGTAATTAATTAATGAGCACCAACACCACCCCATGGATCCCTTTCAAATAGAGTAGGAGTGTATTTAACTGAAGATCAGTAACTTGGCCAAACAAGAGTGCAACGTAAGCAGAACAGAGCCACCCATTCTGGTTTCCTTTAAGGAATCTTTTATAAGCTATACTACAGTCAGTCACTCAGATCCTTGCTCTTAGGAATTCCCTGAGAATGGACTGGTACATTGGCTCAATCTGTAATCTCTGCACTTTGGGAGGCAGATGTAGGTGGATAACTGGAGGTCAGAAGTTTAAGACCAGCCTGGCCAACGTGGTAAAACCTTGTCTCTACTAAAAATACAAAAATTCACCAGGCCTGATAGTGCACACCTGTGTTCCCAGCTACTTGGGGGACTGAGGCACAGGAATCACTTGAACCTGGGAGGCTGAGGTTGCAGTGAGCTGAAATCAAGCCACTGCACTCCAGCGTGGGTGACAGAGTGAGATTTCATATTTGTCTGTTCTCATGCTGCTAATAAATATATACCCAAAACAGGGTAATTTATAAACAAAAGAGGTTAGTGGACTCACAGTTCCATAAGTTTGGGAGGCCTTACACTCAGGGTGTAAGGCAAGGAGGAGCAAAGTCGTGTCTTACATGGCAGCAGCCAAGAGAGCTTGTGCAGAGAAACTCCCACTTATAAAACCATGAGACCTTGTGAGATTTATTCACGACCATGAGAACAGTATGGTGGAATCCACCCCCATGATTCAGTTGGCCCCATCCTTGACACATGGGGATTTACAATTCAAGATGAGATTTAGGTGGGGACATAAGCAAACCATATCAGCTGGATTCATCTCTGCTCAAATAAAATCCAAGAATAGGTGTGTGTGTGCATGTGCACGTGTGTGTATGTGCATTTTAATAAATGGGTATTTAACATATGTGTATATACATATTTAATATATATAAATGGGTTTTAAATATATATATTTTAAATAAATGTGTTTTTAAATCAAAGAAATGTAAACATCACAAATGGCACTGTTGATCCATTTGAACTGAGCTGTGGGTTCATTTGCTAGAGTACATTTCCTTCCATTCTTTCTCAAAGTGTTACTTTCATAAGGCACTATGTCTCATTTTCTAGTACGAACTAAAATTACTCATAGCTTTCTAAACAACAAAGCTACATTCAGACTGGGTATGGTCACTAAGCCCATAGGGTTCTTAGATCTTATAGTTACCGAACTTTAGGAAAATCATCATGGGCAGTTATGTTAGCCAGCTTCAACTCCTTAACAGGGGACACATCACCTAAATCTGAAAAGCAGTCAACCAAGGGAGTTAAGAAAAGATAAGAAAACTTGATAATAAAAGGCTCAATTTATTCTACAGGGAAGACCTTAAAAGTATAACATAAAGTGTGGTCTTGTCCTGGATATGTTTGTAAGTTGGACATGACATTTGTACATAAGTAGGAAAGAAAAAATACCTCAATTTCTTTATTATCTCATGCTTTTCAACAACATTCTATCTGATTAAATCTGTACAGCAATGAGATTTTATAATCTTATAATTACTATCACTACCATATTACAATGATCATCACTATCATTGTCTTCACTATCATCACCATCATCACCACCCTCAACACCATCATTATCATCATCACCATCATCATCATCCATCACCATCATTCTTATCACCACCATTATTATTATCATCACCACAATTATTATTATCATCAGCGCAATTATCATTATCATCACCATCATCTTTGCCATCATTATCATCATCACCATCATCACTATTATCACCATTATCATCATCATCCTCATCATTATCATCACTCCCATCATCATCACCATCACTATCATCGTTATCACCATCATTCCCATTATCATCACCATCGCTATCATTATCACCATCACCATCATCCCTACAATTATCATCATCATCATTCCCATCATCTCCATGACCCTCTCATTGTCATCATCCCCATCATCGTCATCAGCACTGCCATCAGCCTCAGCACCATCACTATCACCATCACTATCATCATCACCAGCATCATCATCCTTCACAAAGTCTTGCGTGATGATCCAAAGCTTTCTATCAAATTAAGAGACACAATTTCTGTTGTAAGCACAGGAATGGCCCTCCAGAAGTGGCTATCCTGAAACCGGTGAACATTTGACGTTACCTGGCAAACGGGACTTTGTAAATGTGATTAAGGACTTTGAGATGGGGTGATTCATCCAGATAAACCATATCTCATCACATGAGTTTTTCAAGGTGAAAATGTGCAGTTAAGGAGGTGTCCTAGTTATATGACCTGAGAAGGATGAATGCAGCATTAATCGCTTTTAGGAGGAGGAAGGGGACCTCTTTCCCAGAAAGGTTGGCAGCCTCTAGAATCTGGGTATAACCCTTAACTGACAGCCAGCGACAAAATTAGGTGTTAGTTTGGCAACAACTTGAGTTAACCTGAAAACAAATTCCTTGAAAATGCTTCCAAAAAAGAACACAGTCTGCCAAGACATTGATTTTTGCCCAGAGAAAACTGTGTTGGACTTCTGATCTAGAGAACTGCCAGATTCTAAATGGATCATGTTTTGGGCAACTAAATTAGTGTTGATTTTTTACAGCAGCAGTAGGGAAAATGCAATAGCCTGGAAGGAGACTACTTAAGTATGGACGTATTTAAAGTATTCTACGTAGCTGGAGAAAAATTCAGTTAGACGTGGTGGGGGAGAGATAGGTAGTCTGCATTTAACTGAAAGGTACTAATGAACAAACACAATGAATAAAATAAAGAGGTACAAACCTCTTTTTTCTTTTTTTTTTAATTTTATTATTATTATACTTTAAGTTTTAGGGTACAGGTACACAATGTGAAGGTTAGTTACATATGCCATGTTGGTGTACTGCACCCGTTAACTCATCATTTAGCATTAGGTATATCTCCTAATGCTGTCCCTCCCTCCTCCCCCCTCCCCCACCCACAACAGGCGCCAGTGTGTGATGTTCTGCTTCCTGTGTCCATGTGTACTAATTGTTCAACTCCCACATATGAGTGAGAACATGCCATGTTTGGTTTCTTGTCCTTGTGATAGTTTGCTGAGAATGATGGTTACCAGTTTCATCCATGTCCCTACAAAGGACATGAACTCATCATTTTTTATGGCTGCGTAGTATTCCATGGTGTATATGTGCCACATTTTCTTAATCCAGTCTATCGTTGTTGAACATTTAGGTTGGTTCCAAGTCTTTGCTATTGTGAATATTGTGGCAATAAACATACGTGTGCATGTGTCTTTATAGCAGCATGATTTATAATCCTCTGTGTGTATTCCTAGTAATGGGATGACTGAGTCAAATGGTATTTCTAGTTCTAGATCTCTGAGGAATTGCCACACTGTCTTCCACAATAGTTGAACTAGTTTACAGTCCCACCAAGAGCATAAAAGTGTTCCTATTTCTCCACATCCTCTCCAGCACCTGTTGTTTCCTGATGTTTTAATGATCGCCATTCTAACTGGTGTGAGATGGTATCTCATCGTGGTTTTGATTTGAATTTCTCTGATGGCCAGTGATGATGAGCATTTTTTCATGTGTTTTTTGGCTGCATAAATGTCTTCTTTTGAGAAGTATCTGTTCTTGCACTTCGCCCATATTTGATGGAGTTATTTGTTTTTTTCTTTTAAATTTGTTTGAATTCATTGTAGATTCTGGATATTAGCCCTTTGTCAGATGAGTAAGTTGCAAAAATTTTCTCCCATTCTCTAGCTTGCCTGTTCACTTTGATGGTAGTTTCTTTTGCTGTGCAGAAGCTCTTTAATTAGATCACATTTGTCAATTTTGTCTTCTGTTGCCATTGCTTTTGGTGTTTTAGACATGAAGTCCTTGCCCATGCTTATGTCCTGAATGGTATTGCCTAGGTTTTCTTCTAGGGTTTTTATGGTTTTAGGTCTAACATTTAAGTCTTTAATCCATCTTGAACTAATTTTTGTATAAGGTGTAAGGAAGGGATCCCATATCAGCTTTCTACATATGGCTAGCCAGTTTTCCCAGCACCATTTATTAAATAGGGAATCCTTTCCCCATTGCTTGTTTTTGTTGGGTTTGTCAAAGATCAGATAGTTTTAGATATGTGGCATTATTTCTGAGAGCTCTGTCCTGTTCCATTGGTCTATATCTCAGTTTTGGTACAGGTACCATGCTGTTTTGGTTACTGTGGCCTTGTAGTATAGCTTGAAGTCAGGTAGTGTTATGCCTCCAACTTTGCTCTTTTGGCTATGAGGCCAGCATCATCCTGATACCAAAGCTTGGCAGACATAAAACCAAAAAAGAGAATTTTAGACCAATATCCTTGATGAACATTGATGCAAAAATCCTCAATAAAATACTGGCAAAGCAAATCCAGCAGCACATCAAAAAGCTTGTCCACCATGATCAAGTGGGCTTCATCCCTGGGATGCAAGGCTGGTTCAATATACGCAAATCAATAAATGTAATCCAGCATATAAACAGAACCAAAGGCAAAAAACACATGATTATCTCAATAGATGCAGAAAAGACCTTTGACAAAATTCAACAACACTTCATGCTAAAAACTCTCAATAAATTAGGTATTGATGGGAAGTATCTCAAAATAATAAGAGCTATCTATGACAAACCCACAGCCAATATCATACTGAATGGGCAAAAACTGGAAGCATTCCCTTTGAAAATGGGCATAAGACAGGGATGACCTCTCTCACCACTCCTATTCAACATAATGTTGGAAGTTCTGGCCTGGGCAGTTAGGCAGGAGAAGGAAATAAAGGGTATTCAACTAGGAAAAGAGGAAGTCAAATTGTCCCTGTTTGCAGACAACATGACTGTATATCTGGAAAACCCCATCGTCTCAGCCCAAAATCTCCTTAAGCTGATAAGCAACTTCAGCAAAGTCTCAGGATACAAAGTCAGTGGACAAAAATCACAAGCATTATTATACACCAATAACAGACAAACAGAGAGCCAAATCATGAGTGAACTCCCATTCACAATTGCTTCAAAGAGAATAAAATACCTAGGAATCCACCTTACAAGGGATGTGAAGGACCTCTTCAAGGAGAACTACAAACCACTGCTCAAGGAAATAAAAAAGGATACAAACAAATGGAAGAACATTCCATGCTCATGGGTAGGAAGAATCAATATCGTGAAAATGGCCATACTGCCCAAGGTAATTTATAGATTCACTGCCATCCCCATCAAGCTACCAATGACTTTCTTCACTGAACTGGAAAAAACTATTTTAAAGTTCATATGGAATCAAAAAAGAGCCTGCATCCCCAAGTCATTCCTAAGCCAAGAGGTACATACCTCTTAATTGAACACTTGTTGGTATCACATCCTCTCAGGATGCTGGAAAGGTGAAGAGGTATCAGCATCCTAGAAGTCAGTCCTTAGTTTATAGCTCTGAGCTGATTTCAGCCACTTTCTAGGACACTGAGAAGAACCAAAGAAAACAGAACACAGTAAGTAAGGCTGTTATGATTTATCCAAATTCCATAATATTGTTCCTCCTACATTTTTTCAGTGGTGGTGATTTCCAGCACATGTTAGTATCCCAAACAAAAAACTAGTTCTCTTGCTCAATTCATGTTTTTTTCTCCCTAAGTGTGAATGGGCTCAACTTTTGTCCCTTCAAAAGCTGCTACAGGCCAGGCATAGAGACTCAAGCCTGTAATTTTGAATAAAAACCCCAAAGAAGTGAAATATTGTGTTCAATTCAACAATGAGAAAACAATTTAAAAATTCAAAAGCATTTTCTTCAAAGACAAAAAAATTAAAATGAAAACAAAAATATGGGAAATATTTTATGGTGCTGATGAGAAATGAGTGAAATATTAATAAAAACAGTGCAGTTGTGATGATATGTGAAACAGGCAATCTGTGCATGGGGAATAATTTTTTACTTGATAGTACTGCTGGTGGCTTCATTCTTCAATTCTTCTAGTTACCCACTGGAATTTTTATTTTATATAAGTTTATATGTACAATAAAGAAAAGAGCTGATAAATGATTAGGAGCTTATTTTCAATAAGACAACGCAGACATAATAAGATGGCAATTTTGACCTTCCAACCATCTACTTTCAACATATGTAATACATAGATGATACAGGTACAATAAACAAACAGAGAGAAATGTCTGATTTTTATAGCAAACACAGATTTTCCATAGAATATTAGGCAAAATACATGAATTTTTTTTTCTGGGGAATACAAGGTCGTGAATAAATAAAATTTGTAATTAGAAAGTTACAAATTATAATAAAAGTAATTTTAATTATACATCATGGCTTATCAAGTATTAATGTCACAGAACCCTGGAAGTTGGTAAACTTATGGGGAGTAGGCACTCCCTTTTTACTTTTGATGGAAGTATGCATTTTTATTATAATAACAACAATGACAACAACAACAACAATAATAATAATAATAAAATAATAACAAAAGACTTGGCGGGGCGCAGTGGCTTGGGAGGTCATAGAAGGAGGATTGCTCGACACCAAGGAGTTTGAGACCAGCCTGGGCAACACAGGGAGACCCTATTTCTACAAAAAATTTAAAAAATTAGTCAAGAATTGTGGCAAGGGCCTGTAATCTTAGCTACTCAAGAGGTTAAGCTGGAAGAAAAACCTGAGCCCAGAGTTTGAGACCAGCCTTGGCTACATGAGAAGATGCTATCAAATAAAAGAGAAAATAAAAAGAGGACCAGGCACAATGACCTAAGCCTGTAATCCCAGCACTGTGGGAGGCTGAGGCAAGAGGATTGTTTGAGTGCAACAGTTCACAACCAGCCAGGGCAACATAGGCTGGTTGCCCAGGGAGACATCATCTTTACAAAAAATTTTGAAAAATAGCCAGGTGTGAAGGCACATGCCCATAGTCCAAGCTAGACAGGAGCCTGAAGTGGGAGGATGGTTTGGATACTGGAGGTCAAGGCTGCAATGAGTCATGATTGCATGACTGCACTCTAGACTGACTGAAAGAGTGAGATCCTGTCTCCAAAACAAAACAAAATGAAACAAAATATGTCATTATTTAATAGGTTGAAAATGAAAATAACCCCCTTCCTCTATTTTTTCTTTTAATATATTTATTAATTCTGTCTAGCAAGTGCCCTGAAGGAGGGTTTAGCAAGGATTTTTATTGTAACATCTCATGGAAGAAAGTAAATAAAAACCAAAATATAACACAGACATGAACACACACACACACACACACACACACACACACACACGACTCCAAATGCCCATTAATGTCAAAGGGTTGTGCTGCATGATATATTCTCATAATAAGATAAGTAATGGATGTTTTAAAAATATAAACTGTATTTACCTGAAACAATGTGAATATTTCTTTTTTTTGGCATAATTATTTATTTATTTATTTATTTATTTATTTATTTATTATTATACTTTAAGTTTTAGGGTACACGTGCACAATGTGCAGGTTAGTTACATATGTATACATGTGACATGCTGGTGCGCTGCACCCACTAACTCGTCATCTAGCATTAGGTATATCTCCCAATGCTATCCCTCCCCCTGCCCCCCACCCCACAACAGGCCCCAGAGTGTGATGTTCCCCTTCCTGTGTCCATGTGTTCTCATTGTTCAATTCCCACCTATGAGTGAGAACATGCAGTGTTTGGTTTTTTGTTCTTGCCATAGTTTACTGAGAATGATGATTTCCAATTTCATCCATGTCCCTACAAAGGACATGAGCTCATCATTTTTTATAGCTGCATAGTATTCCATGGTATATATGTGCCACATTTTCTTAATCCAGTCTATCATTGTTGGACATTTGGGTTGGTTCCAAGTCTTAGCTATTGTGAATAGTGCCGCAATAAACATACGTGTGCATGTGTCTTTATAGCAGCATGATTTATAGTCCTTTGGGTATATACCCAGGAATGGGATGGCTGGGTCAAATGGTATTTCTAGTTCTAGATCCTGAGGAATGGCCACACTGACTCCCACAATGGTTGAACTAGTTTACAGTCCCACCAACAGTGTAAAAGTGTTCCTATTTTTGCACATCCTCTCCAGCACCTGTTGTTTCCTGACTTTTTAATGATCACCATTCTAACTGGTGTGAGATGATATCTCATTGTGGTTTTGATTTGCATTTCTCTGATGGCCAGTGATGGTGAGCATTTTTTCATGTGTTTTTTTGGCTGCATAAATGTCTTCTTTTGAGAAGTATCTATTCATTTCCTTTGTCCACTTTTTGATGGGGTTGTTTGTTTTTTTTCTTTTAAATGTGTTTGAGTTCATTGTAGATTCTGGATATTAGCCCTTTGACAGATAAGTAGGTTGTGAAAATTTTCTCCCATTTTGGGTTGCCTGATCACTCTGATGGTAGTTTTTTTTTTTGCTGTGCAGAAACTCTTTAGTTTAATTAGATCCCATTTGTCAATTTTGTCTTTTGTTGTCATTGTTTTTGTTGTTTTAGACATGAAGTCCTTGCCCATGCCTATGTACTGAATGGTAATGCCTAGGTTTTCTTCTAGGGTTTTTATGGTTTTAGGTCTAACATTTAAGTCTTTAATCCATCTTGAATTGATTTTTGTATAAAGTGTAAGGAAGTGATCCAGTTTCAGCCTTCTACATATGGCTATCCAGTTACCCCAGCACCATTTATTAAATAGGGAATCCTTTCCTCATTGCTTGATTTTGTCAGGTTTGTCAAAGATCAGATAATTGTAGATATATGGCATTATTTCTGAGACCTCTGTTCTGTTCCATTGATCTATATCTCTGTTTTGGTACCAGTACCATGCTGTTTTGGTTACTGCAGCCTTGTAGTATAGTTTGAAGTCAGGTAGTGTGATGCCTCCAGGTTTGTTCTTTTGGCTTAGGATTGACTTGGTGATGCGGGCTCTTTTTTGGTTCCATAAGAACTTTAAGGTAGTTTTTTCCAATTATGTGAAGAAAGCAATTGCTAGCTTGATGGGGATGGCATTAAATCTACAAATTACCTTGGGCAGTATGGCCATTTTCATGATATTGATTCTTCCTACCCATGAGCATGGAATGTTCTTCCATTTCTTTGTAACCTCTTTTATTTCATTGAGCAGTGGTTTGTAGTTCTCCTTGAAGAGGCCTTTCACGTCCCTTGTAAAGTGGATTCCTAGATATTTTATTCTCTTTGAAGCAATTGTGAATGGGAGTTCACGCATGGTTTGGCTCTCTGTTTGTCTGTTATTGGTGTATAAGAATGCTTGTGATTTTTTTTTTTTTTTTTTTTTTTTTTTTGAGACGGAGTCTCGCTCTGTCGCCCAGGCCAGACTGCGGACTGCAGTGGCGCAATCTCGGCTCACTGCAAGCTCCTCTTCCCGGGTTCACGCCATTCTCCTGCCTCAGCCTCCCGAGTAGCTGGGACTACAGGTGCCCGCCACCGCGCCCGGCTAATTTTTTGTATTTTTAGTAGAGACGGGGTTTCACCTTGTTAGCCAGGATGGTCTCGATCTCCTGACCTCATGATCCACCCGCCTCGGCCTCCCAAAGTGCTGGGATTACAGGCGTGAGCCACCACGCCCGGCCTGCTTGTGATTTTTGTACATTGATTTTATATCCTGAGACTTTGCTGAAGTTGCTTATCAGCTTAAGGAGATTTTGGGCTGAGACAATGAGGTTTTCCAGATTTACAATCATGTCATCTGCAAACAGGGACAATTTGACTTCTTCTTTTCCTGATTGAATACTCTTTATTTCCTTCTCCTGTCAAACTGCCCTGGCCAGGACTTTCAACAATATGTTGAATAGGAGTGGTGAGAGAGGGCATCCCTGTCTTGTGCCAGTTTTGAAAGGGAATGCTTCCAGTTTTTGTCCATTCAGTATGATATTGGCTGTGGGTTTGTCATAGATAGCTCTTATTATTTTGAGATATGTCCCATCAGTATGTAACTTATTGAGAGTTTTTAGCATGAAGACTTGCTGAATTTTGCCAAAGGCCTTTTCTGCATCTATTGAGATAATCAAGAATGACTTTGATGAGTTGAGAGAAGAAGGCTTCAGTCGATCAAACTATGAGCTACAGGAGGAAATTCACACCAGAGGCAAAGAAGTTAAAAACTTTGAAAAAAATTTAGACAAATATATCACTAGAATAAGCAATACAGAGAAGTGCTTAAAGGAGCTGATGGAGCTGAAAACCAAGGCTCAAGAACTACATGAAGAATGCGGATGCCTCAGGAGCTGATGCGATCAAATGGAAGAAAGGGTATCAGTGATGGAAGATGAAATGAATGAAATGAAGTGAGAAGGGAAGTTTAGAGAAAAAAGAATAGAAGGAAATGAACAAAGCCTCCATGAAATGTGGGACTATGTGAAAAGACCAAATCTACTTCTGATTGGTGTACCTGAAAGTGATGGGGAGAATGGAACCAAGTTGTAAAACACTCTGCAGGACATCATCCAGGAGAACTTCCCCAATCTAGCAAGGCAGGCCAACATTCAGATTCAGGAAATACGGAAAACACCACAAAGATATTCCTCGAGAAGAGCAACTCCAAGACACATAATTGTCAGATTCACCAAAGTTGAAATGAAGGAAAAAATGTTAAGGGCCGCCAGAGAGAAAGGTCAGGTTACCCACAAAGGGAAGCCCATCAGACTAACAGCGGATCTCTCAGCAGAAACTCTACAAGCCAGAAGAGAGTGGGGGCTGATATTCAACATTCTTAAAGAAAAGAATTTTCAGTGCAGAATTTCATATCCAGCCAAACTAAGCTTCATAAGTGAAGGAGAAATAAAATACTTTACAGAGAAGCTAATGCTGAGAAATTTTGTCACCACCAGGCCTGACTTAAATAGCTCCTGAAGGAAGCACTAAACATGGAAAGGAACAACCGGTACCAGCCGCTGCAAAATCATGCCAAAATGTAAAGGCCACTGAGACTAGGAAGAAACTGCATCAAGTAACGAGCAAAATAACCAACCAACATCATAATGACAGGATAAAATTCACACATAACAATATTAACTTTAAATGTAAATGGACTAAATTCTCCAATTAAAAGACACAGACTGGAAAATTGGATAAAGAGTCAAGACCCATCAGTATGCTGTATTCAGGAAACCCATCTAATGTGCAGAGACAAACATACACTCATACTAGAAAGATGCTGGAAGATCTACCAAGCAAATGGAAAACAAAAAAAGGCAGGGGTTTCAATCCTAGTCTCTGATAAAACAGACTTTAAACCAACAAAGATCAAAAGAGACAAAGAAGGTCATTACTTAATGGTAAAGGGATCAATTCAACAAGAAGAGCTAACTATCCTAAATACATATGCACCCAATACAGGAGCACCCAGATTCATAAAGCAAGTCCTGAGTGACCTACAAAGAGACTTAGATCCCCACACATTAATAATGGGAGACTTTAACACCCCACTGTCAACATTAGACAGGTCAACGAGACAGAAAGTTAACAAGGACATCCAGGAATTGAACTCAGCTCTGCACCAAGTGGACCTAATAGACATCTACAGAACTCTCCACCCCAAATCAACAGAATAAACATTTTTTTCAGCATCACACCACACCTATTCCAAAATTGACCCCATACTTGGAAGTAAACCTCTCCTCAGCAAATGTAAAAGAACAGAAATTATAACAAACTATCTCTCAGACCACAGTGCAATCAAACTAGAATTCAGGATTAAGAATCTCACTCAAAACTGCTCAACTACGTGGAAACCAAACAACCTGCTCCTGAACGACTACTGGGTACATAACGAAATGAAGGCAGAAATAAAGATGTTCTTTGAAACCAACGAGAACAAAGACACAACATACCAGAATCTCTGGGACACATTCAAAGCAGTGTGTAGAGGGAAATTTATAGCAACAAATGCCCATAAGAGGAAGCAGGAAAGATCCAAAGTTGACACCCTAACATCACAGTTAAAAGAACTAGAAAAGCAAGAGCAAACACATTCAAAAGCTAGCAGAAGGCAAGAAATAACTAAAATCAGAGCAGAACTGAAGGAAATAGAGACACAGAAAACCCTTCAAAAAATTAATGAATCCAGGAGCTGGTTTTTTGAAAGGATCAACAAACTTGACAGACCTCTAGCAAGACTAGTAAAGAAAAAAAGAGAGAAGAATCAAATAGATGCAATAAAAAATGATAAAGGGGATATCACCACCAATCCCACAGAAATACAAACTACCATCAGAGATTATTACAAACACCTCTAGACAAATGAACTAGAAAATCTAGAAGAAATGGATAAATTCCTCAACACATACACTCTCCCAAGACTAAACCAGGAAGAAGTTGAATCTCTGAACAGACCAATAACAGGATCTGAAATTGTGGCAATAATCAATAGCTTACCAACCACAAAGAGTCCAGGACCAGATGGATTCACAGCCAAATTCTACCAAAGGTACAAGGAGGAACTGCTACCATTCCTTCTGAAACTATTCTAATCAATAGAAAAAGAGGGAATCCTCCCTAACTCATTTTATGAGGCCAGCATCATCCTGATACCAAACCCGGGCAGAGACACAACCAAAAAAGAGAATTTTAGACCAATATCCTTGATGAACATTGATGGAAAAATCCTCAATAAAATACTGGCAAACCGAATCCAGCAGCACATCAAAAAGCTTATCCACTATGATCAAGTGGGCCTCATCCCTGGGATGCAAGGCTGGTTCAATATACACAAATCAATAAATGTAATCCAGCATATAAACAGAACCAAAAACAATGTGAATATTTCTTAAAAACCTATGAGTTGAAGTCTTTGCATTATTTATAGATTCTAATATCATAAAATCTACTAAAGTTTTATGGATATACTCACATTTAGTACAATTATAAAATGCTAGGCTGTACATATGGAAGATAATTACTGCTTCTTGGAGAAGAATGGCAGAAAGAGATGTTTTAAGTATCCAATGAGGAATCGTTTTACTTTTAAAAATCTGCCCAAAGAGGCAACCATGAAAATAAATGTCACGTATGTATGTGAAACACTTATATTCCTCTGATAGCCTGTAAGCTGTGAGAAACACCTGTGCCTATGGATATGTAAAGATACTTAACATCATCAAGGTGCTATGGCTCACACTTGTAATCCCAGTGATTTGCAAAGCCAAGGTATGCAGATCACTTGAGGTAAAGAGTTCAAGAACCCTGTCTCTAAAAAAAACACAAAAATTAGCCAGGCATGTTGGCGGGCATTTGTTATCCCAACTACTCACTTGGCTGATGCAGGAAAATTGCTTGAACCCCAGGAGGCAGAAGTTGCAGTGCACCAATATCATGCCACTGCACTCTAGCCTGGGCAACAGAGAGAGACACTGTCAAACAGGAAGGATGGAGGGAAGGAAGGAAGGAAGGAAGGAAGGAAGGAAGGAAGGAAGGAAGGAAGGAGAGAAAGAGAAAGAAAGAGAGAGAATGGAAGGAAGGAAGGAATGAAGGAAGGAAGGAAGGAGGGGGGAGGGGAAGGAAGGGGAGGGAGTTATGGAGGGAGGGAGGAAGGAGGGGAGGAAGGGAGGGAGGAAGGCAGGAAGACAGGAAAGCAGGAAGGAAGGAAGGAAGGAAGGAAGGAAGGAAGGAAGGAAGGAAGGAAGGAAGGCTTGAAATCAGTAGTTTTTAAGAATGCAAACTGGCCAGGTACAGTGGTTCCTGCCTGTAATCCTAACACTTTGGGAGGCTGAGACGGGCAGATGAGTCAAGTTCAGGGGTTTGAGACCAGCCTGGTCAACATTGTGAAACACCATATCTACTGAAATACAAAAATTATCTGGACATGGTTGTGTGTGCCTATAATCCCAGCTACTCAGAAGGCTGAGGCAGATGAATCACTTGAACCTGGGAGGCAGAGGTTGCAGTAAGTCAAGATTATGCTACTGCAATCCAGTCTGGATCACAGATTGAGACCCCCTCTTCTCAAAAAAAAAAAAAAAAAAAGGCATACAAGTTAAATCTACAATAAAATGCAAATATCACTTGTATGAACTCTTTTAAAAAGTTCCCAGAAGAAGGCTGTATGCCTGTTAGGAAGACTGAAAGATGAGTGGATATTTGAAATGTCAAATGTTGAGTTTCCTCTCCAAGGGATCCCAAACTCTTGAGGGCATGGGGTTGTGTGTAATTGTTCAATTTTGTTTCCACCACCTAAGGCATGTGGCCTTTGCTCAGCTATTTCCTAAATTGTTGTAGGGACTGGCTGCTGAGGAGATGGGTGAGAATCTGAGAAATTGTTTTAGTCACATTTACTTACAGAGGAGTATTGGAATTAATCGTCTTGAGCTGGCTATAGCACCTTTTAAATTATGTATATATTGTATATATGTACACTTTTTTTGAGAACGAGTCTGAGTGACAGCCTGTGTCACCCAGGCTGGAGTGCAGTAGTGGCTCACCACAGCCTCCAACTTCTGGGCTCAAGTGTTTCTCCTGCCTTAGCCTCTCAAGTAGCTGGGAATACAGACATGTGCCACCATGCCCATCTAATTATTGTTATTATTATTTAGTTTTTGTAGAGACAGAGTCTCCCTAGGCTACCACCCAGGCTAGTGCTGAACTCTTGGGCTCAAGTGATCCTCCCTTCTCAGCCTCCTAAAGCACTGTGATAACAGGCCTGAGGTACTCCACCCAGACCATAGCATCTTCATGTTCTTTGTTTGTTTGTTTGTTTTTTCCTCTGCAAGGTGTGCCAGAGTTGCTTGGTCTCAGTATTTCAATTAAGCAGGAAATAAACATCCTCCATTAGATCACTCATCAAAGCCTCTTACTTCCAGTCAGCTTTACACCAGTGCTCCACATTGCCTATTGTGTGGTGAACCATGCACTGTGTAGTACAAACCCTCTTGAGTTTGAAGGAATGAAAGGCAGGATGTGCACCTTTGTGGGAGCAGGAAGAAGGTGGCATTAATTCTGCTGCACAGCTTCACAACTTTACTCTTATGCCAAGCAACTGGAATATAGTATAGACTCAATAAATATTTGATGAAAGAATGAATGAAAGCCAAATTTAGACAAAAGCCTGTGCATTTCTAATGACATCTGTCCTCATGAGATACAATTTTATCCAGCTTCTCTGAATTGCTGGAATGAAGGAGACTCTAGGCGAGAAAATTTTATAACAACTTTGCAGCAAGAATAGGTAGCAATTCCAACAACAAAATATGTCAGTTATCTCTAGTACGTTCTGGACTTCTCTCCCTAAATATGGGTTTAGGCTACATGAAAATGAGCCTGAAATTGTTAAACATTAGTGCTTTCTATATCTACAGTTGGAGAAAGTAAACTTAGTTGGTAGTTTCATGGATTAAAAGATAAATATACGAAAACTTGCTCTTTTTATTCTGCCTCACATCAAGTTGTAAACACATAGACACACACACCACACACACACAGATACACACACATACACACATACACACACACACACACACACAGAGTCCATACTTCAGGGAGGAAGGCAGAAGGTGGTTGTCAGGCCTCTGAGCCCACGCTAAGCCATCATATTCCCTGTGACCTGCACGTATATATCCAGATAGCCTGACATAACTGAAGAATAAGAAAAGAAGTGAAAATGGCCTGTTCATGCCTTAGCTGATGACATTCCACCACAAAAGGAGTGAAAATGGCTGTTTCCTGACTTAACTGATGAGATTACCTTGTGAAATTCCTTCTCCTGGCTCATCCTGGCTCAAAAGTTCCGCCACTAAGCACCTTGTGACCCCTGCCCCTGCCTGCCAGAGAAAAACCCCCTTTAACTGTAATTTTCCACTACCCACCCAAATCTTATAAAACGGCCCCACCCCTATCTCCCTTGGACTCAGCCCACCTGCACCTAGGTGATTAAAAAGCTTTACTGCTCACACAGAGTCTATTTGGTGGTCTCTTCACACAGATGTGAATGAAAGTTGTTACAACAAAATTAAAATATATCTTCTCTTATTTTATTTTATTTTATTTTATTTTATGAAATGGAGTGTCACTCTGTTGCCCAGGCTGGATGGAGTACAGTGGCAAGATCTCAGATCACTGCAACTTCCACCTCCCTGGTTCAAGTGATTCTCATGCCTCAGCCTCCAGAGTAGCTGTAATTACAGGTGCATACCACCATATTTGACCATTTTTTTCTTATTTATAGTAGAGACAGGATTTTGCCATATTGGCCATGCTGGTATCAAACTCCTGATCTCCAGTGATCTGCCTGCCTCCGCCTCCCAAAGTTCTGGGATTACAGGCATGAGCTACCATGCCTGGGGTAAAATATATCTTTAGAAATAAAGGTATTGACACACTTATTGGGATAAGCATAATTTCAAAAAACAGAAAATAACAAGTGTTGGACAGGATGTGGGGAAACTGAAAGACTTGTGCACTGTTGGTGGGATTGTAAAATGGTAAGGCTGCTGTGAAAAACAGTATGGTCCTTCCTAAAAAACTTTATAACAGAACTACCATATGATTCTGCAATTGCATTTCTGTGTAAATATCCAAAAGAATAGAAAGCAATGTCTCTAAGAAATATTTGTTCCCATGTTCATAGTATCATTATTCAGAGTAGTGAAAGGGTGGAAGCAAACTAAGTGTCCATTGTGGATGCATGGATAAACAAAGTATAGCATATTCATACAAAGTGTTATTAGCCATAGAAGGGAGGAAATCCTAACACAGGCTACAACATGGAAGAACCTTGAAGACTTTATGCTCAGTGAAAAAAGCCAGGAACAAAATGATAAATACTGTATAATTCCAGTTTTGTGAGGTCACAAGTGTAGTCAAATTCATGGAGACAGAAAGTAGAATTGTTCCCGAACCAAACTGAGGGTGGGGCTGCTTCTTCCTGTGGACGAAAAACAAGATGCAGATTCACTGAGGAGGAAGAGAATTTTTATTTCTGTATCTGGTCACAGTGAGAAGTCCTGGAAATTATCACCAGGCCAGTTCAAAATTACAAAGTCTTCCAGAGCTTCTGTACCTTCTAAGCTATATCTCTACATGTAAGTGTGTGTGCACTTAAAGACATAAGCGATTAACTTCTAATCTACAAATAAGGTCTGAGTCCTGAAGACCTTCCTCTGCAGCATCAGTAAATTTCCTTAATCTAAATGGGCCCAGGTGCTAGGGTAATTACCTTTATCTAGTCTCCTGCTAAATTGTGGAAGTTTGGGGAATTCCTTTAGTTTCAAATAAAGCTTGTTTGTGGAGGTCTGGGGATTTTCTTCTGACCCCCAATAAAACTTGTTCCATCCTAAATGGGTCCTGTTAAGAATTCCTTAACAGGACCTGTTAAGAATTCCTTGTTATGCTTCAAGGCCCTGGAGAAGCCTGGGCAAAGCTCTTGGTGGGCTTTTGTTACATTCCAGCCTTTGCATAAGAGCATTTGTTGTTTCAGCTTTTAATATGTAACTTCACCATTCAATCAGTGCTGAAAATGTTGTTAGGGAGACCTGCTTTAGTGACACCCAACCTGTCACAGGATGTTGAACACCTCGGGATTGGGAAGGGAGAAATAGTGAAATAATGTTTAATGGGGACAGAATTTTAGTTTGGGTAGAAGAAAACACTCTGAATATGAATGGTCATTATGCTTCTACAACATTAAGAAAGTATTTAATATCACTGAACTGTACACTAAAAAATGAATAAGATGATATGTATATTTTCTTATATAAATTTGGAAAAAATTATAGTAGAGAAAAGGTCTTCACAATAACATGTCATGGAAAGTTGGTCCTAAAATACATTACTTTTTGAAGTAAATTTTCAAATTAAAATTAAACTTTAATTTCAAGTTTTTAATTAAAAAATGAAAGGGCTAAATAAATGATAATGAAAACGTGTTTTCATCAAAGTCTAACTTTATTCAGCATAAGAATGAAAAGTATAAAAATAAGTATCATAGTAAGTATAAAAGTATACTTATTGTAGTATACTTTGCAATAAGTATATCATGCTTAAAACAAGAGGGTAATTAACTTATCATAAAAACAAAGCAAATCCAGAAGCAACAGCAACAACAAGAGTAGTGTGCAAAATAGAAGAGGCAGAACAAAAATTATAAAGGAATTTGTCTTTGTTGAGAAGCAGCTTTGGAATAAAAAAAGCCAATTTTATGGTGGGGTAAATTGGGTTGAAGAATATAAGTGACCACTCTATTTGTGAATGTTTTAGGGACATACATAGGCTCTCAGTTTTTATGAGTGTGTTTATTTACAATTGCTGCCCACTTCATTTCATCATATCTTTGTTAATGTTTGCATTTAAATCTCAGCCTCTTATAACTCTGTTATGTCTTGATACCTAACACAGAAGAGGCAATGAGATCAGTGCTGTTATGATTCTGTGCCAAGCAGTGGCATCTGAACAGTCTTCCCATGTAGGAATATGATACAAGCCAGGCTAATTCCACTCCTTTTTCATTGAGAAGGGTTACATTCAGTTAGTTGTTGTTTCTCTACTGCTCCTAGTTTTTGCTTTTGTTTTCTCTCGGTGACAATCCTTCAAACTCAACCTACTGAGAAGCAAGACTTTAAAATTCTGAAAAACGATGTCAATGTAGTGTAGCTAGGAGGAGTACAGGTACTTGTCTCCAAATTCTGACTCCTCTCTAACAATCCAATACTTACGTGAACTCTATATGGCTTGGGCTACATACAGTTAATAGCACACACTTCCAAGACTAATCATGGCAGTTAAAGGGAAACATGCATGCAAAGTGTGTCACAAAGCACCTAGCATGAAGGAAAAACACATCTACACAGTAGCTGCTTCATTTTTCTGAACAGGTCATGTGATATTTCATGTAGATGTGCAAACACTTGAATTTTTTTTGCACTTTCAAAGTATTTTCAATTGACAATGAGCTGATTCTAGCATAAATATATGTGTGTATGTCTATATCAGCACTGTAAACACATGAACAACTATTAATGATAAATGCTGCAGGTAAATCTTTTTCAGTCTTACAAAATAAAAATAAACAGAATATCAATTATAAATTTCTTGTCTTTTCTACTTTCCAAGCCTTCTCCATCTCATTACAATCTAACACCCTCACAAAGAGCAACCAACAACATAGCTTTGTTGTGGATTCTGCCCATTCAGGTATTACAGTTTTATATTAAAATTGTATATCCCCAAGGGATGCAGACGTTATAAACTTTATATAAATTATATACTAGGGATATGGGTTTGTTTTTCCTACTTTTTATGCAAAGTGTTTTACATCTATCAGTGTTATTATAATAGCTAATGTCCATTATTTCAACCGCTTGATTTTATTGCATTGTATTGCACATTCCGCTCTGGGTAAAAATCTTGACTGATTTACTCTTCATAATATATCAACACAGTTGTCATGAATGAACCTTATCTTATTTATCCACTTGGCACACCATAAGAAAAATTGTCTTTAGGTTACATGCCTAGAACCAAAATTACAGACTGTTATGGTATGTGTTAACCATTTTCAATTTCAGTAGAGGTATGCAAGTTTTAAATAATTTTCACTTCCATTGGCAGGTTGTAAGTGATCCCCTTGATATTACAAATTTTTGGTGCTATTACCACAGGAGTCATACTTTGTCCTTCTCAGGGTATCTCACTGCTAAAATTTTAAACTTGATGACTTGATTAAGTTGCTTATTGGGTTTCTTCTCTTTGTAAAGTACATGTAATTAGACAATGTTAATCTCATCTTTCCACTAAGAATTATAACACTCTTTAAATTGAGATATATAGAATCAATATATATAATTATATAGATAAAAGATATATAGAATCATATATAGAATATAAAGAGAGCAAATGTCTCTTTCCATTATTTCAGTTTATAGCAATCATGATTCTTCAAAGTAAAAATTGTTGTGATGTATCGCTATGCAGAAATGAGAGAAATTTATTGAGTCTCAAGGTGGTTCAAAGACAGAAATGGTTAGTTCCTACATATAATGTTTTCACAGTTTAGCAAAGTTGCTACAAGATGAGAAAATGAAAAATATGAAGAAATTCCACTGAACACTCTGTGATGTTGGTAAACTCATGTTCCTTTTAATTTTGTGCTTTAATTCACTATCCAAACATTTCTATTTGTGATGTTTCTTTCCAATATAGCTGTTTAGAACAAACCAAATTCAAAGGTTTTTTATTTTAATTATATGCTCATTTTTCTGTGCCTTTAGTATATATTATTCCTTTGTCTGATATTTAAGGTAATACAATTATTATTTTAGTTTTTTTAAAGAGAAAATAAAATAATTACATACCCAGTTTTTTTTTTTTTTTTTTTTTTTAATCCATCCTACTGTCCTACTTACAGGGCCTAGTCAAAGATTCCTGCTTGAGCAATATTTTTTTTTTTTTTTTTTTTTTTTTTTGAGACGGAGTCTCGCTCTGTCGCCCAGGCTGGAGTGCAGTGGCGGGATCTCGGCTCACTGCAAGCTCCGCCTCCCGGGTTCACGCCATTCTCCTGCCTCAGCCTCCCAAGTAGCTAGGATTACAGGCGCCCGCCACTACGCCCGGCTATTTTTTGTAGTTTTAGTAGAGACGGGGTTTCACCGTTTTAGCCGGGATGGTCTCGATCTCCTGACCTCGTGATCCGCCCGCCTCGGCCTCCCTAGCAATATTTTTTTTAAATATAGTAATGTTATCTTTATCAAAAACACATGGAAACATGTCCACTAAAGCTTCTGTTCTTGGTGGATATTGGAGATGTGTTAACAGTCCGGTGTTTATGAACTTAACTCTGACCAGGATGAAAAGAATGTAAGAGGGTGAAAACAAATGAGAGTTAGACAGAAGATTTAAAAAAACAACCTAAAAAAAGGAAGTATTGTTACTAGAATGTATACAATGTTAAAATATCTACAAGCATAATTTAAGGGTATCCCTTCATTATTATGTGACATATTGTGAACTGGGAATTTGAAGGCTCTGAATTACAGTAAGGTCACAAGGAAGCCACTTGTCATTTACAAATGCAAATATGAGCATATGATCCCATAACTAAAGAATGAACGGGGCTGCTAGAGTGAAAAGTGAAGACAGATGAGAGAATTCAACTTCTTACATGCCCAATTTTTGCCTGCTGGTTTGGCATGCCTATAAAATAGCTCATCTATTAAGATTTACCTTTTTTTGTTTTCTGCTCCAATTTAATAGAAGAGGTTGGGGAATCTTCTAACTGTCTATCATGTGGGATTAACTCAGATGTCTGACATCTTTAGACCATTAACATATAATTATATCAGTGCATTTTTACACTGCTGATGGAAATGTAAACTAATGCAATCACTATGGAAAACGGTATGCAAATTCCTTGAGGAACTATAAGGAGAACTACCATTTGATTCAGCAATCCCACTACTGAGTATCTACCCAGAGGAAAAGAAATAATTATATGAAAAAGACACTTGCGCATGCATGTTTAAAGCAGCACAGTTCGCAATTGCAAAAATATAAAACCAGCCCAAATACCCATCATAGGAAGAAAATTTGCCTATCTATCTAATCTATCTATCTATCTATCTATCTATCTATCTATCTATCTATCTCACATTTTCATTACCATGGTGTGTGGCCAAATACCATATGTTTTCACAAGTGGGTGCTAAGCTATGAAGATGCAAAGGTGTAAAAATGACACAGTGAACTCTGGTGATTCAGGGGGAAGGGAGGGAGAGGGGTGATGGATAAGAAACTACTACACATTGGGTTCAGGGTACATTGTTTGGTTTATGGGTGCACCAACATCTCAGAAATCATTACTCAAGAACTTATCCATGTAACCAAACACCATCTGTTTTCCCCAAACTATTGAAATAATGAAAAAAAAATCAGTGTCATTGCACAGGAACAATGACACAAGGGTGTGAATCATACAATGACCATGTTTCAGAAGTCCATGTGTCTCTATTACTTATGCCATGACTAAATTGGGAGAGAAGAGTGAGAATCGTAGACTCCAGAAATAATTGCTTCATTGTCTTTTTAAGCAACTGTACATGGCTGATGCTCAAACAGCTTATTCAATATCTCAAACATCTACCTATGTCTGCAACATATCAAACATGACTAGCCAGAGTCTGCTCAGAAAACAAATCCCTGCATTCTCTATCTAAAACAAACTGTAAATGATGGCCCTTAATTCCTGTACTTCCATGAAGCCCATCTCAGTATTAAGTAAACTTAATTGCTCCTTTTACTCTCTTTATCTGCCCTACATTGAGGTTTCTATTGCAGAAGTTAGAGACTTTTAGTTGCATGGATCTATGATCACAGGCTGTGAAAATCTTCAAAGCAAGAAGCTTGGTTTACTTATTTGTCTTAATTCAGTTTAAGTCAAGGATTTTTTCCAGTCCTATGAATTCCAGTGTTTGAATTAGCATTATTAGCAATTATTTTCAACTAGCATATCACATTTAGAAAAGCTTTTAACTGTAAGAAGAAAATGAACCAGTTAGCAGTAATATTAGAAAAGCAATATTTCAACATAATTTGCCTTCTGAGAGTTGGTAACTCTAATTCTTCGGAGATAATCCCTCCATAGAAATCTTCTGTGCTTTTATTTTTGTGGTCAACATGACAACAACATTCATATTATCCCATGCTATATTTAGCACCACAAAAATTTAATTCAGAGTTCCCTTTATATCATATTTTTATAGGCAACTTAGGGGAAAAAGACATGCACACATGCCTGTCGACCTATATAAATGTATGCTCATGTATAGATCCATGTGCATGTATATATGCATGTATATATCTATATATATAAATCACAGAATCACCTTTTAAAAAATATAAAAATAAATTGATTCTCTGGAGAAACTTCTGCTTCCAAATCTTTCTTTTCTATTCTGCCAGTGTAAATAACCAAATACAATCCAAACTCTTCTATTCTTTTATTTTCATTTCAACATGTTTTTGGGGAACAAGTTGGTGTTTGGTTACGTAAATAAGTTTGTTAACGGTGATTTCTGAGATTTTGGTGTACCCAAATGAACACTGTATACTGTGCCAGATGTGTATGCTTTTATCCCTCACTATCTCCCACACTTTCCCCACAATCCCCAGAGTCCATTATTTCATTCTTATACCCTTGTGTCTTCATAGCTTTGCTGCCAATTATGAGTGAGAACACACAATGTTTGATTTTCCATTTCTGAGTTACTTCACTTAGAGTAATATTATCCAGTGCCATCCAGGTTGTTGCCAATGCCATTATTTCATTCCTTTTTACAGCTGTGTAGTATTCCATCATATATACCTATCATGTTTTTTTAATCCATTTGTTGATTGATGAGCATTTGGGCTGGTTCCACATTTTTGCAATTATAAATTTTGCTACCATAAACATGCATGTGCAAGTATCTTTTTTACGTAACGACTTCTTTTCCTCTGGGTAGATACTCTGGAGTGGGACTGCTGGATTAAGTAGATCCACTTTTAGGGATTTAAGGAAACTCCATGCTGTTTTCCATAGTAGGTTGTACTAGTTTACATTCCTACCAACAGTGGAAAAGTGTTCCCTTTTCACCACATCCATGCCAACATCCATTATTTTTGGATTTTTTGATTATGGTCATTCTTGCTGGCATTAGGTTGTATCACATTGTGGTTTTAATTTGCATTTCCCTGATAATTAATTATGTTGCAAGCTCCCCTTTGTGCAGGGCACATATTCAAACGTCATCTTTCATTTTTTTAAAAAAACACATTTTTATTTTTTTTTTAGCAAGTTGCATCAAATATAGCTCTCTACTTTTTTTTTCTTCTTTTTGATACAAGTCTTGCTGTGTTGTCAGCTTGGAGTGCAGTGGCACAATGTTGGCTTATTGCAACCTGAGCCTCCCAGGTTGAAGGGATTCCCCTGCCTCAGCCTCCCGAGCTGCTGGGATTACAGGTGCACCCCACCGTGCCCAGCTAATTTTTGTATTTTTAGTAGAGATGGAGCTTCACAATGTTGGCCTGGATGGTCTCAATCTCCTGAACTCATGATTCACCTGCCATGGCTTCCCAAACTGCTGGGGCTACAGGTGTGAGCTACCATGTCTGGTCAGCCCTCTACTTTTAAGGGAAAAAAATGACTAGCCACTGTGAAAAATCTTCATCTACACAAAAAATAAATTTTAAGCAGATATTTTAAAGATTTTTCTTAAAAAAGTCTTAAGACATATGAATAAGACAAACAACATTAATTCATCTAATCAAATTCCTCCCTAATCCCAAAAAGCATTCTTACTTCCTTATATTCTCTATATTATACCACTTTTTTGCAGGAGTGAGGTGCAGGAATTCAAAGAGAATCAAAAGCAAAGATAGTGATAAAGAGACATTATAAATAAGATGCAGTAATAGCAAACGTAGATTTCTGAAACTGGAAACAACAATCATTTTATTTCTTCTTTTTCTAATGTATAGTTTATTTACAAACAGAAGCATTTTATTTTGATGGTAAACAGTGTTGTCAGGACTGAGAGGGTGAATTGGAAAATGAAAAGAAACAATTGCAGGTGACTCAGAACCTTCATAGTTTTGTAAAAGTCACTGTGTATAAACTAAATTTAATTTCACCACATCAATAAAGGATTCATTTTGCATTTTCAGGGACACAGTCACAAGAAACAGATCTGTCTTTTCAGCTAGAGGTTCTAACTAACGTTTACTATCTCCATTACTACTATCAATCAAGAAAAATGATGAGACAAATCTCAATCATTTTAGGGGTTTATTTTCCAAAATTAAGAATGTATGCCCAGGAGATAGGTCTATATTCTTTTCTCTGAAGATGATTTTGAGGGCTCCAAATTTAAAGAGGAAATGGCATGATATTGAGAAGTATACAATTTACATATAAGGGGGGATAGGGAAAAATAGTTATTTATGTCTTTGGCTCAGTGAATCTGCATTTTTTAAAAGATAAGATAATGTAGACAAATGGCACAGAGCAAAAAGTGCAGGGAATCTGCACTCTGCATAACATAGACAAAATGGGGCATGGAAGCAATCAGATATGCATTTTTTGTCTGGTGGGCAGCAGGGTGACTGGGCCTGTAAAGATCAACTATCAATTTATATCACCATGGTGAAATTTTAACAGAAACATCTTAGGGTAAAGATCTTGGAGCTCACTACAAATTTCCTTGTGGGAAAAATATGGGAGAGGTATATAGCTTTTCATGTTGTAGCCATCTTAGGAACCAAAAGGGGAGGCAGGTTTGCATGACCTCATTCCTTGCTTGACTTTTCCCTTTAGCTTAGTGAAGTTAGGACCACAAGATTTATTTCTTTCTCACAACCTTTCTCAGAAGCCAGATTTCAAATAAAAACATATTTAATCATCCCTAATTAAAAATCAGAGTAGGAAAAGCATCTATCAAATTTCAATTTTAGTGGGACAACATGCTTATCCAAACTAGCAATCATTCTGTACAGGTATCTGTATCTATATCTAATCTATATCTATATCCTCTATCTATATCTATATCATCTATCTATATCTATATCTATGCCTCGGCCACAGTATTATGAAAACATATGAAATGCAAAACACTGTAGCAGAAGACAGAATTATAACACTAAACTAAGCTGAGTCACCCCCCATCTTGCCTTTTTCTTAATTATTCCTGGACTGTTGGGCCAAGCTAACTTGGAAAGATATTTAAGGTGTAGCTTAAATGATAACAGTCTTGCCCTGAAACTCAACTGCTTTTGTAAAGCTAATGGCAGGCCATCAGGCTGGGGTTAGGAGAGAAGCCCTGGAGTTTTACTAAGGTACAGACATAAATGATTGTCAGACATAAATGATTGTCAGACAATATTCCAGAGTTTATAAGATATGCAACATTATGCCTGTGAATAACATCACTATTGTACAACTTAAGAATGGCCTTTTGAAATATCTTTCCAGGATTTTTGCATGTCTGACACACATGACTGCACCTCCACTGCCAACCCTGCTCCTATGGCCCCACCCAGAAGTGACTCAGAGGACAGCTTAAATTTCCTATGATGTTATCTCCTCCCCAACCAGGACAGGCCTGTCTCCAGCTCCTGACTTCATAATCCACATGCCTCTGCCTCTCAAAGTGTTGGGATTACAGGTATAAGCCACTATGCCCTGCCCATACAGTATTTTATTAATCCTAGAGCTTTATCAGAAATCTACATTTTCCAAATATTTATTGAACTTTTTTCCAAATCTGTGAAGATTCTATATCTATATACAGAATATTATGTATAGAATACCTATATATATTTGATATCTATGTATAGAATATTTTCCTTGCCAAATTGACTGGAATTTACTGGCAATCAATTGAATAATAGAGAGTTTAATAAGGTAATGAAAAGGTATAATATATTCTATATGTCTGTTGTTTATATAAAAATATGTTAACCTGCTTAACATATTGTATTAAAATAATGCTATGTTCATATATAAATACAAAGCCTATCACTATCACTATATATATAAAATTAGCAAATCATTTGCATAATTCTAGTCCAATAAGAAAATTTCTCCCCCCCCTTCCCTCCCTCCCTCCCCCCCTTCCTTCCTTCCTTTCTCTCTTTCTTTCTTTCTTTTTCTTTCTTCCCTTCCCTCACTTTCCCCTCCCTCACTCCCTCTCTTCCTTCCTTCCTTCCTCCCTTCCTTCCTTCTTTCCTTCCTTCCTTTCTCTCCTTCTTTACTCTACCTCCGTCCCTCATTCCTTCCTTCCTTCCTTGCTTCCTTCCCTTCTTCCTTCTATTTTTCCTTTCTTTCCTCCTTTCTTTCTTTTTAGAGTTACAGTAATGCAGCCTTGGGTGCAGTGGGACAAACAGAGTTCTCTGCAGCCTGGAAATGCTGAGCTCAACCAATCTTCACACCTCAGCCTCTGGAGCAGCAAGGACTACAGACATGCACCACCACATCAGCTAATTTGCTAATATTTTGGTAGATATGGGGGCGTCTCTTATTTGCTCAGGCTGGTCTGGAAATCCCAGGCTCAAGTGATCCTCCTATATCAGTCTCCCAAAATACTAGGATTACAGTCATCAGCCACTGTGCCCAGCCCTGATTTTTCTCTTAGAATAGAATAGAGGTAATTATTTTTATTGTTGAGCTATTGTAATCCTTTCAAACATACTGTAGCAGGATGAGCTGCAGACAAAACTTCTCAGACACCTAGTTGTAGAAGGAAGGGCTTTATTCAGCTGGGAGCATCAGCAAGCTACTGCCTTAAAATCCAAGCTCCCTGAGTGCACAATTTCTGTCCTTTTTAAGGACTCACAACACTAAAGATTTCACATGAAAGGGTCGTGATTGATTTGAGCAAGCAAGGGGTACATGACAGGGGCTGCTTGCACTGGTGGTCAGGGAGGATCAGAACAGGGCAGGGAGTCTCACAATGTTCTTTTACACAATGTAAGGAATTTATGAATAACATCAGCTTCTAAATCATAAGTTGATTTTTAACTACTGGGTTTAGGCCAGGTGGGCCCAGGCCTGGTTTCGGGCGGTCACTGGGCTGCGGGTCTTTGGTTTTACTTCCTTGTTGTTTTTACTGAATATGAAACAATATAAAACAATGCAAGAGGGTCTTTCTCTCTTCTCATTTCCCCTCTTTGAGACTTTCACTAATTTTTATTAGTGCGAGCTTTCACTTTTATTATTTATGTTTTCCTGTGTAATCAACTGATAGTGATTTATATAGTATGCTTGTGCTGAAGCCTTTTGGTGAACTAAGGTAGTGATGAAGTTTTTTATTATTTGGAGAAATACGGGTATCAGACAAGGGAGCAGTAAGCAGGTTCTTATTATTATTATTACTCCTATTAAAGGAGTTTTAAATCTTTGTTTTCTGGGAACTAATTTCTTTTATTTTTATTTATTTATTTATTATTTTTTATTTATTTATTTTTTTGAGACAGAGTCCTGCTCTATCGCCCAGGCTGGAGTGCAGTGGTGCAATCTCGGCTCACTGCAAGCTCCGCCTCCCAGGTTCACAACATTCTCCTGCCTCAGCCTCCTGAGTAACTGGGACTGCAGGTGCCCACCACCACTCCTGGCTAATTTTTTGTATTTTTAGTAGAGATGGGGTTTCACCGTGTTAGCCAGGATGCTCTTGATCTCCTGATCTTGTGATCTGCCCACCTTGGCCTCCCAAAATGCTGGGATTACAGGCTTGAGCCACTGTTGTGGCCAGGAACTAATTTCTAAACATGGCTCCTGGATTGAGTCTGTGCCACACTTGCATGGGTACATGGGCCAGTTTTGTTGTATCTTTAATCATATCTTTAACTACTTGTCCTTGATCATCTATGTGTAGACAACAATTAGTAAGGTTGAATTTTCTACAAACTCTTCCTTTAGCTGCTAGCAAATAGTCAAGAGCTAGTCTATTTTGATAGATAGCATTTATCATTTGAGTTTCTTGCTGGGCAAGAACAGTCAAGGCTTGACCAGTTTTATTAGTAATAATTTCTAAAACAGCTCGTAACCATATGATTCGGTTGAGCATGTAGATGTAGGTTTGATATCCTCATGAGCCATCTTGTGCCTAAGTGGTGGGTCCATAGTATTGTATGATTCTTTCAGGGGGACATTCATCATCTTTCTAATCACCTATAGCTATGCTTTGTTTTTCCTGGGAAGCATAGACTAGGAAGCCTAGAATTTCACCTGTTTTTATGGGCAGTAAGAAGAAAGATGGCTTAATGGTGCCAATTACACAGCTACCTGCCTACTGGTCAGGCAGCTTAGCATAAGCTTTGTATCTACATATTCAGTATAACCTGGTGGGGACTGTCCAGTCTTGGTGGAATTCTGGATGGGCCTAAACAGTCTGCAACTTTGGAAATGTATTGAATGGACTTCTTTCTATGTAATTGGAACTCTACTATGTAACTGTTTTTGTGGTACTAGTATACAGTTTTTGCCTAAGACAACTAAGCCGCCTTACAGGATGAATAAATTTTTTTCCTTCTCTAGCTATGCAACACTGTCTAATAATTGAGACTTTTAGAACTTAAAATTGTCAGGGTGGTTCTTTTGGGCTAGGAATTCAGGAACTGGGTCTGTAGGAACCAATTCTAGAGCTTCCTATGGCCATTGATCTCCTGTTATGGTCCTTCTAGAAACATAACATGAAGTGACTTGTAGAGACTGGGCTACATGTTCAGCTAATTGCAAAAACAAATTGTTAGTTTTTTCTGGAATCTCAGGTACTGGCAAATTTAGTTCATCATAGAAAGTCTGAAATATTGGTTCTGGAGAACATTTTTGAACCTCTCCTTTCATTAGGATACTTCCAATAGGATCTAATCTTTTTCTATCAATGCCTAATGTTACATATTCTCTTTTATTTCACTTCAGGTCTGAGGGGTTTATGATTATCAATTCCAAAGGGTTGCAGCTCCTACTCATGCTGGAGGGGCTGAACTTTTCTTTTTTGGAGCTAAACAGGATCTTTTTAATCTTTTTTCTAAGTAGCCTAAATGACACAAGACCAGTATTGACATATCTTACATAAATATTATTCTTGACAGATAAACTTATTTTCTTCTGTGTAATTTTTTCCTAATCTAGAGAACTGCATCTTATCCTATGCTGTTTACTATTAATAGTGGCACAGGTGCCAAATTTTAAGGTTACATTTTTGGGGACTTTTCTTTCTTCTATTCTAGCTATTACTTTACTTGTGTCAATTAGAGAATGACCAGTTCTTAGTCTTACTTCAAAGACTGTGATTATGGAGGGTTCAGAGGGGTCATAGCACACATCAGGCTGGTAACTTCCTGGATTACATACTTTGTACTGGGTGTTATTATACAAACAGGTTCCTTTTGGAGTTCCTAGGCATTCATAATGGCTGTAAAATAAAAAGATTGTCTTAACTTGTCTTACCTCAGTGACCTGTTGTATGCACTGAAGGTAGTTCTCTGTGTGGGAAGAAGCAGTGGAAGCTTTTTCCACACAGGTCCATGTTATAAGGAAAATAAGTCCCATGATGATTTTCCTCATGCTTCGGCCATGCATAGACCAGTCAGCTTCCAGGTGTGACTGAAGCAGGGCTTCTTGTTGTCTTCAAGGTCACTTTGCAGATATTGTCCAGGCTTGGTCTGGCCTCCTAGGTCTTAGCGGTTGCAGGCTTCACGCAGCTGTGTGAATCTAGTTTGGGATTCCTTCTACCTTTATAGCTGTGGGAGTGGTCAGGATAATGATCTGGGGTCCCTTCTACCAAGGCCACAGTGGAGCCACGTTCTAGTCCTTGATCTACACATGGTCACGTGGAGAAAAAAGGTGAATGGGGGAGAATAAGCTGACTAGGCACCTCTCATTTATTTAAGTTGAGATAGTCTGAGAAATTTTCCTTAAGTCCTGTAGCTGCTACTGTCATTCAATCTCACCTAACTCTTGGGGGGTACCTGGAAGTCCTCACGGTATGGGAGGAGGCCTATGATACCGAATTTCACAGGGGGAGTATCCTGTTCTCTTAGAGGAGGTACACCTAATTTTAAACAATACTATAGGAAGGACTTGTATCTATTTGAATCCCATCTCCTGACATACTTTCCTTAAACTAAGTTTGATAGTTCAATTCTTTCACTCTACCTTTCCGGATCTCTGTGGTTGGTAAGCGGCATGTAACTTCTTTGAGATTCTTAATACCTTTGCTGTTTTCTGTACCAAGTCAGCTACAAATGTTGACCTATTATGTGAGCCAATTCATAGAGGCAGTCTAAACCTAGGGATGAGATCTTGAAGAAGCACATGGGTTACTTCGTGAGCTTTTTCAGTTTGTGTAGGATAAGCCTCCACTTACCTAGAATAAGTACACATTAGAACCAGTACATACTTGTTACCTCCACATTTAGGCATCTCTGTGAAGTCTACTTGAAGATTTTCAAAAGAAGCCACTCTATAGGCTTGTATGCCAGGAGGAACAGAGGGGCCTTGCTTTGCATGGCGTTGTTGACAGGTAACACATTGCTGTGCTACTGTTTTAGCAAGAGCTGGCAAGTGTGAGATGTAGAAATACTGGCCTAACAGTTTTTCAAGTGATTCTTGGCCTAAATGGATAGTTTTATGTACAGCAAGCACAACTGCAGCTCCTAGCAGCTGTGGCACAGCTATTCTTCCATCTGATAACTTTATCCATCTTTCTCTTATTGTTTGTTCTCCCTCTGTCTGAAAAAAAATTTTGTTCCTGTTTAGAATAAGTTGGCACCAGATCAAGCATTTGAAGGAGGAGCAGGGCTGTGACTGATGCCCGGTAAGTAGTAGATGCTGCTTTTCATGCCTCTGTGTCTGCTTGGGAGTTTTCTTGGCTCACCGAGGTGTAAAGTCTCTGATGTCCCTTACAATGCATCACTGCCACACTTTGGGGTTTCTACACTGCTTCTAATAATTGTAGAATTTCTTGTTGATATTTTATGTCTTTTCTTCCAGAATTTAACAGGCCTTTTTCTCTATACAATGCTCCACGTACTTGAAGGGTTAGAAAGGCATATCGAGAATCAGTATAGATGTTTACAGTCTTACCTTCACTGAGTTCTGGAGCCTGAGTTAGAGCAAAGAGTTCTGTCTTTTAGGCCAAAGTGCCCTGAGGCAATGGCTTAGCTTCAACAACATCACCTAAGGTTACTACCACATATCCTGTGCACCTTTCTCCTTGTGGGTTGATGAAGCTGCTCCTGTCCACATATAACTCCTAATATACCAATGCCTATGGCTGGTCTCAAAGATCTGGTCTGCTAGAATAGACAGAATCTAACACCTCTACACAGTTATGTTTAACAGAGCTGTCAAATACTGGGAGCAAAGTGGCAGGATTTAAAGTGTTACAGACTTCTATGGTTATGCGGGGTTCTCACATAACAAGCTTTGCTATTTAGTTAATCTAGCATTTGTTAGCCAATGGTGTCGTTTGGTGTTCATTAGAGTTACCACCACATGGGGGGCTTTTATATTTAGGTTCTGTCTAAGGGTTAGCTTATCCGCTTCTTGTGCTAACAGGACCATTGCCACCAAGGCTCTCAGACATGGATGCCAGCCTTTAGAAACCCCATCTAGCTGTTTTGAGAGGCAGGCCACTGGTCTTGGCCAGGAACCTACAGTTTGAGTTAAAACTCCTACTGCCATGTTTTCTCTTTCTGACACACAGAGTGTGAAGAGCTTTGTCAAATCTGGTAATCTTAAAGCTGGGGCTGACATAAGGTTTTCCTTTAACTTATTAAAGACTTGCTGTTGTAGAGGCCTCCATTCAAAAGGCTCTCTGTCACCTTCCTTTGTAACCCTATACAATGGTTTGGCTAGCACCGCCAAGTTTGGAATCTACCATCTGTAAAACCTCACAGCTCTTAGAAATTCTCTTACTTGCCCCCTGGATTTAGGTTCCGGTAGGCTGCAGATGACCAGCCTTCTTTCTGACCTTAGGCTGCACTTCCCTTTTCAAATAGTGAATCTCAGGTAGTGTACCTGCTGTCTGCAGATCTGAGCTTTCTTCTTGGACACCTTATACCCACAGTCCTCCAGGTGTCGAAGCAAGGCATCCATCCTTCTTGCACACCCGACTGCTGTGGAGTATCCTAGCAGAAGGTTGTCTATGTACTGGAGTAAGATGCAGCCTAGGTCTTTAGCAGGAAACTTTTGGAGGTTTCGAGGCAATGCCTCCCTGAAGATGGTGGGGGAATTTTTGAACCGTTGGGGAAGCCGAGTCCAAGTGTATTGAGTGGTGACACCTGACTCCACATCTTCCTACTGAAAGATAAACAGCTTTTGGCTCTCAGGAGCTAGCCTGATGCTAAAGAAAGCATCTTTCAAGTCCAGGCAAGTAAACCACCATCCTCAGCTGGCAGCAATCCTAGCAATGTGTAAGGGTTAGGAATTGTTGGGTGCAGAGTCACTGTGACTTAGTTTACTAAGCGTAAGTCCTGTACGGATCGATAGTCTTTCATCCCTGGTTTAGAGACAGGTAGCACAGGGGTGTTCCATGGAGAATGACAAGGAACTATAATTCCAAAGGCTTTTAAGCATTTAAGATTAGTTTGTATTCCTTTAAGAGCTTCCCAGGGAACAGGATACTGCTTTTGTCTGATTGGCTGGGTCTTAGGCTAAACTTCTATGAGTACAGGGGCTTGATTGATAGCCAGTCCTGGATTGTCCTCTGCCTATACTCGAGGCCATCTCTTAGCTACAGCCAGTTTTATTTCCTGACCTGACTCAGTTAGAAAAAGTCTCTACTTTTCTTCCTGGGGGATTGTAAGGGCCATAATGTCTCCTGTTTCTGGCAACTCCAGCTGTAAAGAGCCTTGTTTAGTAAAGGAAATGGTGGCTTTCAGCTTGCTAAGCAAGTCTTTTCCGAACAAAGGCAAGGGGCAGTCAGGCATTTACAGAAATTGATGAATCACATTGTGTCCTCCCACCGAGCAGGTCTGCAGTAGGCAGAAAGCCTGCTTGGCAAAGACTCCTGTTGCTCCAATTATATCAATGGTCTTTTTAGATAAGGGGGCCAACTGGAGTGGTTACTACTGAGTGTTCAGCTCTGGTATCAACCAAAAACTTAATGTCCTTGCGCCCTATTGTTGTCCTGACTATGCGCTTCTTGCGGGTATTTGAGCCCAGTCCCCTTCATTCTAGCAGCCCCTCAGCTAGATTGAACAAAGTTCTTTCATCTTGGTTTGAGGTTTTTTGTTCTGCATCACTCTGTGTTTTAGTTGGGGACATTTATCTTTCCAATGTCCTATTTCTTTACAGTAGGCATATTGGTCATGCTGCAGACGTGAGTGATTGGACTGGGCATTCCTCCTGGAACCCCTCTTTCTCTGCCTTTTCGGGGGAATTCCTCTAAATGCCACCGGCAGCAAACCAGCGTTTTGCCTGGCCTGGCGTTCGCCTTCCTTAAGGCTTTCTCGGTGGCTTGTTGTATCTCTGTTTACAAATACTTGATTAGCTATTTCCAGTAACTGCGAGGTATTCATTCTTGAAAACTTAACTGTTTTTGCAATTTTCTCTGGATATATTCCATGCTGTGACTAACTAAGGCCATATTCATCATACTCTGATTCTCAGGACTCTCCAGATCGAAAGGAGTGTACATAAGATAGGCCTCATACTGTCTTTCATAGGACTGGGCTGGGCTTTCCTCCTTTCCTTGGATGACTTCAGAAACTTTATTTACATAGGCAACCTTTTCAGCCCCTTTTTTCAACCTTTCAATTAATGTCTCTCAGTACCATCGTAGCCTCTCCATATCTAGTCCTTCATTTGGATCCTATTGAGGGTCCGTTCCTGGCAGCTGAATTCTTATATATTCCTGGGGATTTTGGTAATTGGCTGGGATGTGCTCCTCTAGCCATTACCTTTCGCCTTTCATCTGTGTTAAAGAGGTACATGAGTAGCTGGTGGCAATCAGCCCAAATAGGATTATGAGTCTGGATAATTATTTGAAGCAAGTTAATTAGGGCTTGAGGCTTTTCAGTGTAAGATAGAGTATTATTTTTCCAATTGAGAAGATCAGCAGAGGTAAAAGGGTGATACACAAAGGCATGCCTTTCCACCATGTGTCCATTCTCCTCTATCCTAGTATATCACTGCTCTTTCAGAGGCATTTGAATTCCAGTCTTGGGCCATAAGCGGGCCACCAGGGGAGGAGTTTTTCCTGCAGCTTCACTTTCTTTCTTGTCTACTCTTGGTGATCTAGGGGCTGTGAGCCTAGGAGAAGGGGGGCTCCTGGCTTGATAAGTGGGGTGGGACACTGTTGGTGCCATCTCCTGCCCTGAGTCCTCGGACTCTGGGTCAAACAGAATTTTATGTGCTGGTTTCTTTTGGCCAGTGGAGTAAGAACCTTCCTTAACTAACTGTCCTTTTGCTGCTAGTACTGCTGCTGCCTGTCTGTCCCCTTAACCACTGTGGAAGATCTAATACTAGCTGTAACCAGGAATCTATATATGGAAATTGATCTGGGTGTCCCGGCTTGCCAGTTACTTTGTGCCATACCTTAGAAACTAAAGACCTATCTGGGCTTCCTTCTGATAGCCAACCTACATCTAATGCTGGCCAGTCTATTTCACACAAAGTTTTAAGTTTTCTTGGAGTCATAGAGACTCCATAGTCTTTATTAAATCCTCCTTGAAATTTTTTTAACGTAGTTCCCAGTGGGGTGGGCTTACTTTGCGCCTGACCTATGTTTTTTTTTTGTTTTGTTTTGTTTTGTTTTGTTTTGTTTTGTTTTTGTTTTGAGACAAAACATCACACTCACACCACACACACACACCATAAAACAAGAACAGGTAAAAGGGGCACACACACACTTTTGCAGTTTACATCAAACCAAAATCAAAACTAAAATCAGAGTATCTAGAAATCTAAGCCAGGTCAAAAACTGAAACCAAAGTATCCAGCAATTCAAGTCAAGTCAAAACCAGAACAAAGGTGCCAGTACAGGCACACCATGGGTGATCAGGCCATGCTTCCACTCAGGTGGAGTGGGGCAAGTTCAAAAGACTAGTCTCACCAAGTCAAGCCAAGTCAAAACCGAAACAAAGGTGCCAATACAGGCATTCTGTTGGTGGTCAGGCCACGCTTCCACTCAGGTGGAGTGGGGCAAGTTCAAAAAACTAGTCTTACCAAGTTTTAGATATCCAGACTCCAACTGCCACTTCCTTCCTGGTGTTCAGCCACTGTGTTAATCCTCTGTGGGTGCCTGCTATGTGCTGCTCTGGTGAGGCATTCCACTGGGGCAATTTCCTACCTGGGAGAGCTTTTTGGATCGAGTCACTCAGGCTGGCCGGAGTCCCCCGCAGGGAGGCTCCACAGGGCAGGCCTAAGCTGCCTAAGGGGCTGCCTTGGCTGTCCATCAATTACCTTATTTCCCTCTTGGTCAGGAAAGCCAGAAATGTAGCCGGACCAGCCGCAGACAAAACCTCTCAGACACTGAGCTGTAGAAGGGAGGACTTTATTCAGCTGTGAGCATCAGCAAGCTACTGCCTTAAAATCCAAGCTCCCTGAGTGCACAATTTCTGTCCATTTTAAGGGCTCACAACACTAAAGATTTCACATGAAAGGGTCGTGATTGATTTGAGCAAGCAAGGGGTACGTGACAGGGGCTGCATGCACTGGTGGTCAGGGAGGAAGAGAACAGGGCAGGGAGTCTCACAATGTTCTTTTACACAGTGTAAGGAATTTATGAATAACACCAGCTTCTAAATCATAAGTTGATTTTTAACTACTGGGTTTAGGCCAGGTGGGCCCAGGCCTGGTTTCGGGCCTGGCACTGGGCTGCCTGTCTTTGGTTTTACTTCCCTGTTGTTTTTACTGAATATGAAACAATATAAAACAATGCGAGAGGGTCTTTCTCTCCTCTCAAAACCATTTGTATTTAAAGACTTTAATCTAGTTTTCAAAGTTACGCTGACAGAAGTAACAGAAATTCCCCCCAGGATTTAACTAATATTTCTATTATAATAGTTAATTATAATAAAGTTAATTATTAGTTATAGTAATTATAATTAGTTAATTATAATAAAGTTAAATTAGAAAACAAAATTCTTGGTAGAAATTATTCTACATAGATATCAATAAATGTGAATTAGTTAAATCACTGAGCATTCACATTTTTCAATGAATAAATGTACATCTCATATACCTCATTAATTGAAGAAACAATGTACACTCATCTCAGATGTAAAAGAGAAAGCATTTGACAAAAATCTTCCTATCTTCATGATAAAAGCTCTCAGCACATTAGAAAAATAAGTAACCCTCCTATATATGATAAAGAGACTGTATAATAAAAAAGAACTCAAAATCATACCTTCTGGTGGATTACCTTTATGCATGCATATACACAAGTAGAAAATCAAAATGAAAAATGGAATTGTTTACAGGACTATACAATCCATAAAATTCTTGGGACTAAATCTAAAGAAAACATGCAAGTCTCTATATCAAAAAAATATATATCCTTGATGGAAGGATATCAAAAAACCTGAATAAACAGATAAGTCACATGTTTGTAGTCTGGAAGACTCAGTAGTGTAATAATTTCCAATTTTGTAAAATTGATCTGTACCTTCAGCTTAATCCAAATGAAAGTCAGGATTTTTTTTAAAGCAGGACTTTTCTTGGGGTCGGAGCATCTAGAACAGCTAAGACAAGTTTTGAAAGAGTGAAGTTAGAGGACTTTACCTAATTTTATTACTTACTTTAATATTAGAGTAAATGAGCTGCACTTGGTGGCATGTACCTGTAGTCCCAGGTTCTCTGGAGGCTGAGGCAGGAGGATCACTTGACTCCAGGAACTGGAGTCTAACCTGGGCAACATAGCAAGACCTCATCTCTAAAACAACCATAATAAACTAGTGTAAGCAATAAAAATATGACATTTGCATAGAAAGTATAGATATCGACCCACCTAAGTATAGTCTATTTATTTTCTGCAAAGGCACCAAGCAACGGCTATGAGAAAACAAATGATTTTAAAAAAGCAATAATAAAAAGAAAGCTATAATTATGGGGAAATAGCAATAGTTTGATGACAGAAAATAGATAAAGGCAGTAGTTAAAGGTATTTGATAGATAAGTCTAACAATTGCTATTTGGTGTGGGGAAATTAGAGAACTTCACAGCTAGTGCACAACTTTGTAATGATTAGGACAAGAAATTACATACAAGTACCTCATGATATGTGAAGAAATTGTCCTTATTAAACAATTAGCAGTGTTGAGTATATATCTACAGAGAAAAATGTTTCTTAAGAAATCCTCATCAGCATAAATCAATGCATTTTATTTTCCCCATTGAATTACTTAGGTGTATTTTAAAATTACACATTTTCTGAGTTTATGTGTGTGCATAAAATTTGGAATGTAATGCTTATATCAAAAATTGTAGGGAATTTTCTAGCCTAAACACAGTTTAAACACTTATCAAATTTCAATCTCATTTTGGGCAGGTGGACTTCATTCTTGGAGAGCCTAGCACTATAATAACACTTATTAAATGTATCATGTAGGTTGTTTTTACTGCACAAACAAATATATACATACTTTGTTAACATTTTCCTTGTTTATTAGACATGTCCTAAGAGATGATTTTGTGACCTTCCAGGTTCTGTATCTTAAAAATGAAGATTCAGAAACTTGAGCTTATGAATGCATGGTGAGTTGATTTGTTGCTCAGAGGCAGGAGATGCAAAACAACCCAAATTCAAGACTGACAATACTAGCACATCACATTATTAATTTACAACGTACATATCTCACTGAAGCTAGGTTATTAAGAGATATATAAAACTAGTGTATTCTCTATCCATGTGTGTAGACCTACATGGCAAGCAAAATGATAATTTAGGTTTTCTGTTTGTTTTTGTGAGCAAAGAGTGGAGAAGGTGAACTAAATTATGTTACCAAACCAAAATAATTTAATCTCTCCTCCTCCAAAAGAACAATGGTTTACTGAGTGGGATTATGATATCAACTGTCTATATCCTGGTTGTTGCAGAAATAGTGGCTGGTACTGGCTATTTGTTTTCTATTCTAATTTACCAATCAGCACAGTTTTCCTTCCTTCCTCTGTCCCTCAATCCCTCCCTCCGTTCTTCCCTCCCTCCCTCAGTCTCTCCTCTCTCTTTTCTTTTCTTGTTTTGTCTTCTCTTTTTTCTTTTTCTTTTATTTTTCTTCCTTCCTTCCTCCCTTTCCTTCTCTGTCTCCCCTCCCTCCTTCTCTCTCTTTCTCTCTTTCTTTTTCTCTTTCTCTCTCTCCCTTCCTCCCTTCCTCCCTTCCTCTCTTCCTCTCTTTCTCTCTTTCTCTCTTCCCTTTCTTTCCTTTCTTTCTTTTCTTTCTTTCTTCCTTTTGAGACACAGTTTCTCTCTGTTGCCCAGGCTGGAGTGCCGTGGCACAATCTCAGCTCTGTTTCACCTCCCAGATTCAAGAGATTTTCCTGTCTTAGCCTCCTGACTATGTGGGATTACAGGCATATGCCACCATGTCTGTATACCTTTTTTTGTATTTTTGGTACAGAAGGGGTTTTGCCATGTTGGCCAGTCTGGTCTTGACCTCCTGGCCGCAAGTGATCTGCCCACCTTGGACTCCTGAAATGCTGGAATAACAGGCATGAGCCATTGTGCCCAGCCTGGTTTTCCTTCTGATAGACATATAATGTCTTTAAATAGGTGGAGAAACTAAATATAGTTACAGATTGAAATGGGGACCATCCAATACATTTAAGATGACTTTATTTTTTTTCATGTTCTCAGTTTATTTTCAAGCCTCAGTTCTGAAGGAATAAATGTGTGTATGTGTGAGTGTGTGCAGGCACGTGTGTGTTTATGTTATTAAATTCTGTTTCCTTAGCACGTGGGGGAAACTTCACTCTCCCTCCTAGATGCATGGATTACTCACAGACTGTATAATTACCTCATGCCTATCTCAGTCATTTTTGCTTTAACTTTTTTTTTTTCCAATTCCGGCCCTAAACTGTTGATTAATTTTGCCGTACTCCATGAGACAGCTGACATATTTTAATTGTATACAAAATGATTCTCATATTGATTTGTAGTTGTGGAGTTGTTAAGCAATTTATGATCCTTTTGGATGTAAGATATAACAAAACTAGTGGTCATTATCATTATAAGAATCATTCTCCCTTTTCTGAGTGGTTCATCATATTCTGAATTTGTAAGCAATGCCTATAACATTTTCAGTGATCACAAAGTCAATTGTCCATGCTCATGTCTCAGTTCTTCTCACTGTGTGGAACAAATGCCTCTGATATTTACCTTGATAAATGGAATGAAGATCTAGAAAGCATTATTGTGTTTGCACTATTACATACATTTAATCAGGTGCAAATATGAAATAGGTACATGTTGAAGTAAGGTTAATTTTTTTTTGTCAGCTGCTTCCCTGTCTATAGGAGAGAAGACAAAATCATTTAACATGGAAAGTTGTCCTTATTTATAGTTGAATGACTCCACTTAGTTATACTAATGAAAAGGGGATGAATATCTATTGCATAGGAGAGAGAAAAACGAGACTATCTGGGCTTCTTATGATGTAGTCTAGGTTGCCTTAACCTGAGAGGACCATAAGGTTGGAAGAAATACCTTTGCAAGAAAGCTTATGTAGTTTTAGAAGACCAAGGACAAAAATACTTGAAGGTTGTTGTCTTCAATCAAGTCCTGCAGTTAGCGGAGGGGAACAGTGAATCCCAAACACAATAACTTATGGAAAGAAAATAAGCTTAGTTTGGTGAGCCAGGTGCAACATGAGAGTTCATAGAACTGGGGGGAGTTAATTTGAGAAGAGTCTTCCGTTGATGCAGAATTTATATTCAGATCTTAGTATTTAGACATACTAAATTGGTGTTTGTGCTTCCTGGAATAGTAACTAACTCACACCCTATTAATCAGTCCAGATCAAGTGTTCAGAGGACTTCATGTGGCACTGAGACCATTGCTCTGGGCATGGATCAAAATATACTTTTCTCTCCTTTTGCAATTTGGAAGAAGACAGATGCCCGTATTTTTAGAAGCTGTGAATGGGGCATATAGAGAAGACTTAAGAGAAAAATATATAAAGTGTCTTGCTAACTGGTCTTGTGAAATTGAGCTATCATTAAAGTGTGTGTGTGAGAGAGAGAAGATGGCAGAAATGGGAGGAAGAGGAAGGGGGAAATGGACAGAAGAGAGGGGGAGAAAGAGGAAGAGAGAGAGAAAAAGGTAGTAGAGACCTCGATGTGTTCTAAAATGACAAAGAAAGTTATTCAGTAATTACAAATATGTAATTACAGAATCCCCTATTTTTAGGTAGTTGCTCCATCAGTTTTAAGAACTTTAACATAATTTGATTAAAATTACTTAGTGTCTTTCTTTAATGTCATTATTTGTGTTTAAAATGGCAGCAACATGTTGAGCTAAACCTTTCAAAATTATGCAATCGTCTATTTTTTTCCACTCTCACATTTTATCTAACATCAATTTAGTCAACTGCTATACAGTATTTCTTACCTAATATATAACATGTAATTTCTAACAGTTATGAGTGGAAGATGCCTAATTTTTGTGGTTGTCAACTCACACTTACACTCCTGCTTTTACTTATATAATTAGTGATGGCCACTAAGATTAAAATCATGGGGGTGTTAAAATAGCTACCATCCATGGTCACCCGAAAAAACAACAAAATGTCATCAGTTTAGGAATTTTACTACCCAGAGCTGTAAGGTTTAAAACTTAATCCAGTTGTGATCCAGGCATGACTAAACTCCCAAATGCTAACTCTAACCAATCTCTTCTCTTAAATGTCTGAAATAATTCCAACCAGAGGACAAACTTAGAGATATAGATGAAAATGTCAGAGATTTACTGGAAGTTGTGACATATATACCATCTCCTCTTGCTGTATTAGACTCTCAATAACTTGGTAAGTATGGAATCAAAGGAGGAAAAAAAATATGCCAGTAAAGCGACAGTTGAATACATCCATACCCAGTAAACACAGATTTATCAAGCTGACTTAAAGCTCTAGTTCATAAAGTTCTAAAAGGGAAATTTTCACAGAACTATCTGATAAAATGCTAAAATTGGGTCCTTCATCTTTAATTTTTTAAAAATGTGCAATTTATAAGTACTCCCTTTATTTACTGGTATATGGTACCATCAGCTGTAACTAAGTGTTCCGCTTGCTTTGAAATCTATAGATTTCTACTATGTTTAAATGACTTTATCATTTTCTAATTTATTTCCATTTGTGTGGATCACATAACATATCTCTGTCTTAAATTTTTTTTAAATACAAATAAATATCTCTTAAAAACTATTGGAAATTATCGACTCTTCATTTGAAAACCTTCCATTGAGGAATATATGATCTAACAGAACTTATCACCCAAAGTATTGTATTGTATTGTATTGTATTGTATTGTATTGTATTGTATTGTATTGTATTGTATTGTATTGCATTGAATTGTATTTTAGACAGATACTTGCTCTGTCACCCAGGCTGGGGGACCTTGGTGTGATCTTGGCTCACTGCACCCTCTGCCTCCCAGGTTCAAGCAATTCTCCTGCCTCAGACTCCTGAATGGCTGGGATTACAGGTATGCGCCATCACACCTGGCTAATTTGTTTGTTTGTTTGTTTGTTTGTTTTTGTTTTTTTGAGACGGAGTCTGGCTCTGTCTCCCAGGCTGGAGGGCAGTGGCACAATCTCTGCCCACTGCAAGCTCCGCCTCCCAGGTTGGCGTCATTCTCCTGCCTCAGCCTCCTGAGTAGCTGAGACTACAGGCGCTCGCCACCACGCCTGACTAATTCTTTTGTATTTTCTGGTAGATACCGGATTTCACCGTTTTAGACAGAATGGTCTCGATCTCCTGACTTCGTGATCCTCCTGCCTTGGTTCCCAAAGTGCGGGGATTACAGGCGTGAGCCACTGCACCCAGCCTAATTTTTGTATTTTTAATAGAGAAAAGGTTTCACCATATTGGCCAGACTGTTCTCGAGCTCCTGACTTGACAATCTACATGCCTCTGCCTCCCAAAATCTTAGGATTACGGGCTTGAGCAACTGCGTCCGGCCCATACAGTATTTTATTAATCCTAGAAGCTTATCTGTAATCTACAGTTTTCCAAATATTTATTGAACTTTTTCCAAATCTGTGAAGATTGTATATCTATATACAGAATATTATGTATAGAATACCTATATATATTTTGTACCTATGTATAGAATATTTTCCTTGCCAAATTGACTGGAATTTACTAGCAATCAATTCAATAATAGAGAATTTAATAAGATAATGAAAAGGTATAATATATTCTATATATATATTGTTTATATATAAATGTTAACATGCTTAACATATTGTATCAAAATAATGTTATATTCATACATAAATACAAAGCCTATCACAGTTTCTCAGTAAGATTATGCGAAAGTAAAATAGGTGTTTTTTTAGTATCTGTTATTCCACATATTAGTACATTTGAGGATTTTCTTTGCCATAGTAAGCTACTGAATCTCAAATAAATGTTTAAATGCTCAAAGATTGAAGCTCTGCACAAAGTCACTCTTTATGTTTCACTATTTATTAATTTTCTATTTTAATCTGGCAACATTTGTTTAGGTTTTTTAGCTTCGAAACCACTACAGTAAATAAACGTAATTTCCCATAATTAACTATTGAACATGGTGATACCTTCAACACCAAGAATTATCTGCTACTCCAAATAGTTTATTAATGAAATTCTGATCATATCCTTTGCATGGTCATTACAAACAACTTGTATTTTAAAATCCAATTCTGTATCACCTGAGAAATAAACTTTGGAGAGGCTAACCTTTACAATGAATTTAAAAAAATAACTTTTAAACAAACACTCTAGCAACAGGGAAAAAAAAGCATAGAAAAGCATGGATTCAGTGTACAGCCTCCTTAAGCAGGTATTTTCTAGGATATCCCTCCTATAGATCCCATAAGCCTAAATTCAGACTATTTCTGTTCATTTAAAGAAGAAAATGGCAAGACATGCTTACTTAAAATATTTAAAGATGTCTTTAAAAAGCCCTTCACTAGCTGGGCAAAGGGGCTCACTTCTGTAATCTCAGCACTTTGGGAGGCCCAGATGGTGGATTACTTGAGATCAGGAGTTCGAGACCAGCCTGGCCAACATGGGGAAACCCAACTGAAAATACAAAAATTGGCCAGGTGTGGTTGTGCATGCCTGTAATCACAGCTACTTGGGAGGCTGAGGCATGGCACTTGAACCCTGGAGGTGGCGTTACAGTGAGCTGAGATTGCACCATTGCACTTCAGCCAGGGAGACAGAGGAAGGTTCCTTATCAAAAAAATAAAGTAAATTAAATAAACTTCAAAGAACTCTTCATTATTTAAGGTGCACAGAAAGTTTCCCCTTTACATGAGACCAAAGTGATTAACGGTGAAGAATGACTGTTTTATCCTTTTATTTAGGGATTAAAGATATAAAGTTAATTGTAGGACACAAGCTGGAAAAATATAACAGTTGGATTTTTCTATGAAGAAGTTGTCTTGCATAATAAATCACAAGCATAAATGGGTAAATATTTTCACATATTAATAAGCTGTTAGCTTGTAGAGTGAAAATTTTGTCCATTGACTGATTGACAATTTTAGTCAAATATTGTTAAAGTAAAAGACTCTTCATTCAGCTCCCTGGTATGGAGTCTTTATAATGTATTTGTTAATAATATGTAAGCATTTTTGGGATCCCTTAAGTTTTCTTATTGATTTTTACTTTTTTCATCCTAGGATTTAGATACATAGGATAATTTATTGGTATGCATTCAATATAATATGAGAGGTTTTTTTTAACTTCTCTCTGTTTAAGAATTCTTCTAGAGCAAAAAGTTTTGTAATCCTTATGTTTTGAAATCGATGTATATTCTCCTTTGTGGATTATGTTTTTAATGATTTAATACATCTCTTTCTAACCTAAAAACATACATAGCTTGTACTGGATGTTGTCTTACAAACTTGACAATTTTACTTTAGAAAAAAAGCATGATGAAGAGTACTTTGCATGCCAGAGATGAATTATTGTGTTGGAATATAAGGAAATGGGTAATTGAAGGGATATTTGAGCACGGAAAGTGATGAAAGAAGACAAATACATCTCTGGAGGGCATGGTCAAAGCAGAGAAAACATCAAGTTCCAAAATCCTAACCACAAAAAAACAAGTATATGAAGTGATGTATACATTAATCAGCTTGATTTAATCATTGGAAAATGAATCCTATATCAAAACATCTCAGTGCACACTGGAAACATATACCACATTCTGTGTCAGTAAAAAAAAAACAAGTATTTTAAAAGTACATCATAGACTAAGGACAACAAGAATAAAGTTTGGAGGCAGGATTATATAGAAGTTCAATGTGACTTGAGGGGAGTAGGCAGGAGTAATTTTGATATAAGGTGCTGGAGAAAAAAATAGGGGTGAGACCTCGTGGGTGTTAGCGATGGTAAGTGCTTGACTTCTACTCTGAGGAAGGAAAGCCATTTAGGGTTTGAGAGTTAGATTGTGACCTTATCTCTCTAGGCACATCCATCTTTTAAAATTTCTTTCAGCAATAGGTGTAAATAACATTTAGTCACTGATTTTATTTCTCTTCTGATTGTAGGTCTATTGAAGATTTCTATTTCTTCTTGAGTAATTTCAGTACTCTCCGAGTATCCATTTCATCTATTTTTATATTTATCAGTATAAAATCAGTTATTACAATATAATTTTTTAAAAGTTCACAGTATGTCTTGTTTTTCTCCTCTGGTGTGTACATTTTTGCTTCATCAGTCCATTTTTCTTCCTTTATATCTAATTCTTCTGAACAAACGGCATTTTTGATGCATACCTCTTACCACAGAATCAATGTGTGGTATGGCTGACATTTTCCATGTATTTCTATTTCACTTTAATTAAATCAGGCTCTTAGGTTTGTTACTAATTTTTCTTTCTTTTGTTTCTTCTCTTTAACTTTCCTTAACTTCTTTTTTTTTAAGAGATACACTTCTTAAGTTGTATGTTTGCATAATTTATTTTTTAGAACTTATTGCCTGTTTTATAAGTACAATACTTATTTTCTCCAGGTACATGAAACAAGTTTTAATTGTTAAACTTTCATTTTTATTTCTTATGCAACCCATTTTATTTTGAACATATAGTTTAAAATTCCAGACAGATATTTATTTAGTTATTATCTTTCATTCATTAAAATTTATATTTATATCTAATGCAATGACATTTTATGTTTCAGAATATAATCTGTAATATACCTGTATCCAGGTGTTTGTTGAGATTTGATTTGTGTCCTAATTTACTTGAATTTTAAAAATTCTGTCTCTCTGCTTGTAAAGGATTCTGATGGTAGTTTTACCTTTATCAATTAGATCAAGCTTGTTAATTTTGCTGTTCACTTTAAAAAGTATTTTCAAATTTTTCTTTCCATAAATGAGACACCATAATAATTTTCATTTTGTCTCTGTATTTTACAGCTATATGCATGTAAATTGGAGACAGGGAGATGTCTAGGTTTCAATTGAAGGCTTAGGTTAAGAATAAATTAAAATTGCATGTAAATTTGGGATCCCACAAACAACACCATTTTATATCATTACACAGGAAGCTTTTTCTCCAAAAGTTATTCATCTCATATTAATGTAGTTATATTACTTTTTATTTGGTTACTTATTGCTCACCTATCTGTTTTATATAAACCTTTTATATCCTTAAATTTTAGATACTTTTCTTGTTTCTGCAAAGTACATGGTAGGGTATATTTGTTTGTTTGTACTTTATTCAAACTTTTCTCTTTGTTGCACTTTAACTCTGCTTCTCTTTTTTTATATATATATTTTTTAAATACATGCATGACATTTTTCACAATTTTGATGGGAATCCTTAAATCCTATTTTCTTCAAACTAAATAATATAACTTTTGATATTTCTAGTCAAAATACTATTAGATATTGCTTTTAATGTAGTTATATTTTTCCTGAATTTTAATCAGGATTATGTACATAATTTCTTAATTATGCATTTATATGTTCAGACCTCTACCTCTTATTGCAGAGTTTTGTATTTTTCCAAGTCAACTCCTCAGACTTTCAAAGTTCTAGTACCTTATTTTTTTTTTTAATTTTTGTTTTTATTATACTTTAAGTGCCTACAAACCACTGCTCAAGGAAATAAGAGAGGGCACAAGCAAATGGAAAAATATTCCATGCTCATGGATAGGAAGAATCAATATCATGAATATGGCCATGCTGCCCAAATTAATTTATAGATTTAATACTATCCCCATCAAGTTACCATTGACTTTCTTCACAGAAGTAGAAAAAATGACTTTAAATTTCATATGGAACCAAAAAAGAGCCTGCATAGCAAAGACCTAAGCTAAAAGAACAAAGGTAGAGGCATCATGCTACCTGACTTCGAACTATACTACAAAGCTACAGTAAACAAAACAGCATGGTACTGGTACCAAAACAGATATATAGACCAATGGAACAGAACAGGGACCTCAGAAATAACACCACACATATACAACCATCTGATCTTTGACAAACCTGACAAAAACAAGCAATGGGGAAGGGATTTCCTATTTAATAAATGGTGTTGGGAAAACTGTCTAGCCTTAGGCAGAAAACTAAAAGTGGACACCTTCCTTAAACCTTATATAAAAATTAACTCAAGACGGATTAAAGACTTAAAGGTAAGAGCTAGAACCATAAAAATCCTAGAAGAAAACCTAGGAGACATCATTCAGGACATAGGCATGGGCAAAGACTTCATGTCTAAAACACCAAAAGCAATGGCAACAAAATCCACCATTGACAAATGGGATTTAATTAAACTAAAGAACTTCTGCACATCAATAGAAACTGTTATGAGAGTGAACAGGCAACCTACATGATGGGATAAAACTTTTGCAATCTATCCATCTGATAAAGGGCTAATATCCAGAATCTACAACGTACTTAAACAAATTTACAAGAAAAAAAACATCAAAAAGTGGGTGAAGGATATGAACAGACACTTCTCAAAAGAAGACATTTATTCAGCCAACAAACATGTGAAAAAAAGCTCATCATCACTGGTCATTAGAGAAATGCAAATCATAACCACAATGAGATACCATCTCATGCCAGGTATAATGGAGATCATTAAAAAGTCAGGAAATAACACATGCTGGAGAAGATGTCGAGAAATAGTAACACTTTTACACAGTTGGTGGGAGTGTAAATTAGTTCAACCATTGTGGAAGACAGTGTGGTGATTCCTCAGGGATCTAGAACCAGAAATACCATTTGACCCAGCAATCCCATTACTGGGTGTATATCAAAAGTAGCATAAATCATTCTTCTATAAAGACACATACACACATATGTTTATTGTGGCACTGTTAACAATAGCAAAGACTTGTAACCAACCCAAATGGCCATCAATGACAGACTGGATAAAGAAAATGGGGTAAATATACAGCACAAAATACTATGAAGCCATAAAAAAGGATGAGTTCAGTGGATGTAGCTACTTGTATACTTTCCACATCAGAGCTTTGTTTCTATAGTTCACAAGGCACTGTACCACCAGTCAGTGTAGACTGCAAGAGAGCTTTGATACTTGTCTTTTAAGTCAAGCATGCAATGGAGACTTATTCTATTTTGTAAGTTTTTCTCCATCACCTGAAGTTGGAGGCCAATGTCAATAGAGAAAATAAATATCTTGGTCTACGTAGGTGTAACAGTGTTAATATCATCAGGAATATCTTTTTCTGACACAGTGACCTACCCATCTTTTTGCTTTTTAGCACCTTAGGAATAAGAGGAACCCAAGATTACTTTTATCTGCTTTTTTGTCCTTTTTTTTCTTGTTTTTGAAAAAAAAAAAACTTTGTGAGAATTGCCCTAGTTTTCCTCATATTTAAACTTTTTTTTTTCTGTACCTAGTATAATTTTTGTAAAATAGGCAACTAACTCCACTTTCCAGTTTCCAGTGCCTGGGGATATATAGTCTTGTGTGTTCTTCTTTGAAGCCTTTTAGTGAGAATCTGAAGTTAAAGCTTTTAATCATTTCCCACTCCTGTCTCATAAGAGGATGTCTTCGTGCATTTTTCATTGCTATGAAGGAAAACTTGAGGAAAATGTTCATTTTTATTTAATTTTTTAGAGTTAGGCTGGAGTGCAGTGGCACAATTGCAGCTCACTACAAGCTCCTCCTTGCCTACTGAGTTCAAGTGATTCTTCTGCCTCAACCTCTTGCATAGCTGGGATTACAGGTGTGCACCAACTGTAATAATTTTTGTATTTTTAGTAGAGGTGCAGTGTCACCATGCTGGCCAGGCTGCTCTTGACCCCTTGGCCTCATGTGATCCTTCAATCTTGGCCTCCCAAAGTGCTGGGATTATAGGTGTAAGGTACTGCACCCAGCCAGAAGCTGGGTAACTTATAAAGAAAAGAGACTTACTTGGATTATGATTGTGCAGGCTGCACAAGAAGCATGGTGCCAATGATACAAGTAGGGGGAGCAGGGAAGTGTTGGACAGAGAAGAGGCAGGGTCCCTGGAGAGGGCTTCACCCTCTGGCCTGTGCCCACAGACCTAGGTAAGGACAGGCACTCCTGTTTTTATGCCCAAATGTTGCATTTCCCAAGACCACTCTGGCCCACCATGTCTCCAGTCCTGTGCCTATGAAAACCCTGAAACCCTAGTGGGCACAGACACAAGTGGCTGGACATTGAGAGGAACACACCTGCAGAAGAACACATCAACAGATGCTGGCAGACCATTGACGGTGGAACAACAGACAGTGAGGGAAATTTGGCCAAGGGTGGTTGGAGGAGAGGCTGGCTCCTGAACAGCCCAACTCCAGGGAAAGACCACCTTCCCATTCCATCCGCCTTCTAAGTCCCCATACATCTGCTGAGAGCTACTTCCACCACTCAATAAAACCTTGCACTTATTCTCCAAGCCCATGTGTAATCTGATTTTTTCCAGTACACTAGGGTAAGAATCCCAGGATACAGAAAGCCCTCTATCCTTATGATAATGCAGAGGGTCTAATTGGGCTGATTTACGTAAACTGCCTGCATATGGCAAAGCTGAAAGAGCACACTGTAACATGTGCTCACTGGGGCTTCAGGAGCTGTAAACTCTCAACCCTACATGCTGCCATGGGATTAGATCCCAGACTCCCCACAACCTGCCTGTCTGCATGCTGCCTCTATGGGGTTTGAGCTGCAGGGCACCAAAGAACCTAGCCACACCCTCATCAGATGCCCTGTTAGGGGAATAATGGAACTTTTGCCATTTCATCAGCATCTGCTTTGAGGATGCCTTAGGTAGCTTCCACTCATGGTGGAAAGGGAATGGGAGCTGGCATGTGATCACAGGAAGAGAAGAAATGAGTGAAAGAGGGGAAAATGTCAGGCTCTTTATAACAACCAACTTTAGTGGCAATGAATAGAGAAGAACTCACTCCTCTCCCATCCAGGAAAGACATTAATCTGTTCATGAGGGACACACCCCCATGACCCAAATACCTCCCATTGTGCTCCACTTTCAACATTGCAATCAAATTTTAATATGATGATGGCAGAGATTAACACATCCAAACTACAGCAGAAAGTAATACAAATGCTAGGAATCTTTTCTATTTTTTGAAGCAAGCATTTTTTAAGCAAAACAATGTATGACCATATTAAAATGAATCTACTACATTTATTGTTTAAGTCAGTTTTCTTTTTGCTGAAATTGTTAAATTCCTTTTTAAGCATTATTTGCTAAGGGGATTCATACTCAAGGCACTTGAAAATATTTGGTGGTTGTTATTTAATTTTTTTGCAGGGGTTGTTTCCTCTAGAATTGCAAGTAGAGCTAGTTTTTAAAACAAACACAAAACACACAGAAAGTCCCCCAAAATGCCATGATTTCACCATAGTCTTCTATAATCCTACTGTGTTATTCTAATTTTCTTATCTTATTCTCCTTTTTAATTTTTTAAATTTTTATGTATGTATGTATGTATCTATTCATTTCTTTGAGATGGAGTCTTGTTCTGTTGCCCAGGCTGGAGTGCAGTAACAGAATCTCAGCTCAATGTAAACTCTGCCTACTGGAATCAAACAATTTTCCCGTCTCAGTCCCCCAAGTAGTTGTGATTACGGGTACATGTGTGCCATCATGCCCAGCTAAATTTTTATTTTTATTTTGTTAGAGATGGGTTTTGCCATTTTGGCTAGGCCGGTCTCAAACTCCTAACCTCAGGTGATCTTCCTGCCTGTGCCCATTACTTTTTCTTTTTCTTTTTCTTTTTTTTTCTGAGACAGAGTCTCGCTGTGTCACCCAGGCTGGAGGGCCATGGCGCGATCTCGGCCCACTGCTCACTGCAAGCCCCACCTCCCGGGTTCACATCATTCTCCTGCCTCAGTCTCCCGAGTAGCTGCGACTACAGCCGCCTGCCACCATGCCTGGCTTTTTTTTTTTTTTTTTTTTTTTTTTTTGTATTTTTAGCACAGGCGAGGTTTCACCCTGTTAGCCAGAATGATCTCGATCTCCTGACCTAGTGATCCGCCCGCCTCGGTCTCCCAAAGTTCTGGGATTACAGGTGTGAGCCACTGTGCCCAGCCTACTGCTTTTTCTTTTTCTTCTTGGCTGAGGAAAGCAGAAACTCCAGTGGACCATTGTTATAGCATGTAGAAACCTGCAGGAAGAACCTGTACACTGGATCACAGCAAAAAGAAACAAAGCTCTTAAACATGACTGGGGTCTGTGTAAAGGACTTCTTAGACAACAGGAAGGAGCCCATACTTCAAGCAAGATTATTTTCTTTTTTTTTATTATACTTTAAGTTTTAGGGTACATGTGCACAACGTGCAGGTTTGTTACGTATGTATACATGTGCTGTGTTGGTGTGCTGCACCCATTAACTCGTCATTTAACATTAGGTATATTTCCTAATGTTATCCTTCCCCCTTCCCCCACCCAAAACAGGCCCCCATGTGTGATATTCCCCTTCCTGTGTGCATGTGTTCTCATTGTTCAGTTCCCACCTGTGAGTGAGAACATGCGGTGTTTGATTTTTTGTCCTTCAAGCAAGATTATTGTCATCATGTCCATTAACATCCTACTGGAAATACAAGTTTCAAGGCCACTCTCAGCATTAGGGATGATGACCAAGAGCAATACAATTTGAAAGAAGAATAATGACTGCAGTGGATCAAAACAGATTTAAAGGATTAATAATGGTACACATATCCTACCCTCCTCAAGGAATAAAAGATCAAAAAAGTCTTTATACTTCCCTTTTGTTGGGTTCTACGAATTATTAGAGTTTAGAAATGTTATGTAGCAGATACTAACTTCTTCTCTGCACTTATGTTAGTGTAGCCATAAACTTGCTTTATCCAATGGGATTGACAAATATGTAATTCAAACACCTAAACTATTGGAATTTTATTTTATTTTATTTTAGTTTTGAGACAGAGTCTTGCTCGGTCGCCCAGGTTGGAGTGCAGTGACATGATCTTTGCTCACTACACCCTTGGCCTTGTGGGTTCAAGCAATTCTCCTGCCTCGGCCTCCTGAATAGCTGGGATTACAGGCACTTGCCACCACACCTGGATAATTTTTTGCATTTTTAGTAGAGACAGGGTTTTGCTATGGTGGCCAGGCTGATATGGAACTCCTGGCCTCATGTGATCCGCCTGCCTTTGTCTCCCAAAGTGCTGAGATTACAGGCATTGTGTCTAGCCTGAAATTTTATTTTGAGACTTAAAGGCATGTGAGCAGAGGAACTGAATCATGTGATAGGCAGTGTAACTTAGGCAAGTGTAGTGTTTTCTTCTTTGATTATAGATTAAGCTATCTCTTTAACTGTATAGTTTTGTAAGCTATTGTACATTTAAAGGGCTACAGGGAACCCTCCTTCCCTATTCACTGTAGATCTTTATTTTAGGTTAACTTTCCTCTTACCTTCCTCACACAAAGGCTTCACGGCTATCACATTGAGATGAAAATTTAAATATATTATTTTAATTTGGAAAGGAAATGAAAATAAGTTGTAGAGAAAAGAAAATAAGCTCTACAGAAAAAACAAAACTATTGCTAGTTAAATTGTTGTAACTCATAAACAAGCTTTGTCTCGAATGTTGTATAATTCTACTAAACTTTTTTTCTTTTTTCTTTTTTTTTTTTTTTTTGAGATGGAATCTTGCTCTTTTGCCCAGGCTGGAGTGCAGTGGCACTATCTTGGCTCACTGCAAGCTCCGCCTCCTGGGTTCACACTATTCTCCTGCCTCAGCCTCCTGAGTAGCTGGGACTAGAGGCATCCACCACCGCACCTGGCTAATTTTTTGTATTTTTAGTAGAGACTAGGTTTCACCATGTTAGCCAGGATGGTCTCGATCTCCTGACCTCGTGATCCACCCGCCTCAGCATCCCAACGTGCCGGGATTACAGGCGTGAGCCACCGCACCCAGCCTTCTTTTGTTTTTAAACCTATAGAAGCAAGAACTTAATTTTAACTTCAGAGCACTGGCCCTGTTTCTCTGGAGTCAGTGTTTCCTGGGTGGCAAATCCCAGATTTGTGCTCTAATAAACTATTCTTAATCATATTTTCTAAATCGTGTTATGTAACGTAGACAAGGTATAATTGGATGTGGCACAAATAAGCTTGCTCAAAGGGAGCTTGCATAATAAAATATGCCCTCCTATAATTCTGCCATTGCTATAATAAGAAGACATAGTCCACTGTTTCAAGTAGGTAAGAGATATGTGGGTTTACTATGGAAGTAATCTGTAGCTTGGAATCAACCCCAAGTCCAGGACAGCTAATTCCATAACAATTTCTAGCAGAAACACAAGACATGAGTGAGAATCAGTATCTTTTTTAGAAGTCGTTGGATGCTGAGGTGGCTTATTGTACAACAGCATTGCTATGGGCTCAATGTTTGGGTCTCTCCTAAAATGCATACAGTGAAGTCCTCTGATACAGTTTGGCTGTGTCCCCACCCATACCTTACCTTGAATTATAGCTCTCATAATCTCCATGTGTCATGGGAGAGACCTGGTGGGAGGTAATTAATATAAATAATCCAGCTAATAGAAAAAGAAAGACAAAAAAAACTGAAATTTCACCATTTTGAAACCAATTCACCATTTTGAAACCAATTACAAAATAGTGAAACAGCATAATGTGAAAATAAATAATATGATAATGGCATTTCTAGGTAGTGATCATTCATGGTTGTTGACCAAAAGAGAGGCAATTTTGGTGATGGTATATACCTATAAACTATTTTCTATAAAAAATAAAAAAATAAAACTTTAAATCTTCAAGCCTCTACTACTAACTTAGAATGAAAAAAAAAAGGCAAGGTTTCTCTGTATATGCAATAAACAAATTTCATACTGGATAAAAACTATAGGACAAATGGTCTTTTAAAAAACAAGTACAGGCCGGAAATGGTGGCTCATACCTGTAATCACAGCATTTTGGGAGGCCGAAGCAGGCACATCTCAAGGTCAAGAGTTCGAGACCAGCCTGACCAACATGGGGAAACCCCATCTCTACTAAAAATACAAAAATTATCTGGGTGTGGTGGAATATGCCTGTAATCCCAGCTACTCAGGAGGCTGAGGCAGGGGAATTGTTTGAACCTGGAAGGCAAAGGTTGCAGTGACCAAGATCACACCATTGCACTCCAGCCTGGGTGACAGAGTGAGACTTCATCTCAAACAATAAATCAATCAATCAATAAATAAATAAATAAATAAATAAATGAAAACTACATTGCAAAAAAGTAAATAAAGAGATTCTAAATATTTAAAGAGACCTTAAAACTATATCAAATAATGCAATACATGGAGTTTAATTGGTTTGCAACTGAAACAAATTAGTAGTATACATATATTTGATACTATCGTAGCATTTGAAATGCTTATTAGATTATGAAAATATTAAATAATAGTTTTTAATATTTAATATGTACATATTTTTTGTTAACATTTAAAATAGTATGATAGTGTTGTGGTTCTATATAAAAAGGGTTCTCATCTTTTTGAGATTAATATCAAAATATTTACAGATGATATTTTGCGGTAGGCAGAAATTGCATCAGTAAATAGGGTAGTGTCCAGTGCAGTGGCTCACGCCTGTAATCACAGTGATTTAGGAGGACAAAGAGGGAGGATCATTTAAGACCAGGAGTATTAGACCAGCCTGGGCAACAAAATGAGACCCCATCTCTACAAAAACTTAAATATTTGCCAGGTGTTGTGGTATGCACCTATGTTCCCAGGGTCTCAGGAGGCTGAGGCAGGAGGATGGTTTGAACCTGAGAGGTTGAGGCTGCAGTGAGCCATGATTGCACCACTGCACTCCAGCCTGGGCAAGAGTGAGAGACCCTGTGTCCCCAGCCCTGTTAAAATAAATGAATGAATGAATGAATGAATGAATGAATGAATGAATAAATAATATGCATGCGGGTTAGTGGATACACACGTAGAAAAACATGCATTGATAACTGAAGGGTAAAATTAGTTCATTATAAATTTTCCTCTATTTTTGTGTTAGTTTTGTATAACAAAAGATAAGTTAGTGAGTGTGTGTGTGTGTGTTTGTATTTGTCTGTCTCTCTGTGAAGTCATTCTCAAATGGGGGCAATTTCTGCCTGTCCCCCAGACATTTGACGATTATCTGGTGACTTTTGGGGTTGTCCTAACTTGTGGCGTGTAGTTGCTCTTCAGATCTAGTGGGTGGAGACCAGGGATGCTGCTCAACATCCTACATTGCACTGGAAAGTACCCCACAACAAATAATCATCTGGCCCCTAATGTCAGTAGTAATGAGATGAGAGAATTCACGGGCTCCCCTTGCAGTGTGTGCAACAGGGGTGTGGCTCTCTGTTCTACTGCTGTAAGCTCAAAGCTCTACATACACAGGCAGGTGCAGGAGCTTGGGTGAACACTTTGGGCTCTAGCCCCGCAGTATCTTTTAACACAAATCTTTTAACCAGTATCTTTTAACACAGCCTCCCAAAATAAAATGTTACAGGTCAATAGATAATTTTTTTTTTTTTTTTTTTTTTCTTTGAGACAGAGCCTTGCTCTGTCACCCAGGCTGGAGTGCAGTGGCGCCATCTCGGCTCACCTCAAGCTCCGCCTCCCGGGTTCACGCCATTCTCCTGCCTCAGCCTCCGGAGTAGCTGGGACTACAGGCGCCCGCCACCATGCCCAGCTAATTTTTCGTATTTTTAGTAGAGACGGGGTTTCACCGTGTTAGCCAGGATGGTCTCAAACTCCTGAACTCGTGATCTGCCCACCTCCGCCTCCCAAAGTGCTAGGATTACAGGCTTGAGCCACCGTGCCTGCCAATAGATAAAATTAATATATAAAATGAAACAAAGCAAATCCTATGCTTTCAGTATAGTGTATTAAAAAAAACTGTAAACTTCAAATAATTTGTAAGAAGAAAAATTTTTTTAAAACAATTCTAGAGGAGCCATCTCCTAAGCTTGCACACAGTATCTGCAAACATCTTTGTCAGAAACTAGGGGGTTCTATGCAATATTCAAAAAGGGTAAAAGCTAGATGTGGTGGTTCAAACCTATAATCCCAGTGCTTTGGGAAGCCAACGTGGGAGGATTTAAGCCCGGGATGTTGAGACCAGCCTGGGCAACATAGTGAAACCACATCTCTCCACCAACCAACCAAAAAAAAAAAAAAAAAACAGCCTAATGTGCTGGTGCATGCCTGTACTTCCAGCCACTCAGAAGGCTGAGGCAGGAGGATTGCTTGAACCCAGGAATTAGAGCTGCAGTGAGCTATGATTCCACTACTGCACTCCAGCCTGGCCAGCATGCAGAGACCCTGTCTCAAAAACAAAAGAAAAAGTAAGGCAAAAATTGGGAAAACAGTTTAAGGATCCACCCAGTACACTCCTAAAAATAGAAAATCTACATGAACTTCAAAAAGAGTCATAAAGGTGTCTTGAATATCAGATCACTGACTATTAAGATGAAACTGGAAGGTTTCAAGGTGCTTGTCACTTTGTCAGAGGTGTTGGAACAAGAGCAAATCCATCTTGAATGGCGGCTGGGTAAAATAAAGCTGAAACCTACTGGGCTGCATTACTAGGAGGTTCAGCATTCTAACTCACAAGATGAGAAAACAAGTTGATACAAGAAACATTTCATAAAGACCTTGCTGATAAAACAGGTTGCAGTAAAGAAGCCAAAACCCACCAAAACCAAGATGGTGACCAGAGTGACCTCTGGTCATCCTTACTGCTACACTCCCACTATGGAAGTTAACAAGTTCCATGACAGACTCAAGAAGTTACCCTATATGGTCTAAAAAAGGGGAGGCATGAATACTCCACCCCTTGTTTAGCATAGAATCAACAAATAATCATAAAAATGAGAAAACAGGAGCCCTCAGAACTGCTTTGCCTATGAAGTAACCATCCTTTTATTCCTTCACTTTCTTAATAAACTTGCTTTCACTTTATTTATGGACTCACACCCAGTTTTTTTGTGTGTGAGATCCAAGAACCCCCTTGTGGAGTCTGAATCAGCAGTGCTTTCTGGTAACAACTTGACAAGTTTTGGGGAGTCAGTTTGAAAAAAATGAAATTCTATCTTTGGAGATAATGTGGTGAAAACAAATGGAAAGTAAGAGACACTCAGAACATTTCACAGAAGAAAAAAATCAAGAATACATAATGTTACCCCCAAATACATTTCCTCCCCACATACACAAACATATGACACCACTAACTGAAGAAATTTCACCTTTCTACAGTGGCAGAAAATGGTTTGGTTAAATTCTTTGTCATCCACCCTGTGTACATAGTGCCTAGACCAAAATAGTCATCATGTGGAAAGAACATGAAAAATCGGAATCAGAACATTTAAGCAAATACAAATCCCAACCCCACTCACATCTAACCCTTAATCTTGAAGTTGAATGAAATTTCAACCTAACACTCCCAATTAAATATCCAAAATTATCTTTCTGCATGTCAATGAAGAGCCAAACTTTGCAGAATATTTGAAGACATTTATTCTGAGCCTAGTATGAGTGACCACGGCTCTTGACACAGTCCTCAGGATGCTCTAAGAACATGTGCCCAAGGTGGTCTTGGTGCAGCTTGGTTTTATACATTTTAGGAAGGTATGAGACATCAGTCAAATTCATTTAAGAAATATATTGGTTTGCTCCAGAAAGGAGAGACATCTCAAAGCTCTCTCTGGTAGGGGAGAGGGGATGCTTCCAGGCTATAGGTAAATTTAAACATCTTCTGCTTGAGGATTGGTTCAGTTTGTCTAAAGACCTCGGATTAATAGAAAGGAAATGTTCAGGTTAAGAAAAAATATTGTGAAGATCAATGTTCTTTTGAAGTCTTATAGTGGCTGCCCTTAAAGACAATAGATTACAAATGTTTCCTATTCAGATCTTTAAAAAGGTACTAGACTCTTATTTAATCATTACAGGTGTTTGGAAGAAAAAGATCTGGCTATGTTAACAGAGATTCTTTCCAGATGCAAAATTTCTCACACAAAGGACAGCTTTGCATAGCCATTTCAAGATATGTCAAAGAAACATGTCTGGGGTAAAATATTCTAATTTTTCCTTGTCTCATAATGCTATGCCAGAGTCAGATTGGAAAGTAAGTGATGATATGATGATATATCGACTTAGGACGTGACTCCTGAAACTCCTCAGACAGGAATTTGGCAACATAAAAAAGTCAGAGTTTACTTCTTATGGATATGAAAGGTTTACCAGAACAAGAGCACCTTAAAAAATTAGAAAAATTAAAAGTATACTAAATAACAGTTTTCCCCAACATGTAAGACATTAGGCACAGGAAGGCAGTCTCTGAGAGATTAGAAAGAAACAGCTGAGCCCTAGGAGAGAAAGATTTAGGTCAGGGTTCTTCAGGAAATGAGGATACAACCAGAGCACAGAGGTCTCCTTGAGTTCAAGAGACAAAACATGGAGCTTGAGGAGGTCAGGGCAGCTAGCTTTTGCAAGGCAGAACAGCAAAGAAAAGAAATAGCAAAATGCAATTTTGGCTAAGAGATTTCCTTAAGTCTTTGGCTGAATACTGTTCTAGGTTCACATGCTTTCAGACTGGTTTTTTGCTGTGGATATTGGATTAAATGTGGGCAAAGTTGGGTATGGTAACTTGGGCTTGGCTTGCAACAGAAGACTATGAAATGACTCCTGAAGAATAAATAATTAACAAACATGAGAATTTGCTGCTCTAAGTTATCAGTTGTCTTCAGAAGTGGGCTGGTTTTCCAAATAAATCATCTGATGCTACAATACACAGATTTTGCAGAAAGTGCCTGAATTTAGCTATGAAGTTACCCATTGGTTAACAAGCTTTAATTGTTTGTAAACATTGCCTGGAGCAAATAGTAATGTCTGGTAGATAGAATCCTGACAATTAAGTTCCAAGCACCGATATTCAGGTTTCTCCTTACAAAGAAGTGTCACACACATGCTATAATAATAGCTGTGGATGTCTAAAACCAAAGCTGTCAAACTATGGGCATAAGCCTTCCAATTGTTTGTGATATAAACTTTTATTTGTACATGGCCACAATCATTTTTAATGTCCTTTCTTTGGCGGCATTCTCACTGCAACAGCAGTTGACTGGTTGAGATGAAAACCACGTGGCTGACCCGGCTTGGTGTCTCATGCCTGTAATCCCAGCCTTTTGGGAGGCTGAGGTGGGAGGATTGCTTAAGCCTAAGATTATGGAATCAGCAAATTTCTGTAATCCTCCCTCGCAAGGTGGACATCCAGGATAGCCAGTAGTCTCATTCAGTCTGAGTCCAAAAGCCCGAGGTACCTAGAGAGACACTGCTGTAATCCCTGGAGTCTGCAATGCCTGAGAAGCAGGGGCTCTGATATCTGAGGGTAGAAGAAGGCAGAAGTCACAAATCAAGCGTAGCTTCCTCTGCCTCTAACTGCCCAATGGCCTACTGCCTAGACACTGCCTTGCCCACTGCCTAGACAGAGCCAATTTATAAAGACAGGGGAATTGCAATAGAGAAAGAGTAATTCATGCAGATCCAGTTGTGCAGGAGACTGGAGTTTTATTATTAATCATTTGGGAAGCAGAGTTTTTAAGGAAAACCTGCTGGATGGGGGAAGGCCAGTGTGTCAAGAGTGTTAATTTGTTAGGTCAGAGATTAAATCATGGAAAGTTGAAGCTGTCCTGTTGTGCTGAGTCAGTCCCTGGGTGGGGGGCACAAGATAGGATGAGTCAGTTTATTGATGTAGGTGGTGGCAGCTGATCCATCAAGTGCAGGCTGTGCAAAATATCTCAGGCACTCTTCATAGGAGCAGTTTAGCAAGTGTCAGAATCTTCTAGCTTCCAGCTGCATAATATCTAAACCTTAATTTTGAATCTTGTGGCTAATTCATTAGTCTTACAAAAGCAGTCTAATTCCCAGGTAAGAAGGGGGTTTGTTTTGGAAAAGGGATGTTATCGTCTTTGTTTTAAACTAGAAACTATAAACGAAGTCCCTCCCAAAGTTAGTTCAATCTATGCCAAAAAGAAACAAGGAGTGCTTAAAGTTTAGAAGAAAGATGGAGTCAGTTAGGATAGGTGTCTTTCACTGTCTCAGCCATTATTTTGCAAAGATGCTGTCATGCTTCTTATTCTATGGTGGCCCTCAGGAGTTTGGATGATAGCAATCCACATGGGTGAGGGAAGATCTGCTTTACTCAGTCTACCAACTCAAGTGTTCCTCTCTCCTGGAATCACTCTCACAGACACACTCAGAAGTGATGTTTTACTAGCAATCAGGATATCCCTTAGCCCAGTCAAGTAGATGCCTACAATGAATCATCATAATACTTTTCTAGAAAATTATAATATGAGCCAATAATTTCACAAATACTTGGGTTTGTCCCAATTACAGCATTTTAATATTTTTTTTTCCTACTTATTGTCTATCTTTGATATTTTTCAGGTCAAGATCTGATCCCATCTGTTTGTGGTCAGGCGTTGAGTTGCCCACAGGCAAGTTGGTGAAATACGGCCTCTACTACAACAAGTGAACTCTCCTTCCTGTGGTCTCTCATCCTGCGGTAGGTTAGCGCTGGTAGTAGGAGCATCCCGGAGAAGATGTGGAAACAGAAAAGTGCTTTTTAATAGGTCTGCTTACATCATCTGCCTACTGATATCCTATTGCTTAAAGCAGAAGTCCTCAACCTTTTTGGCACAAGGGACCAGTGTCATGGAAGACTATTATTCCATGGACCAGGGCAGAGGCAATGGTTTCAGGATGATCCAAGGGCATTACATTTATTGTGCACTTTATTTCTACTATTATTATATTGTAATATATAAAAAAATAATTATACAACTTACCATAATTAGAATCAGTGGGATCCCTGAGCTTGTTTTCCCGCAACTAGACAGTCCTATCTGGGGGTCGTGGGAGACAGTGATAGATCACCTGGCATTACATTTTCATAAGGAGCATACAATCTATATCCCTCTCTCATAAGTGCAGTTTGCAACAGGTTCACACCACTTACGGGAATCTAATGCTGCCACTGATGTGATAAGAGGCGGAGCTTAGGTAGTAATGGTAGCAATGGGGAGTGGCTGTAAATACAGATGAAGCTTCACTGGCTGTCCTGCTGCTCATCTTCTGTTGTGTGGCCAGTTCCTACGAGGCCACAGACTGGCGGGTTGGGGACCCCTGGCTTAAAGCATGTTACAAAGAATGTTCAAAGAATATAGATAAATAGATTCCACTTATTGATGGAGGTGGGAGAAGGTGGTGAAGAAAAGTCATATGCAAATGTCCTAGGCCACAAATTTGGGCTATTAGTGCAACTAATCTACCATATTCACTTTGCAAAATATGCAAAAATCCTGGAAAGAAATATTTCTTCCAGGAGAGTAGCAATTTTTGTGTCTGGTGGTTAGCATATGGGATTTTTTTCTTTTTATGTAATTATTAAACAACATGAATTTATTTTAGTAAGGAGAACCAAACTTTGAGAGTACCGAAAGGGAATTAATTTGTGTTTTTCTCTCTGAATTGCAGATAGCCTATATAAGATGTGATATAAAATATTTCCTCAAATGCTCAAATGTTGAATGAATGAACAAAAAAAAATGAAGAGAAAAGAGACACAAAGCAGCAGAGACTTTATAGGAAGGGCAATAGGTAAATGTAGAAAAGGTAAAATCAGGTTATTGCTGGCCATTTCAAAAGGTAGTTTGAAGAGCTAATGTCTGCTGTTGAGCAAAAAATAGGAATATGCTTTCTACAGGGACGGTTGAGGATAGTTTCAGTGAGATTATGCCTTTAATGACCCTTCTTTGGGGAAGAGGCTGCAATTGGCTTCATAGTAGGGACTATCAGTAACATCCAAAGAAATGTTACCATTTCTATCTGCCAGGAAACAAAAACTAGCAAAGAAATTAGATTAATATAACGTTGCCACTGACAAAAAAAACTAATTTTCCAGTAAAATTTTAATGTCTTTGTTCTGTTTTATCAAAAATGTAGCACTGCACCTACTTTGAGAATAGTTAGCACTGTACCTACTTAAGTTATATGTGTTTTAATTGAAACTCAAATTTCAGGTAAAACTAATAATAAAAGTCAGCATTATAATATTGCAATTTGTTCATCAGGCAGGAAGCTTAATTGCATAGTGCAAATTCTGTATTTAAAGTTTATGAGTTTTTTTTGAAAAAAAATACACTTTCTATGCATGGTAATGAACATTTGTGTCCTTTAAAAACATGAGCTTTATAGTGACATTTAAAATTATATAGGATTTTTAGGAGTTCACATAAGTATAGAAAAACAGTGACTCAAAATGTACAAAAATATGTATTATACAAGAGGACCATTTATTTAGGTGTTGTGCAATGCCACATCAGATTGGAGATGTGTTACTTCCTGAAAATCTCACACAATGCTTTCTTCTTAACAAGCTATGCTTGCAGTCCTTGTCCCTTCAGAAAATTGCACATGCCATATGTTTTATGTTATATTTACCTGCATAGGAATCTTAAAGAATATCATGAGCAGAATTGATGAACTAATATCAATTTAAGAAGCTATTTTTATTTTCAGTGTGACAAACGTGAGAAGCAGCTGTCATGGGGTCCTTCCTGTCGTCCATTTCCTGAATACCAAGGAATGTCCACATACATTAAAAAAAAAAAAAAGAAGAAGTGCTATAAAAGGAAAAGAGTGGTTACCACTTAAAGCCATGGAACACGGTTGCTTTTATATCAGAAGTTAGCAGAATTTGGAGACAAATTCCTAACTTTTAATAACAAAATGCCAGGGACATTGGAAAGGACATAGAAAGAACTGTGTTATCAGAGTGCTAAAAAATGAACTACTCTACAACCAATTTCTATCCCAGGAGTTAGAAGGAATGACAGAGAAGGGGAGAGGGAAGGAAGGACACTGAAAACATAAACATTAAGGTTAGGAACATCTCATCTCTCTTCCGGCTTTTCTACCTCCTTTTTTTTTTTTCTGTAAAAAGCCAAACAGTAAATCTTTTTAACTTTGTGGGCTACACATCTCTATCACGATAATCAACTTTCCCATTGCAATGTGGGTTAAAAGAAAAATTTTAGACAACGTGAATTTAACAGTTTCACTGAGCAGAGAATGATTCATGAACGGACCCCCAGACCAGAATAGATTCAGAGTGACTCTGTGGCTGCCTTATGGTCACATAATATGTATGGACAGGAAATTGAAAGCAATTCACAGATGACAGAGGTGAGTTACAAAGAGCTGGATTGGCACAAAAGTAGGTGGCTGGGCATGGTGGCCCACAACTATAATCTCAGCGCTTTGGGAGGCAAAAGTGGGAGGATTGCTTGAGCCCAGGAGTTCAAGACCAGCCTGGGCAACATAGTTGGAACCTATGTCTACAGGTATTTCAAAAAAGCATTAAGTGGGCATGCTGGCATGTACCTATGGTGAGCCATGATTGCACCACTGCACTCCAGCCTGGGAGATGGAGTGAGACCTTGTCTCCTCCATACTAAAAGAAAAAAAAAAAAAACAAGTAGGTTAGAGTCTGCACAATGAGTTCTGTTACAGTTCACTTACAAAAAAATCTTTAGGCTGAACTTAAAACATGTAAGGAAGCAGCTTTATGCTAAATTTAAGATAACATGTGGAAGCAGTCATGGACAATATGTCAGCAAATGGGAGAGGCTGTGTTCCAATAAAATTTTATTTAAAAAAACAAGCGATGGGTCAGCTGAACTCGTATAGTGTAATAACTACAAATATATAGTGTAATCACTATTACCTATATTGTATAACAACTATAATATATAGACTGTAATGACATATGTATAATGACTATTATATATACATAGCGTAATGGCTATTATATATAGTATAATGATTATAATATATGCATAATAGCAGAATTACTATTATATAATGTATTGACTGCTTTATAGTGTAATGACTATTATGTATATGTAGTTTAATGGCTATTATATATAGTGTAATGACTATCATACAGTTATTGACTATTATATATGACTATTACACTACCTATAGTGTAAGATTATTAAAATATGGTGTAATCACTATTATATATAGTGTAATAACTATAAAATATTTATATATAGTGTAAAGACTGTCACATGGTGTAATGACTACAATACATAAAATAGTGTAATGACAATAATATATAGTGTAATAAGTATAATATAGTGTAATGACTATAATATATAATAGTGTAAAGACTATTTTATATAGAGAGAATAGTGTAATGATTACTTCATATACATGAAATAGTGTAATGCTTTTTATATATTGATAATATAGTGTATTATCATTACACTATTACATATAATAATGTATTGACTTAAATTGAAAAGGCAGGTAATTTAATAGCATATAATAGTGGGTGTCTATGTATACTATATATAAAAGTGTAACAACTATAATAAGTATATAGTGTAATGAGTATAATATACATATTGTAAAGGACTATAAAATATATATAATGTAATGACTGTTACATATGTAATAGTGTAACGATTATTGTATATATTGTAAAGACTATTATATATAGTGTAATGACTACTATATATACAGTATAATCACTATTCTATGTATGTAGTGTAAGGAATATAATATATATAATGTTGTAATGACTATAATGAACATATATATATTTGTAATGGCTATTACAATCAAATTATTATGCCAATCCATCACTACAATACTATACTTCAGATGCCCAGAAATTGTACATTTTACAACTGAAAGTTTGTATACCTTGACCCTAATTCACTGTAAAGAAGTTGGTTGCTGCATAGAGAACATAATCACTGGTATCAATTACTATTTGATTGTCTTAAAGAGGGTGACATGGACGATAAATAAACTATTATTCCAAGTGTAGTTACAGTTAGTTATAGCAGAAGAGCAGAAAGGCTTTAGAATCTCCCAAATATCTCTGAAACACACTCTGAAACACATGTGATTCTCCACAGACAAAATTAAATGCAGATGAAAAGACATTGTAGGTACATAAAGAGAAGCAATACCAATTAGAAAAGAAATGGATGAATGGCTGACGTTTTTAAGGAGTTTCTCTTACCTATTTATATGCTACGTCTGCACTTTTATAAATACCACAAAATGTATGAGCAGCTTTTATAGCAAGTTTGCACCTAACTTTGCAAAAATTGTGTGGAACATAAAAAAACACAATAAAAACCAAAATTAAACTCTTGTCTACGGGTACATCAATGTGTTATTTTATCTTACCTTGAACTTTAAAATAATAATTATCATCTATGTGTCTATCTTCGTGTCTTTGTGTGTGTGTGTGTGTGTGTGTGTGTATATATATATATATACACATATATATATCATTTATTTAATTTATCCCATCTATGTACAGATGTATGCATGTAGGTATCTGTCTGTCTACCCACCTATCCATCTATCTACCTACCTATCCTTTCAACCATCCATCGACCTACTATCTACCTATTCATTCATCCATCCATCTAGCCTATGTATCTATGTATCTACCTATCCATTTATCTATCTACTTATCTATCTATCCATCCATCCATCCATTCATCCATCCATCCATCTACTCTCTGCTTATCCATTCATCCATCCACATTTCCTATCTATCTATCTATCTATCTATCGATCTATCTGTCTCCATTCATCCACTCACCTATCTTAACTATCTATCCATCTATCGATCACTACTTATTCATTCATCAATTCACCTATCCATCTATCTATCTTCCATCTATCTAGATAGCTAGCTAACTAAATTATATAGACATTAGGTAACTAGGTGGCTATTATTTATCTAATTTATCTTCCTTGTAAATTCACATTTGACACATCCCACAAAACAGAACAAAGTATTAAACCCAAGGTAATGTTTTAACATAAATTGATTGTTTTAGTGATCTTCTATCTACAACAATGAAACTACAATGATTATTTAATTTTGGCATACTTTTTTATCATTTTGGTATAATTTACTACTAAACAGCATCAGTAAATTTGAATTTCTAATAGGTACTTATTTGTTTTTATTTTATTTTTAAAAGCTAGAATACACTTAACATGAGTCATCTTTTAATGAGTAGTTTGATCCACAATACCTATTTTGTTGTAGACTCAAATATTTTAATGAAATTCTAATTTGACCAATATTTTGACAGTTTAAAATTCTGAATCACATGAAAGATAGTATTTTTATATATCAACATGAAAAACTACTGGGCTATACATATACATTGTTTTTGAATCTGTGTAAAGTTTTTTCTGCATTATTCAAACTATAAGTGCACTTACTATAAACTAGGTAAGTGATAGCATTTGTATTTTCTCAATATATTTTCATGGTGATATTCTCTCTCCAGAATCATGCTGACTCTATTTGATTAAAAAAAAAAAAAATCAGATTGCAAAGCTGAAGATTAATCTGAAGTGATAGCAAAGGATAAAAAGATATCAGGAAAAGAACTCGGAGCACATAGAGATGGAGGACCAAGTGGAGAAGATGAGCAAACACATGCCAGCATGCTTTGGATATTTGGTTGGTATCTCCCACAATTATTTAAAGACAAATTGTTAAGATGAATGTCCTGAGGTATGGAAAGTGGAACTTCAAAGCAATAAACATGGGAAAAGTCCAGTGATATGATTCAGAGAGAGAAAGAAGAGGGAGAGAGAGCAAGACAAAGAAAGGGTGGAGGAAGGGAGAGAGAAAAAGAGAGAGAGAGAGAAACCTTGTCTTTGGAACCATTTGTAACACAATGAACCAGTCCACAGCAAGACTCAACAGACTTAAGAAAAGGCCAAGGATATGAGTCAGAGAAAGAAAAGAAACAGAGAGAGAGAGAGAAAGAGAAAGAGAGGAGAGAAAAAGAAGAGAGAAAGAGAGAGAGAGAGATCTTGTCTTTGGAGCCATTTGTAACACAATAAACCAACTCACAGCAAGACTTAATAGAAGAAAAGGCTAAATGATTTAAAGGCCATTTGTAACACAACACAACAATTCACAGCAAGGCTATATTTTAATCCCAGGGTACAAAAACATCACCAAAAACCATAACAACTGAGACATCAGTGTCTCCCATTTATCAAACAATTGATACAAATTAATTAGCACCCCCATTATGAGCATTTACGGATACATCCAAATTCAAAAAAGAAAAAATAAATGCAAACTATCTCCAAAATTATGACAAAATAATGTGGGTTTGATTTTTTTTCATCGTGTTTCTTTCATCTTAGAGTTTGTCTCCTTGTGGTACCTGTTACGCCAACTTGCCAGCAAATGCAGATGTGGAATTTTGGGAGTCTCTGTGGTTCACTTTTCAGCCAACTCCCTACTTCCAAATTGGGAACTCAAACTGAGCATAAGCTCTCCATCAGTAAAACCCTGGATACACTCACTAATGAAAGACCTCATTGTGAGAGAAGAATTTAAGGGAATAAGTAGGTAGACATGCATAAACTCCCCCTCATAGTGCAACACTCCCTAAACACTTTTTAACAGACACGGTAGGAAGAAACTCTGATGAGACCTAAATTTTGTTTTGGATGAATAAAAACCGTGCTTCTGCTCCTTGTAAGTTTTGGTGTGATGAAGAAGACAGCAAATTAATAAGTATGATGGATACTACAGTATCAGGAAATGCTGAGAAGTCTATCAGTTGTCACCTGTGAACCCCAAAAATCTGAGATATGTCTCAATTAATTTAAAAGTTTATTTTGCCAAGATTGAGGACACGTGCCCATGATATAGCCACAGGAGGTCCCTTGATGACATGTTCCCAAGTTCGCCAGAGCATAGTTTGATTTTATACATTTTAAGGAGATATGAGACATCAATCAACATATGTAAGAAGAACATTGGTTCTATCTGGAAAGGCAGGACAATTCAAAGTGGGGAGGGGGCTTCCAGTTCATAGGTAGATAAGAGACAAACAGTTGTGTTCTTTTGAGTTTCTGATTAGCCTCTCCAGAGGAGGTGATATGGTTTGGCTGTGTCCCCACCCAAATCTCAACTAGAATTTCATGTCCTAGAATTCCCACCTGTTGTGGGAGGGACCCAGTAGGAGATAATTTGAATTATTGGGGCAGTTGCCTCCATACTGTTCTCCTGGTTGTGAAGAAATCTCACAAGATCTGATGGTTTTATCAGGGCTTTCTGCTTTTGCTTCCTACTCATTTTCTCTTGTTGCTACCATGTAAGAAGTGTATTTTGCCTCCTGCTATGTGTCTGAGGCTTCCTTAGCCACGTGGTACTGTAAGTCCAATTAAACTTCTTTCTTCTGTCTTGGGTATGTCTTTATCAGCAGGGTGAAGATGGACTAATACAGGAAGCAATCAGATACGCATTTATCTCAGTGAGCAGAGGGGTGACTTTGAATAGAATGGGAGACAGATTTGCCCTAAGGAGTTCCCAGCTTGACTTTTCCCTTTAGTTTAGTGATTTTGGGTGCCCAATATATTTTCCGTTCACACACTGTGCCTCTGAAACAGCTCTGCTTGATGTGCCTCATGAAATCCACATTTGTAATCCACAGACCTCATTCAGTAGTTATCAATTCTCCACATAACTTATTTCCATTATCATTTTCTTCAGCCTTTGATGATTCTAACAGTTTTATAAGGGAGAGCTTCCCTGAGCAAGCTCTCTTTTTGCCTGCCACCATCCACGTAAGACGTGACTTGCTTCTCCTTGCCTTCTGCCATGATTGTGAGGCTTCCCCAGCCACACGGAACTGACTCCAGTAAACCTCTTTTTTCCTCCCAGTGTCGGGAATGTCTTTATTAGCAGCATGTAGGTGGACTAATACAACAAATTGCATTGGATGTTCTCAAAATTAATCTTAAATTTAATATAAGTAAGACTAAAAAAACTAAGTCCCTTTCAACTTTCTCCTAATCTTACCAAAGTGCATTTGGGGAGATGATTCCTGCATATACTCAAATGAACACTTTGAAATGGTAGAATCATGTCTTCATGGTCTTCCTCACATTCCACAGCTATTCACTCTTCAAATGCTTCTGAATTTTCTTGATCATTCCATTTTAAATCTCTCCTCTTATCTCCCAGCCAACTGTCTCCACAAGCCTAAGCTCCTATCAGCTCTCATGTTTTGACACTGGACTAGTTCTATAGTATTTCTGTATCTTTCTGGGCTACCAGTCTCCTATTTGTTCTTTATAATGCAGCAATAATTGCTGTAATGATTATGGCATGTGTTCTCCTTTGTAAAATTTTTAGTATGCCAATGCCATCAAATGTAAAGTTAAATTTTCTCCACATACCCTGAAAAGATGCTCAGTCTTATCCTCCGTCATTCTGTCAAGATTTATCATCAACACAGAACTTTTACTTCCTGTGCTCCTGATATGTGCAAATTCTGTCTCTTTTCAATTATCCAAGAACTTCCTCTCATTTCCAAATCTTACATTTTCTGGAACTCTCTTCATCAATTGGACTTTCTTTACCTCTCCATTAATTTTTAGTTTATTTTTAACCCACCCTGCAGCATAAATTCATAAGACTTACATAAAAAATAATTGCAAAGCTCTGTATAAACTTCTTGGGCATGCCTGTGGGTAGAACAAATGACATTCCCCAAGAAACTAAACTCTTTTATTTTATGCTATTCTCAGATAGTTGAAGACTTTAAATTATTTTATGTGTATGTAAGGAATAAAATAAATGATCAAATTTACTTTAGCTAAGCACTGCTAACCAGGATGTCTGGCTCTTAGTTAGATAGGCATATCATCAAATAACAAGGAATTAGTATATTCTCTGTTCAATAGTGCATCTATATTTAACATTTATTGAAGAAATGGAAACAAACTTGTGGACTTGCATGTATAAGTTAGATATCCGCTTGTCAATAAATTTTGCCCGTTGGAAAAAAAAAAGTTTAAATTGTAAAGATATCTTAATTATCCCTGGAATTCAGATATATTTTAAAGAGGAATGGACAGTGAAACAGTCAGGAATTACAGGAGACTAATATTGCAGTTACCCTGAGTAAACACACTTATATTTACAGATCAGATTCTGTCCTATTATTACATGTGAAACTTCACATTAACTTTTACAAATGTGACTTTCAAATGTTATAACTTTGTCTTTCAAAAGAACATAGATTGGATATCACATTTCCAATATATTTCTTAACTTCACAAGGAACATGAATTGGTGGAAAGTAATAAGAACTTCCAGTTGGCTTATTATCTATTTTAATTATGAGGACTTCAAGTGTCTTTCTTGCAAGTCACGTTACTTGGTGATGATGAAAGTCTGTGTGGTTGACGTTGTGTTTACATGTTTGTTTTTTAGAAATAGTTTTGGTTATATCTCATGAAAAAGAAAGTAGAAAAATAAAAAGCTGAAATAACATGTTACTGTTTCTAAGTAAGGTACGAAAATTCTAAGATTTCCATCAGACATATTTTTCACAATAATAATTTTTCCTTATTTTTCCAAATTGTACTCGATTTGCTTTAGAAATTAAAATTGATACAAGTTTGATTTCTTCAAATCCATGGAATAAACTGCCTATGAACTCCACAAAGAATGCCTCCGAAACATTTCTCTGTAGTCATTTGCATTCAAATATTTAATTATTACACATTTTTCTGACAAATCTGTTTGTTCATCCACATCTTTTTGTGTCATCTATATAATAATTGCTTGATCTATAGTGATTTCCTTATGAATAACATAGTGGAAATGTGGATTTCCAGGAAGAAAATGAAAAGAAAGAGCTGATAAACATATATTTATAATCTTAAATCTGCAAGATAAGATAAAATAGGGTAATGTTTTACTCATCTTTTAAGATAAACATACCTAGCTAAGTTAACAAAGCTGATTTCTTATTTATTTTTGATTAAGAAGAAAATGGTACAAAAGTAGTTTAAATCATCCAAATATTTGAAACCAATTATCTTCTCATAAATATCCAAAAATTAAAACAATCATTATTAGTGTAGAGAGCATGATAAAACATAAATTCTAAATTAAATATTTCAAATATGGGTTATTTATTAAAATGATCATTGATGAATTCTGGTTTCAATAATATTTATTTGTGTACTAACTCTTCGTTAATCGACTTTGAATCTCTTTGAAGAACTGTCATAACATGTTTTAAATTAAAAATTTACTTCAAGTCATACCTTAAAAATTCCAAACCATGTATGACATGTGAGGAGTCTAATTCACAGATGTTAATAATAGTAATGAAATTATAAAATTCTCAGCCAGGTGTGGTGGTTCACACCTGCAATCCCGGTACTTTGGGTTACTGAGGTAGGAGGATCACTTCATTCCAGGAGTTTAAGACCAGACTGGACAATACTGGGAGACCCTTTCTCTAATATATATATATATACACACACACACACACACACACACACACATGCATGCACACACACATATACACACACATATATATGGATGTGTGTGTACATATATGTGTGTGTGTGCGTGCGTGTGTGTGTGTGTGTATAGTATTTTTGAGAAGCTGAAGTGGGAGGATATCTTGAGCCTGGGAGACTGAGGCTTCAGGTAGCCATGATAACATCACTGCACTTCAGCCTGGGGAACAGCACAGGACCCTGTCTCCAAACAACAACAAAAAAATGAAATTGTTGTGTTATACTATACAGTAGTTCCCCCTTATTTATGATTTCACTTTCTGCAGTTTCAGTTACTCATGGTAAAGTGCATAAGATATGCAGCAGTGAGTGCATATTCACATAACTTTTATTAGAGCATATTTATAATTGTTCTATTTTAATATTATTTGTTGTTAATTTATAAATTAGACTTTACCATAAGTACATATGTATAGGAAAAAACTGTATATATAAAAATATTTTATTACTATCTGAGATTTCAGACATCCACTGGTGGCGAGAGGTGAGCATTTGTTCTTTTTACATATCCCCTGTGGATAAGGGAGAACTGCTGTATTAGTATAACAAACACTACTAACCTCAAGTGAAAAATAAACATGGCTTCTAAAATTCTGATGTGTTGGTAAAAACGCAAATTAGATTCTTGCTGTCTCCCCTGAAAATAAAGCAATTGCTTCTCATTTATTTTATGATAAGTGGAAAGCTGAGCCATGGCCCTTAATTTCCTACACAATCTACTTCCTTGTTTACCTCCTAATTCATCAATTTCCATTGTCTCTGCAGCTCACAGCTATAGCCACACTCATTGTCCTTCTTGTGCTAGAACCTGCTTAGCTCCACCATTCAGCAGAGCACATGTGCTGGTTGCACACTTTTCAAACGTTCCTTCTTCTATCTTCAAAGGGTTATGTTATTTTCATCATTCAAGACTCAACATAAATCACTCCCCACCAGGCTACCCTATCATAATTAGACATCATTTCATCCCTCTGACATCTACTCCTCTATTTGCTTTGCAAATTTTTCACTTCCTGAAGTCACCTGTTTATGTATTTGCTTATTTTCTTGCATATTTTACACCCAATGCCCAAAAGAATGCAACTCATGAGAGCAAAAGTATTGCCTACCAGGACTCTTGCTACAAATCAAAGCCTTGAGAACAGATAATGAGTACTGGATGCTGGATATCTGCCTAGCACTTCAATGGAAGCTGCACTTGGGAAAGTTGAGCCTACCACAAGGCTTAGCAACTAGGAAAACATCCAGGCATGAAAATGAACAGAAAACTGCCCCATTGATTCTAAAACTTTAGGCATTACAAGAAATTACAGGTGATTAAAATAAAAATAGAGAAAGGGTAAAGAAAGATAAGAACATCACTGCCTGACTTTGTTGTTATTGACGTTGTTATTTTTTGGCAGAAAGTAAGTTATTTCTGATTATTTTCCTTTGCTGGTGATACAGCACAATGCAATGTTTATATATTTATTAACTACTCTCATCAATGTTTTGTTGTTTATTTGTTTGCTAGTTTTTAACATAGCTCAGTGGTCCCCAACCTTTTTGATCCCAGTGACTGGTTTCGTGGAAGACAATTTTTCCATGGATTAGAGTTAGAGGGATGGTTTTGAGATGATTCAAGAGCATTACATATAGTGTGTACTTGATTTCTATTATTATTATTATTATTACATTGGAATATACAATGAAACTGTTATACAACTCATCATAATGTAGAATCAGTGGGAACATGGAGTTTGTTTTCTTGCAACTAGATGGCCCCATCTGGGGGTGATAGGAGACAGGACTGATTATTAGTCATTACATTCTCATAAGGAGTGCACAATTGAGATCCACTGCATGTGCAGTTCACAAGAAGGTTTATGCTCCTATGAGAATGTAATGCCTCTGCTGATCTGACAGGAGGTGGAGCTCAGGTGGTAACGTGAGCATTGGAGAGCTGCTGTAAATACAGATGAAGCTTTGCCCACTCACCAACCATTCACTTCTTGTTGTGCTGCCCAGTTTCTAACAGGACATGGACAAGTACCCCGATGTAGATCTTACATGTGTAAACACATCTCCAAATAGATCATTTATTTTGGTACAAATGTAAGTAATATAGTGCTTTTTTCCTTCCTTGTTTGTTTATTGTTGGCTTGTTTCTTTTGCTTCCCTGTAATGAGATCCTGGCTATGCATTCTCAGGTGGCTTATGCAACCGGTGCTGTGGACTTCTACTCAAAGTAGCCATTGGCCACTTCTTGCTGCTGGTAATTTGGATCACTCCATTGGATCATTGCTGGAGGTCTCCTTTGAATAAATATTATTTTCCTCCTCAGAAACAAAAGTATCTCAGTAGGGAGGTACTTTACCGCCATGCCAATACCTCCTTTCACTGATCATTAGAGAATGCAAATCAAAACCACAATGAGATACCATCTCATGCCAGTCAGAATGACTATTATCAAAGAGTCAAATGACAACAGATACTGCTGAGGTTGTGGAGAAAAAGGAAAACTTTTACACGATTGATGAGAATGTAAATCAGTGCAACTGTGGTGGAAGACAGTGTAGTCATTTCTCAAAGACCTAAAGACAGAAATACCATTTGACCCAGCAATTCCATTATTGGATATATACCCAAAGGAATATAAATCATTCTATTTTAAAGATACATATATGTGTATGTTCACTGCAGCACTATTCGCAATAGCAAAGACATCAAATCAACCTAAATGCCTACTAGTGCTAGACTGGATAAAGAAAATGTGGTACATATACACCATGGAATACTATATAGCCATAAAAAGGGAAAAGGTCATGTCTTTGCAGGGACATGAATGGATTTGGAAGCCATTATCCTCATCAAAGTAATGCAGAAACAGAAAACTAAGTACCGCATGTTCTCACTTGTAAATGGGAGCTGAATGATAAGAACACATGGACATATGCAGGGGAACACACACTGGGGCAGACTGGAGTTAGGATGGGGACAGGGAGAGCATAAGGAAGAATAGCTAATGGATGTTGGGCTTAATACCTAGGTGATGGGATGATCTGTGTAGCAAACCACCATGGAACACATTTACTATGTAACAAGACTGAACATCCTGTACATGTACCCCTGAAATTTAAAGTTGAAGAAAAAAATTTCCCTCTATATTTAGTAAGACTTGATAGTCCAGATAAAAAATAATATAGTACATATATACCATGGAATACTACACAGTCCTAAAAAAGAAAGAGATCATGTCCTTTGCAGCAACAAGGATGGAACTGAAAGCTGTTATCCTAAGTGAACTAACACAACAACAGAAAACCAAACCTTGCATGTTCTTACTTACAAGTGGGAGCCAAATATTGGTTACACATGGACACAAAGAAGAGAATAATAAACACTAGCACCTACTCAAGCGTGGAGACTAGGTGGAGTGAGAGGATTGAAAAACTACCTATCAGGTACTATGCTAATTACATGGATGAGGAAATAACCTGTATACCAAACTTCTGTGACATAATTTACCCATGTAGCAAACCTGCACATATACCACTGAATCTAAAATAAAAGTTGAAAAAAAAAAGATTTGATAGCCGAACTATACCATGGTGGTTATATAATTATGTACATATTTTTTCCAGTTATATCAGCAGTCCACCAACATTTTTACAGGAGGCACCAGTTTCATGGAAGACAATTTTTCCACAAATGAGCTGGGGTTTGGCTGGCGGATGTCAGGATGACTCAAGCACATTACATTTATTTTGCACTTTATTTATATTATTGATACATTTCAATATATAATGAAATGATTATACAACTCACCATCATGCAGAATCAGTGGGAGCCCTCAGCTTGTTTTCCTGCAACTAGACAATCCCATCTGGGGGTGATGGAAGACAGTGGCAGATCATCAAACATTAGATTCTCATAAGAAGTGTGCAACATAGATGCCTCCCGTGCGCAGTTCACAATAAGGCTCAAGGTCCTATGGGAATCAAATACGGCTGCTTATTTGACAGGAGGCTGAGCTCAGGCAGTAATGCAAGTGATGGGAACTGGCTGTAAATACAGATGAAGCTTTGCTGGCTTGCTCACCCACTGCTCACCTCCTGACGTGCCAGTGTGAATTCCGGTGCCAGAGGAATCCCTGAACAACAGCATTTGTGCCATATTTAGCTGTTAGGACTGGGCATTTTATTATAAACAGTTATTTTTTCATACACACACAGACATACATACATATATACATTTTGTGTATATTAATGTATGCATATACACATTGTATATGAGTTTATATACATATGCATATATATTTGAATGTATATATAGATACATACAAATACATATCTATTTGTATTCAATTTGGAAAGATGCATTTCTGTTTTTTGAAAGGTTTATAATTTATTATTGTACTTATTTTATTTAGTACTTAAATTATCACAGAAAGGGGATGTTCTTCACCCTAGCTCCTATGTCCCTCTGACATGCCCTTATAATATTGTTGAGCACTTTCTCACATTTTGACATATTTGAAGATATTTCAGGCTTTTTTCATAACTACACAGCTACAAAACTGGAGTTGGTTGTATCTATAATGAAGTCAAGTAAGAGACAAATGATCTGGATGCTAGTGTGTGCTCACTGCTAATGGGTGTCTTTTCTTCTTGGATATTTCAGTGAAGTGATCTAGGAATTATATGTATTTATGCACTGATACGCAAATGTGTGGGCTTACATACATACACCTACAGATATACATATGCACATGTACTGGAAAATATACTTACAGATGTATATTTTAGAAATGATCAACTCACACTCATACTTACCTTTCCAAGCTATTCCTATAAGGACTTAATGTATAGGTTCTTTTATTTGGATATATTTTTTCATTGTAAGAATCATAGCTTCTAACATCAGCAAGTGTTAATTTTTTTCCTGGATTATCATAATTATTAAAAGTTCACTGTTTATCACTTCTATATATGTAGGTGTGGACACACACATACATAATAGTTTCATTCAAAAGTAATGCAACCATTACATTTTTACAGTAAATACATTCCTAAAGTAATGAGTTGAGCCTATGTGTGTCTTTGCACATGAGATGGGTCTCCTGAATACAGCACACTGATAGGTCTTGACTATTTAATTTGACAGTCTGTGTCTTTCATTTGGGTATTAAGCTCATTTACATTTAAGGTTAATATTGTTATGTGTGAATTTGATCCTGTCATTATGATGCGAGCTGGGTATTTTGCCCATTAGTTGATGCAGTTTCTTCAAAGTGTCAATGGTCTTTACAATTTGGTATATTTTTGCAGGGGCTGGTACAGTTTTTCATTTCCATATTTAGTACTTCCTTCAGGAGCTCTTATAAGGCAGGTGTGGTGGTGACAAAATCCCTCAGCATTTGCTTGTCTATAAAAGACTTTATTTTTGCTTCACTTATGCAGCTTAGTTTGGCTGGATATGAGATTCTGGGTTGAAAATTCTTCTTTAAGAATGTTGAATATTGGCCCCCACTCTCTTCTGGCTTGTAGGATTTCTGCAGAGAGATCTGCTCTTAGTCTGACGGACTTCCCTTTGTGGGTAACATGACCTTTCTCTCTGGCAGCCCTTAACATTATTTCCTTCATTTCAACCTTGGTGAATCTGATGATTATGTGTCTTGGGGTTTCACCTCTTAAGAAGTATCTTTGCGGTATTCTCTGTATTTTCTGAATTTGAATGTTGGCCTGTCTTGCTAGGCTGGGGATGTTCCCCAGGATAATATCATGAAGAGTGTTTTCCAACTTGGTTCCATTCTCCCTGTCACTTTCAGCACACCAAGCAAATGTATGTTTGGTCTTTTCACATAGCCCCATATTTCTCAGAGGCTTTATTCGTTCCTTTTCATCCATTTTTTTTCTCTAATCTTGTCTTCATGCTTTATTTCATTAAGTTGATCTTCAATCCCTAATATCCTTTCTTCTACTTGATTTCTTTGCTATTGATACTTGCAAATGCTTCACAAAGTTCTCATTTTTGTGTTTTTCAGCTCCATCAGGTCATTTACATTTTTCTCTAAATTTATTATTCTAGTTAGGAATTCCTCTAACCTTTTTTTCAAGGTTCTTATCTTCCTTGCATTGGGTTAGAGCATGCTCCTTTAGCTTGGACTTTGTTATTACCCACCTTCTGAAGACCACTTCTGTCAATTTGTCAAACTCATTCTCCATCCAGTTTTGTTCCCTTGCTAAGCGAGGAGCTGTGATCCTTTGGAGGAGAAGAGGCATTCTGGTTTTTGTAATTTTCATCCTTTTTGCACTGTTTTTTCCTCATCTGCCTGAATTTATCTACATTTGGCCTTTGATGTTAGTGACCTTCAGATGGGGTTTTTGTGTGGAGGTCCTTTTTATTGATGTCGATGCTATTCCTTTCTATTTGTTAGTTTTCCTGCTAACTCTCAGGCTCCTGTGCTGCAGGTCTGCTGGAGTTTGCTGTAGGTCCACTCCAGACCTTCCTTGCCCAGGTATCACCAGTGGAGGCTGCAGAACAACAAAGATTGCTGCTTGTTCCTTCATCTTGGAGCTTTGTCCCAGAGGCACACCCGTCCGATGCCAGCCAAAGCTTTCCTGTATGAGATGTCTGTTTACCCTTGCTGGGAAGTATCTCCCTTTAAGAGGTACAGGGTTCAGGGACCCACTTGAGGAGGCAGTCTGTCCCTTAGCGAAGCTCGAGCACTGTGCTGGGGGATCTGCTGCTCTCTTCAGAGCCAGTAGACATTAATATTTAAGACTGCTGAAGCTGTGCCAATAGCTGCCCTTTCCCTCAGCTGCACTGTTTCAGGGAAATGGAAGTTTTATCTATAAGCCCCTGACTGAGGCTGCTGCATTGCTTTCAGAGATGCCCTGCCCAGAGAGAAGAAATCTAGAGAGGCAGTCTTGTTAAAGCAACTTCTCTGAGCTGCAGTGGACTCCACCTAGTTCTAAATTCCAGGCAGCTTTGTTTACACTGTGAGCAGAAAACCACCTACCTACGCCTCAGTAATGGTGGACGCCCCTCCCCCCACCATGCTTGAGTGTCCCAGGTTGACTTCAGTCTGCTGTGCTGGCAGCGAGAATTTAAAGCCAGTGGATTTTAGCTTGTTGGGCTTCATGGGAGTGGGATACACTGAGCTAGACCACTTGGCTTCCTGGCTTCAGCCCACTTTTCAGGGGGTGAACAGTTCTATCTCATTAGTGTTCCAGGTACCACTGAGGCACGGAAAAAAAAGCTTCTGCAGCTAACTCAGTGTCTGCCCAAACGGCCACCCAGTTTTGTGCTTGAAACCCAGGTCCCTGTTGGTGTAGGCACCTGAAGGAACCTCTTGGTACATGGGGTGTGAAGACTGTGGAAATACCATAGTATCTGGGCCAGAATGCACTGTTCCTCATGGCACAGTCCCTCACGCCTTCCCTTGGCTAGAAAGGGAGTTCCCCGACACATTGTGCTTCCTGGGTGAGGCATTGCCTGACCCTGCTTTGCCTCACCCTTTGTGGGCTGTATCCACTATCTAACCAGTCCCAATGAAATGAGCTGTATACCTCAGTTGGAAATGCAGAAATCACCTGCCTTCTGCATTAATCGTGCTGGGAGTTGCCCATTGGAACTTTTCTTTCAGCCATCTTTGAAAAAATATTTATTTTAAGTACTTCGTTTTTTAAGACATTTTAAAGAACTTGTTTTCAAATAAACATTTTTCCAAAATATTCTAAAATATGTAAAAATGATTTTGGCAATAATTTTATATTAGAAATGAAAAGATCTATGTTTTTTAAATCACAATTGCATCTTCAGATAGTTATATTAATTTGGGTAAAAACCTCAGACTAGTTATCATTTAAGTCATGAAAACTTTATTTTTCCAACTAAATATTTATTTTGTGCAGTCAGCAAACCCCAGGCATTTATTTAAGTTATTTATTAGAACTCGCCAAATTGTCTTTGAAAGAAATTATAGTGTTTCTTTATTTTTTTTCTTTTTCCCCTTCATTTCTATTGAAGTGTAATGCACACATAAAAATTGTAGGTATATAATGTGGACAAGGTGATGTTTTGATATACCCATACATTGTGAAATGTGAAATGCTTACCACGATCAAGGAAAATGTAGCTACCACCTCACATAATTACCTGTGTGCGTGTGTGTGTGTCTGTGTATGTGAGAAAATGGTTGTGAGAACACTTAATATATTCTCAGTTAGGAAATTTCAAGTATATGTTATTATCTACAGTCACTATGCTATAGATTGGATCTTCAGCACTTCATTATTCTGCATTACTGAAACTTTGCCTATTTTCATGAATATCTCTCCATTTCCCCTTGTTTTTCTAGACAGGCTACTACAGCACTTACAGATTTTATTTTTCCAGGTTACTGGTAAGATATTCTACAGAATACACAATTTACAGGTACTTTTGTAGACGTTTATAGATGATTTGTGCTTCTCAAGGTCTTGGGAAAAAATTTTGTAAAGGAAATGACCTTGGATGTGGGTCAAACACTAAGCAAAAGCAATGTCTTTGTGGTTCAGACACTCCTTCGAAAAACCAGTAGAAATAGAAAACACTGTAATTAATTATCTGTAAATGCATCCCCAACACTATGTTCACAAGTTTATGAACTGTGAACAGTTTGTGTATTGGACACTAATTTTCTAAACTGTAATCTCTGCATATCTCACGAATTTCTTATTTTTTGTCTTCCTAACCTTTCAAATAATATTTTCTGGTGTAAGACTAACTGATCTATGATGTGATCAAGTTCCCAGAAACATGAGCTCTCTACTCCAACAAACCAGACATTTAATTACAAAACACTGCATTTAAAAGTGTTCTACTGTCTATTAGCACGTTTCCTTTCAGCTATACTTTTTGTTTTTCCCATCCATTAACTGCTGTTACAATTAAAGAGCAAGCGGGACTCTGTCAAAGTTCATGTCCCACATAAATAACTCTTTCTGCTACATGTTATTTATGTATTTGGCCTCTAGAGAATGCAATTCAACCTCCAATGCAACTGATAAATTAATAAAAACCTCACAACTCTATAATCATTTTAGCAACAACACAGAAGACAGAGATCTTTGATGTCTAGAATCAAAGAATCTAAAAGGCTTCTTTTTTCTTTTCTTTTTTTATGTAATTTATTAACTCAAGAGTGAACTATCTCTTTTAAGGTCCAATTAAAGAAAAACTCAACACAAATAAAAAGAGAAAACTAGATACCTGATATTTAAAATGTTAGTATTTTGCTTTTTTCTTTTTATTCTAGAGTCTAATTTTCAATGACTCCTTGGTTTTGGAGTCATTAAGAATTTCTTTATATGTTGAAAATGTCTATTACTTTCAGTTTCTCCTATTACTTTCAATGGCAAACCCTCAACTTATTTTGAACCAAACTAATACACTACTTTTATAGATCTCTCTCTCTCTCTCTCTCCAAAGAATGGTGTCTCATATCAATTTTGACTTTCTTAAAAATAAAAACTATATTCCCAATTAAGTATTAAATTTCCTTTTATTCTGTAATAAATCTGGGCAATAGAGATCTTCAGTTTACAGGTGAGAAAAATAAAATTCATAGATTGCTAGTCAATTGCCAACTTCAGGTATCTAATAAGTATTCATGCCAGTTTTTGAGCTGAGAGCTACACATTTTCAAAGGTTATAATTTCCATTAAAACATCAGGATGTGAATAAACCTACCATCCTGGAGTAAAAAAGGAAGTGTGCTGGGAAAGTAGCTTTTAGATGATGTTGGAATATTTCCTTATTAAATGATATTTTTAAAAAAATGTTGCATAATCATATGCTTTATCTCTAAATATATAGTTGTTCTTACATGCATTCTTATCATTTTAAGTACCTTAAAATATATATAAGTACCTTAAGTGAATACTTACTCTTCTATTTAAATAGTCTCTATTTTTTTCTTACTTTATTTGAGTAAAATACTGAGAAAATGTTAGAATAACTTCCTCCAACATTTCTGTATGTCATGAGTACACTGAAAAAATTAAAAGAATGAAGTATATATGGCTGTGGATTTGTATGTCTGTGTGTATATATAAATATATTATATATGCAATTAATTATATTATGTATGAAATATTTTATAAGATATATTTCTTTCCAAAGGATGAAGATTTTCTATTGCTAAACAATGAAGAATTATACTGTATATATCAGTTTTCATAGTTTTATATATTAAAACTATGAAAACAAAAATTATCATTTAAGGTATTTTTTCTTTTTACTGTCACCTAAATATTCATTATGATCTTTAAAAATTTACTACTGTTATGTACAATCATTCAAAAAACATATACTGATCAAATGATATTTTTTAAAAATGTTGCATAATCATACGCTTTATCTCTAAATATATGGTTGTTCTTACATGCATTCTTATCATTTTAAGTACCTTAAAATATCTGGCCTGGTGCAGTGGCTTAGGCCCACAATTTCAGCACTTTGGGAGGCTGAGACAGGTAGATCAAGCCCAGGAGTTTCAGAAAAGCTGGGGCACATAGTAAGACCCTATCACTATCATTTTAAAAATAAAAAAGAAATTATAGTGATTAAGGAACATATACATATCCACTAATAGAATGAAGTTGCATATGGTAGGGTTTAAAAATCTTGATTTATCCATCAAGTAATTATATAAACAAACACTGTTCCATGTATTTACTAGTTCAAGAAGAAAAAGACATGTCTTTGAATGCAAATATATTTAGCTTATTTCCTGGAAATGAAACCATAACATTGTGTTATAAATGCCCACTAATAGCACCATTTATTAGTTGTCATTTCTCACTGCAATGCTTGACTTAAAATTAAGGGATCCTATTTACAAAACAGCTATAGACCCTGTCTTATTTACAGACTATTGTAGCAGAAATTATTTTTACACAATTTATGCATCATTTCTCTTATAGCAATAATGTGACATTTTAAGTTGATTTTTCCTTTCTTTTCTTATGATTATAAAGTAACGTGTAGTTTTTGACAAAAGATGAAACTCAGGCAAGCATAAAGTAAAAAATAAAATATTTCTCTATTCTAAAGCTCTCATTTCATATAATAAGTTTGTTTTTCTTGTCACTGCATATATAGATTGGATCATTATGGATTTCATAGACACAGATATTAATATTTACAGAGTTAGTAAAAGACATCTAAATTAAGACTTCCACAGATATTTATAGATATAGATTTAACAGTGGCATTTTTACTCATGAACACATACACACAACTGAGACACACTCAAAGATAATTGATGAGGTCTCACTCTCTTTTGCCAGGCTGGAGTGCAGTGTCATGATCTTGGCTCACTGCAACCTCTGCCTCCCGAGTTCAAGCAATTTTCCTGCCTCAGCCTCCCAAGTAGCTATGAGTAAAAGGCACGTGCCACCGTGTCCAGCTAATTTTTGTATTTTTAGTAGAGACGGGATTTCATATTGGTGATTTTAAATAAGAGAGCAATGTTTTAAAGTTTCTATTTAAGAACATCTGAATGGCCATTGTCATCATGTTGAGAGTTCTAACAGATTAGAAAGCAGAAACACTGAAATTTGAGAGTTTGTCAAGACTATTAATGACTGAGAGGATAAATGACATATTAACAAATTTAGGTTTTAAGTAGATCCTGAATTGATGGATAAGCCGAGAAACATATAAGATTATAAAGTAATATTTTCCAAAAATCTCAACATAAATAGATCAAGAAAATACTAAAATATTTTTAAAATACACCATCATAAGCCAGGCTTCCTATTTTCCTTGAAGAACTCTTAACTGCCCTTGGATAATGAACTCTACCATTTGCTAAGTGGCAATTTTCTGCTTGGATATTGATATGCACACATTAGATATGATTTGAATAATTTTAGGAAGTATTTTAATGGCATATCATTTAATAATCTTGGGAGGTACTTTCTTGAAAAGAACATGTGGCTAATATCTGTGAGCACTTATATTTTTTTTCTGTGGCTTAAGAAGTTCTTGGGAACCAGTTATTTCAACAAACCAAAATTAAATATTCAGTAACATTCTAAGATTGTTTCTCAGTGACCAAGAAGTAGAAAATTCAGTATGCCTCATTATTATTGGGAAAATTGGTGAAAACAAAATTGATTCAAGGTGATAAGTTATTTCAGCAGGGGCTTGGCAGTGGGGGAGAGCAAAGCCTCACTGTTGTCAGACTAGAGTGCAGTGGTACAATCATCACTCACTGCAGCCTCCCATTCTTGCAGCCAAGTGATCCTCCAACCAAGGCTTCTCAAGTAGCTGAGAATACAGGCATGGGCCACCATACAGAGCTAATTTTGCTTTTTTTTTTTTCTGTAGAGATAAGGCCTCACTATGTTGCCCGGGCTGATCTCACTCTCCTCATCTCAAATGATCTTCCTGCTTTGGCCTCCCAAAGTGCTGGGATTACAGGTATGAGCCACTGTGCCTGGCCTGATTCAAAGAGATGTCATTGATCCATCTGATATACATCATAAAATTCATTAGAAGATGTTATTACACTTTTTAAATGTGAAAATGATAAATTTCCCCAGTTCAGCTATTTTGATTCTACATTTGACTCATAAGACAAAAATATAGATGTCTTTTTACGGTGTACAGTAAAGCTTGCAGATTTAAGACTGAAGCACATTTAGAAATTTGGATCCAAAATGTGGTTACATGTTAAGTTTATGTTCTTTTTTAATCCTCCAAACATTGTTCTCCATATTTTTTCACGAATAATTATCTATTTGTTGGGTATACAAGATATATAAAGTACACTAGATAAAAAATGGATGATATTCATAACAAAAAGAAAATATCTTTACATATTTCTACATGAAGATATATTTATGAAATGTATTTCTGAAGAAAAATTAATGGTTAATATTTATAGGGACATCAATTCTTCAGATTTCTCAGTTTGATTAACTGCATCAGTAGCAAGCAGGGAGATGATGATGTGTGAAATTAGGAGATAAGTCACTTGTATTTGCTATATCAAGATGATTTTTCTTTGATTAAAGTAATTTCAGGTATAGAAATTAAACTTCATCAGAGGAACTATGCATATTTAGTAGTCTTCAATAAAAATCTATTTTTTTCCTTATATAGCTAGTATAATATAAGTGGTCTGTAGTTCATCAATTCTAACCCAGATCAGTATAAATTGGATAATTCATGTTACATATATTTGACTTTCTTCTTAATAGCATACCGAAAATGTGGTACTTAGCATTGGTTCCTCTTTTGGCTAATTATGTAATACTGGACGTGCTCTACATTTACAAAAAAATTAATTCTGGAAGGCAAGATGGATTTCATGCCACCTTAATGCCCTTCATGTCACAGCATATGGTTAAACATCAATATCCATTCTCTTAGTTGTCTTTCCTGTCTACCCAGTTGAAAAATACAGGAAACATTGTTTCTTTTTTATTTTTTGCAGATATGGGATCTTGCTATGTTGGCCAGGTTAGTAGTGAACTCCTGGCCTCAAGTGATGCTCCCTTCTTAGTCTCCTGCTGGGATTACAGGTGTGAACCACCATGTGCCTGTCCAGGAAATATTGTTTCAATTCATTACACTAAAGAAAATAGGTGTGGGCACTGTTAAGGGGGAAATATTTGAAAATCGTAGCAGTGTACATACAGAGAAAGATCCCCCAAGCATGTGTGAAATACAATCCTGGAAAGAGGAAACGCACATGTTCGACAGCTACCTACAGAACATTATTGCTCCTCTTGTCGCTGTCTGTATCATTTTCACCTTCTTGGATCCTTATATGTCCAGTGCCCTTGTGGTTTTTTTTAAAAACAGTATTTTATTTTAAATATATTTAATTTTGTATATTTAAGGATAACATAATGAGGTTATGGGATACCAACAGATAATAAGTTGGTTACCATAGTGAAGCAAACTAACATACCTATCATCTTACACAGTTATAGTTTAGTGACGGGATCAGCTAAAATCTACTTGTTTGACAAAATCTCTAATAAAATGCAATTTTATTCGCAGTAGACTTCGTGATATACATTACCTTTCTATTAATTCGACATATCTGATTCTTTGTATCCTTTGAGCTACATCTCCACAATTTCCTCTAGAGCCTTGCCTCTGATATTCACAGTTTTATACCCTATTTCTGTATCTTTGACTATTTTTTGTTTGATTGGTTGTTTGTTTTAGCTTATACATAGGGGTGAGATCATGTAATATTTTCTTTCTGCATCTTGTTTATTTCCCTTAGTATATGGTCCTCCAGGTCCATTCATGCTATGGCAAATGGGAAGATTGCATTTTTTATAATGCTGAATAATATTCCAGTGTAGATTGATAGATACATAGATAGATATAAATAGATGGATGAGTACATAGTTTGATAGATGAAAGATAGATGATAGATAGTAAATGGATTAGTGGATAAAAAGATAGATTAGATAGATGATAGATTAATAGATGATAGATAGATAGATAGATACATAGATACATAGATACACAGCTAGATTAGACAGGTAGATAGATGATAGATAAGCAGCATAGGTAGCAGATAGATAAATGGGTAGGTAGGTACATAGACCAGATAGATACATAGATTAGAGAGTTAGATAGGTAGGCTGACAAATGTAAATAGATAAAATAGGTAGATAGATAGATAAGGTAGAGGGATATATACATAGATAGACAGGAGATAGATAGATACATACATACATACATACATACACAGATAGATTAGACAGGTAGATAGATGATAGATAAACAGCATAGGTAGCAGATAGATAAATGGGTAGATGGGTACATAGATTAGATGGATACATAGATTAGAGAGGTAGATAGGTAGGCTGAAAGATGTAAATAGATAAGATAGGTAGATACATAAGGTAGAGGGATACATAGATAGGTAGACAGGTGATAGATGGATAGATAGATACATACATACATACATAGTGTAGATAGATTATAGATAGATAATTAATAGACTAATAGGTACATAGATAGATGGTAGATAAAGGATGATTAGGTAGTCCATGTACACTAATCTGTGTACATATATATGTGAAAATATTATATAAACATATTATATAGAAAATAATTGATAGTAAAATTATAAGTTGCATTATTTCTTTACAGTCCTACTTTGAAATCTCCTTTCAATGCTCTTCTTAATCTTTTTTTTTTTTTCCGACAAAGGATGCAGTGTCTTAAAATATGGTAGGAAAACTGGAAATTCAAAAAGACATTTTAGTCATTCTTAGGCGCTATGGAATGAATTGTGTTCCCAGGAATAACGTGTATTTTGAAATCCTAACCCCTAAGACCTCCTTATGTTGGCTATATTTGTAAATAGGGTCTTTGAAAGGGGATTAAGGTAAAATAAAGTCACTAGGGTGGGCCTTGAACCAATAGAACTGCTGTCCTTATAAGAAAAGAAGATTGACGGCCGGGCGCAGTGGCTCATGCCTGTAATCCCAGCACTTTGGGAGGCCGAGGCAGGCAGATCACGAGGTCAGGAGATCGAGACCATCCTGGCTAACACGGTGAAACCCCGTCTCTACTAAAAATACAAAAAATTAGCCGGGCGTGGTGGCAGGCGCCTGTAGTCCCAGCTACTTGGGAGGCTGAGGCAGGAGAATGGCGAGAACCCAGGAGGCGGAGCTCGCAGTGAGCCAAGATCGTGCCACTGCACTCCAGCCTGGGCAGCAGAGGGAGACTTCATCTCAAAAAATAAAATAAAATAAAATAAAATAAAATAAAATAAATAAAATAAAATAAAATAAAATAAAATAAAATAAAATAAAATAAAATAAAATAAAATAAAATAAAATAAAAATAAAATAGATTGGTCAGGCCTGGTATCTCATGCCTGTAATTTCAACTTTTGGGGAGGCTGAGGAGGCTGGATTGCTTGAGTCCAGGAGTTTGAAACCAGCCTGGGCAACATGGTGAAAACTGACTCTACAAAAAACAAACAAACAAAAATTAGCTGGGCATGGTGGTGCAAACCTATAGTACCAGCTACTTGGGTGGCTAATGTCGGAGGATCACCTGAGCTCATGAGGCAAAGGCTACAGTCAGCCATGATCGTGTCACTGCATTACAGGTTGGGGGACAGAGTGAGATCTTGTATCAAAAAATACAAATTAAAAAAAAAGTCAAGATTAGGACACAGACACCGTACACAGATGGATGATCATACAAAGTCATAGGAAGAAGATGGTCTCTACATGCCAAAGAGAGAGGCCTGAGAAGGAACCAGCCTTGCCCACACCTTGGTCTTGGCTTCCAGCCTCCAGGACTGTGAGAAAATAAATGTCTGTTGTTCAAGGAGTGCGGTCTGTGGGACTTTGTTATGGAAGCCCAAGCTGACTAATAATACTATAAGCATAACTAATTATATGAAAAGAAAACGCATTTTAAAATCATAAAGTTATTTACACTAGGCTGGTATTAGGGTTCAAGGAAAATAAATGTCTTTTGTTCAAGCAGCCCGGTCTGTGAAACTTTGTAATGGCAGCCGAAGCTGAGGATAAATAGTTATATAAAAATATGGCTGGGAGCTGTGGCTCACGTCTGTAATCCCAGCACTTTGGGAGGCCCAGGAGGGCGGATGACCTGAGGTTAGGAAATCGAGATCATCCTGGCTAAGGTGAAACCCCATCTCTATTAAAAATACAAAAAAATAAGCTAGGAGTGGTGGCAGGCCCCTATAGTCCTAGCTACTTGAGAGGCTGAGGCAGGAGAATGGCATGAACCCAGGAGGCGGAGCTCGCAGTGAGCCGAGATCGCACCACTGCACTCCAGCCTGGGCAACAGAGCCAACAGAGTTAGACTTCGTTTCAAAAAAAAAAAAAGAGGTCGGGCGCGGTGGCTCAAGCCTGTAATCCCAGCACTTTGGGAGGCTGAGGCGGGCGGATCACGAGGTCAGGAGATCGAGACCATCCTGGCTAACACGGTGAAACCCTGTCTCTACTAAAAATACAAAAAAAAATTAGCCAGGCCCGATGGCAGGTGCCTGTAGTCCCAGCTACTCCGGAGGCTGAGGCAGGAGAACGGCATGAACCCGGGAGGGGAAGCTTGCAGTAAGCCGAGATCATGCCACTGCACTCCAGCCTGGGCGACAGAGCGAGACTCAGCCTAAAAAAAAAAAAAAAAATTATATAAAAAGAAAACATATTTTAAAATCATACAGTTATTTAAAATCATATACTTATTTACCATAGAGTTATTCACACTACCCTGATCTTAGGGTTCCCTGGGAAATAGAATTTCAGGAGAACACTTGTACGCAGAAGTTTTGATACGAAGAATGCTTGCTTGCTTGCTTGCTTGCTTGCTTTCACTTTCCCTCCCTTCCTTCCCTCCCTCCCTCCCTCCCTCTTTCCTTCCTTCCTTCCTTCCTTCCTTTCTTCCTTTCTTTCTTTCTTTCTCTTTCTTTCTTTCTTTCTTTCTTTCTTTCTTTCTTTCTTTCTTTCCTTCTTTCTTTCCTACTTCCTTTCTTTCCTACTTCCTTTCTTTCCTTCTTCTTTTCTTTGTTCCTTTCTTTCTCTCTTTCTTTATTTTTTTTTTTTTTTGTTGTTGTTGTTGACAGGGTCTTGCTCTGTTGCCCAGGCTGGCTTCTAGTGGCACAATCTCTCCACCTCCCAGGTTGAAATGATTCTTCTGCCTCAGCTTCCCAAGTAGTTTAGGGTAAAGGTACACCACCACACCTAATAATATAAGAAATACAACTAATATAATATAAGCAATACAACTGATTTTGGTGTTTTTAGTAGAGATGGGGTTTTGCCATGTTGGCCGGCTCGTCCCAAACTCCTGACCTCAGTTGATCCACCTGTTTTGGCCTCCCAAAGTGCTGGGACAACAGGCCTAAGCCACCAGTCCCAGCCAGGAGAATGCTCTTAAACCACCCTCATAGACACTGAATTGAAAGGCCTGGGGTGAAGGGAAGCATCACGCCATGTAGGTACAGGAGGAGCCTCTGCCTAGAGTATTAAAGTGTCCACTGCAAGTCTTTAAGTCTGAAACAAATTTCTAAACTGGGTGACACCCATTGTCCAACCTCATGAGTGGTTGATGCAAAGTATATCAGATAGTGTATTTTATCACCATTCGAAGATATACCTTATTGCATTCAGTTAACAGAAATTGTTCTATGACCGTGGTGGTCTCCAAATAAGATTATTGGCCTTCGAAAACCACACCTCACTCATCACCAAGTCATTGATTCACTTATGCAACCTTGAGAGGAGACACCGCTCTTCCTTTCTCCTTGGCATCCCTAGTACAGCCTCCATGGAAATCAGCAGAGAGCTACCTCCAAACACTAACAATATTGCTACCATATGATCCAGCAATCCACCTGCTGGATATTTATCCAAAAGAAAGAAAAGCAATATATCAAAGGGATACCTGCACCCCCATGCTTGTAATGCAGCATATATCAAAGACAGTGATGTGTGAAATATTATTTTCATTCATATTGTCGATCTCAATATGAAAATGTGGTTGTGATAATGAAGTGTTATAATACAGGTGAGAAATTGGGAAAAACTCATAGCATTTAGAAACTATGAATATGAATCATTAATTATATGCACTGATTAGCCAGCTTAAGAAATGATGGTTAATCTACTTATACTCATATTGCTGCACTATTCCCAATAGCTAACATGCAAAATCAACATAAATATCTGTCAGTGGGTGAATGGATAAATAAAATGTAGTATATATTCACAATGAATTACTATTCCACCTTTGGAAAAAAAAAAAGATATTCTGTCATTTGCAACAACATGGCTAGAACTGGAGGACATTATGTTAAGTAAAATAATCCAGGCAGAGAAGCACACATTCTGCATGTTTTCAATCACATGTGGAAGCTACAAAAGTGGATCTTACGGAGGTGGAGAGTAGAATAGTGGTCACCAGTGGGTGAAGAGGGTAGTGAGGAGACAGAAGAAAAAGGGGGTGGTTAATAAGTTACAAAAATACTGTTAGGTAGAAGAAATAAAATCTGGTGCTTGGTAGTACAATAGGATGAATATAATTAACGATTTATTTTATATTTCAAAATTGACAGAAGAGTATATTTGAAATGTTCCCAACACACAGTGATGACAAATGTTGGTGGTAATTGATATCCCACTTACCCAGATTTGATCATTATACCTTGTATGCTTCTATCAAATATCACAAGTATCCCATAAATATGTACAACTATGATGTATCCATTAAAAATATTTTGAAGAGAATATTTCTCTCTGTTCCACACTGAGTTTTCTCTGACATGTGTACATTCAATGGTTTTACATACATATCTGACTACAAAATAAATATGCCCCACAGACCTTTTAATAACATACATATATATTTTATATTTCTCTCTCAGATTTCATACATAAATAATAGTTACATTTTGTAGCTATTTGGATTTTTCACTTGTATTTTTGCAGGCATTTTGATCAGAATTTGGGAGAAGGCCATCAAACACAGTGATGTATAAAATATTATTTTCATGGATATTGCTTATCTTAATTAAAAATGTGGTTATGACAATAGCCACATTTATAATACACGTTATAATTATAGTAAAGATAACACATATTATAAATACATGGCAGTTATAATACATGGGAGTGTTACAATACATGGGAGGGACTGTGAAAAACTCATAGCATTTAGAAAGTAAGAATATTAATTACTTATATGCACTAATTAGCCAGATTGAGAAATGATAGTTAATCTATTCAGACTCAGCATTTGGAAACACAAATTAGAGGAGATGGAAAGTGTGAAGAAGGTTTATACAATTCACTGACCTTTTTGCATCCAAAAGGTTCTGAGTGTGGAACACCTTCCAAAAAGTGTGGCTTATTACTTAACAGCAAACTGTTATTTCATGAGGGTAGAGACTACCAAAGAAAGGTATTTCTTCCTAAACAGTTCTGAACTCAACCAAACAACAGAAGAAGGATAGACAGATAGATGGTTAGATAGATAGATAGATAGATGATAGATAGATACGATAAATATGATAAATACATAGATACTGATAATAAAACAGAACACATAAAAAACAGGTTAGGTTTCAGATAAAAACATATTGCCCTCAAGTATGCATTGAATGAGTAGGGGGTTGAGAAACAGAAGTTCACTGAGGATAGTAACTCTGTGCATTATTATTCCCCATGAATCACTTTTAAGAAAAGGATACACATTAGCTATTTTTTCAGGCAGCCAGGGATTATTCATTTTGTTTTGTTTTGTTTCTAGTACTTAAATGACCACATGTTGAGAAGGATAGATAATCAGGCTCATAACCACCCAGTTGTGAAAAAGTCCACACACCATGTGAGACACTGTGCACATGAATTTGCAGTGAAGTTGAAGATACAAGTCTAAAATGTTGTTGGTGTCTGAATGGACAGTAGCCATAACTTTTGGCATATTAAACATTTGATCAGTTGTCATATCTAATGGTTTACAAACACTGTCTTGTAGAGATTATCTAAAGTTCCAGCTTAATAAAAGAAATACATATGAACTCTGTGAAAATGTTTAAAACATGAGAAAGAGAATGTATACAAAGATAAACAGGAAATGCACTCCTGTTAAAGAGACTTAGCAATGGCAACGTAAGAAATTTTAGGTGGTTTTGAGAAAACAAAACACAGAAAAGACAGGCAGTGAAGAGACAGAGGGAAGTGAGGCAGGGCCAGGCACCATGGCTCATGCCTGTTATCTCAGCATTTTGGGAAGTTGAGGCAGGAGAATGACTAGGGCTCAGGCATTGGGTACTAGCCTGGGCAACATAGCAAGAACTTGTCTCTACTAAAAATGAAAAAATTTAGTCAGGTGTGTTGGTGCACAACTGTAGTCCGAGCTACTTGAGCTCAGAAGGTCAAGGCTGCACAGGGAGCCATGATGGCACCACCGTTCTCCAGCCTGAGCAATAAAGGAAGACTGTCTCAAAAAATGGGGGTTGAGGGAAGGAGGTGGGGAGGAAGGGGAAGAAAGAAAGGAAAAGGAATTGAGGAAAGAAGAAAGGAGGGACGGAAGAGAGGAAGGGAGGGTAGAAAGGAAGGAGAACAGAGAAAGGGAGAGATAAAGAGAATGGAAAGAAGAAAAGGAAGGAAGGAAGGGAGGGAGGGAGGAAGAGAAGAAAGGAGGGATGGGTGTAGGGAGGGAGGGAGGGAATGAAAGATAACCAAGAAAAAAGAAAAGAGGAAGAGAGGAAGGATGAAAGAAGGAAAGGTGAGAGAAAGAGCGAGGGAGGGAGAGAAGGAGGGAAGGAGGAAGGAAGGAGGGAAGGAAAAGAAGGAAGGAAGGCAGGAGGGAAGGAAGGAAGGAAGGGAAAGAAGGGAGAGAAGGGAGAGAAGGAAAGGGTAGAGAGAGGTAGCAAGGTATGTGGAGAGTGAATGCTCAGCTCTTACAAGTCCTTTATAAAATTTCCAACAAAGAGTATTCCCCATCAGCATGGTGGCCACCCAGCTCCACTGCCCTCTCTCACTTCTCTCTCTGTCTCTATCTTCTGTCCATCAGATTTCTTTCACACCAGTGTGAGGAAATGTCCCTGGTTTTCTTCTCCAAACATGACCCATCTCTCCTTGCTAAGTATTTGCTATCATCATGCATCTCACATTTATCCTATGCCACAAAGCTTGGTCATTTGGTTTAATGGAAAGCGACATCTCAGAGCTTTACTACAATGTGTGACCTTCAAAGTGTTACAAAACCACTGTGAACATAGAGCTCCTGTAAAGAAATATATGGTGCTTTCTATGTTCAGAAACTGTCTTATGCATTTTGTAAATTATTATTGAGATGATTGTATATTTTTATCTTGTATTAACCACAGATAGTTAAAGAAAACTCATGACAGTTGAAAAGACTGATATTAAAAAAACTTGATAAAGTATGTATGCAATATTGTATATAAAAGTATATAAAATATACATACATGTAATTATCAATACTTAATATTTAAAATAATAATAATAATTCCTCTGAAAGAGAAATACTGTATCAATAATGGCTGACAGAGTTTATGTGTTTGAGATACGAGAATGCCCATTGATATTTTATCAGGCAGTTTCTAATATGGGGCTATAAGTGGAAGATAGGAATATCATCATAGAAGATCTGGGGTAAGTATTGTGTTATCATTGGACCACTTAAAAGATGTATGCACTTTATAATCAAAATAAAATCTTTGAAGAATGGAAGGAGGGAGTGAAAATTGAATTGTGTTACTGTGTTCTTTAAAAGATATATTAATAAAATGTGATATTCATATACCTAAGAAAGTAAGCTGCTATTTGCTATTGAAGATAGAAGCCTTAAATGACTTTTATTCAATGTTGACATAACACTAGCTACTCATACTTTTAAGCATTGAGCAGTAAAGTATACAAATGTTTTAATGCATCCAAGTGAAATGGTTTTCTTAACACAGTAATCCAAAACAAACAAAACAACAAGGAAAAAACCCTCAAGCTCTGACTGCACCTTAAGATTGTTACAGGAAAATGCTTATTTTTACAAGGGCTACATGGCATTTCAAAATGATTACGAATTGCACCGAACAAGCTAACCACTCATTTTGCATTTCAGCATCTGCCTGTCAGTATTTAAATAGTGTCCAAAATAATTTCTCAGAGATGGCTTAGTGCTTCTCCATGTTAGATTCATGTGGCTTACTGGTTCATTTTTGAGTCATTTATACTGGCAAGAAATGGCCACTCCCATAAATTTATGTTAGCACAAGAGAGAACCAATATTAATTACCCTTTGTTAAGATCAACAGTTTTTAGTTGATTATTAAGAAAGGTAATTTGACTACTGTAACCATTGACAGGCAATTATTTCCAAATATTACATTTTTAGCACATAGAATGAACTTAAACCAGAGATAGTTGTAATATTTAATATGGGACAGTTTTATGAGTTCTTTCAGCTCTTCATGTTTATCTGGATCTTCTATACTTGTAAAGATAGCGTTTGCATATTATCCCAAGATCAAACTCTGTGTTAGTAAAAATAATTGGCCTGTTTACTATTTTTTATATAACAGTTCTAATGATTCATCAAAATGTATTTATTTAGTCAGTTATAGAAAACTGGCTATAATTTTATTGATTATGCTGAGCATTAAGTAAAAATGAGCAAGCTATAATCATCTGGATTTAGGACCCAGAAATACCAGAAAGAAGGAGTCTTTCCCATTTTAATATAGAAACTTCTACTCCCAAACTTCAAGCTCTGCATTTAGTGAATTACAACATCAATGGCCCTTGTTCACTGTTGTGTATCTATTAGACATTTCTGTTAAGCAAATGTAAAGAGAAATTATCATTTGATTAGCAGTTTCTTCAGTTCTTTCTGTTCTCTCAATACTTAGTTTCATTCTAACTCAAAAAAACAAATAAATTGAGGTAGAATAAAAGGAAGGAAAAAAAGAATGAAATCAAGAATGAATTTGAATAAACAGAATGAAATAGGAAAGAATGAAATGGAAAAGCGGAATAAACAAACAGTGTTCACTCTTTTCTATGAGTTTTACAGAGAATGTAAATTTTAAAACCACATACTAAAATTCTATCTCAAATAGTAAATATCAAATGTTTTGTTCTTTTCAGCTCACTGCTATTTGTGTCTTTATTTTTCAAAGCTGTCTCTCACCATAGTCTAGATCTTTCCACACAGGTGGGGCGATTTTAAGGTCAGTAGAAATCTCCTTCATCTAAGTTGGACACAAGGATGTCTAAGATGCCCGAGACACCAGTCCTTATTTGGCTTGAGAACTTGGAGGCTCTGGTATAGATGATAACATATTTCATAAAAGTAGAAAAGAAATTCAGGAAACAAGAGATCTGGGTAGATCATTGCTCAAGTTTATGTTTCTGGACAACTATTATTTCTACTTTTTGCATACAGAATAAACAAAGAAGAGAAAGAAAGAGAGAGAGAGAGAGGTCATCTGTGGATTGTAGCTTGGCCAGTGCCTATGAGTTCTATCTTGCCTATGATGTGATAAGATATAGATAGATAAGTATATAGATAGATAGATAGATAGATAGATGATAGATAGATGATAAATAGGTAATAGGTAGATAATAATTGATAGATGACAACTACATAAATGGACAATATAGGGGTGATAGATGAATAGATAGTTGATGGATAGATAATTGATATAGAGAGATGATAGAGAGAGAGAGGAAAGCTATATAGACTAATGGCAGATGGATACATAGATGGTATATAGTTGATAGATTATATAGATAGATGAGTAGATAGATGATAGGTGGATAGAGATGACAGAGAGATGATGTAGATAAATAAATAATAGACAGGTGATTGATAGATGATGGATAGATGTAGGATAGATAGATTATACATAAATGGATAGATTATAGATAGATAATAGATGAATGGATGAATAGATGACAGATAGGTCATAGATAAATGAATAGCTAGATAAGTGATAGATAATGGATGGGCTGGGTGCAGTGGTTCACGGGTATAATCCCAGCAGTTTGGGAGGCCAAGGCAGGTGGATCACCTGAGGTCGAGAGTCTCAAGACCATCCTGACCAACATGGAGAAACCCTGTCTCTACCAAACATACAAAATTAGCCAGGCATAGTGGTGCATGCCTGTATTCCCAGCTACTCAGGAGGCTGAGGCAGGAGAATTGCTGGAACCTGGGAGGCAGAGGTTACGGTGAGCCAAGATTGTGCCATTGCACTCCAGCCTGGGAAGCAAAAGCAAAACTCCATGTTAAAGAGAAAAAAAAAAAAAAGATAGGTGATGGATGACAGATAATAGATGGATAGGTAGAAGACAGATTAATAGATAAATAGATGATAAACAGATATAGGGATGAGATTGATAAATACAGATAGATAAATATAAATACATATGTAAAGATACAGATAAGTACAAATATAGATATAGATGAATATACCTATATCTCTCTATATGATATAAATTTGTATCATCTATCTATCAATTTCTTACAGAGAATGTAACTTTTAAAACCACACACTAAAATGCTATCTAAAAGAGTAAATATCAAATGTTTTGTTCTTTTCACCTTACTCCTATTTATGTCTTTATTCTTCAAAGTTGTCTTTGATTAATAGATGATCAGATAGATGATCTGTCTGCAATGTATCTGTATTTATTATGAATTTATCAGATACATATCCGCATCTATATCTATCTTCCTCTATTTATAGAGAGGAATGAACACATATCTATCTGTCTAACTATGTATCTGTCTATGTCTTATACTGGTTCTAGTCATCTGATTAAACCCCACTGCTTCATATAATAATATTCATCTATATTTATTATCTCTAGTTATATATAGAATGTATATATTTGTAGTTATATTGATCAAATCAGTATAGATAAATATATATAGTAACCAATTACATGCAATAATGGAATCAGCTTAACAATCAAATGTACCCATTCTGTAAACAAGCTTTTTGTAGTCTATAAATCTCATATTTTATTACCTCAAATGGTCCTCATTTATTTATCCAAACACTCTATCATTAAAAGCAAATTCATGCCTAATATAACAACACCATCAGTGATATAATTATAACTATAATGAAGAAAACTTGACCAATGCCCTCCAAAATCATATTTATTCATGAAGAGGGTCATAACCAGACAATTAAAAAAATTAGCTCTAAGAACTTTGGAAAGGCATGTTTAAGGAAGCCTAATGGTTAGATAAATTGGTTTCAACTGAGATTATTGAATAACCTGAGTCTTTTACTGGACAATCAAAATAGAAATATTTAGGGAGAGAAGGCATAAAGGTATTCAAAGGTAATACTCTTTATTATCATTTGATCAATAAATGCCAGGCACTATCATATGATTTTTAATACATAGTTTACCTACACAATAAATACTTCAGGATTCTCTATTTGCAGGTGATATCATAAAGGTGTCACCGCTGGAGGTCATGTGATTGACATGATTCATTTCCCAAGCTCCTATCCATTCATTCAGTAAATATTTATGGTTGCTCTCTTTGTATGTTACCATAATTCTCTGCTCCAATGGTGTCCATCTGAACATAGCCCTAAAAGATGGAGACTAGGGTGTGGAGACTGTGCAGCAAGGTGGATTTGGGACAAATCACAGAGGTGCCTGGATTTACTGCCTGCATGGATTAACTACCATTGATTTTTCCAAGTCCTTCCAAGCTGCCTGGACTTTATTTTTTATGTAAAGTGGAGCTATTGATAGCTCCTTGTTAAGTGAGTCTCTTCTAAGAGAGTTGGTTTTCGAATACTGACCAGGGCCCTTATTCAAAGTATAGTTCTGAATAAATAACCATGCTGTTTCCCTTGTGAATTGTTATGTAGAGTAATAGCAAATATCAAGTCTGATTTGAGAAGAATTGGAATAGCTAATATAATAACAGACATGGGCAGAATACAAAAATTAATTACAGAAAGATGTGATTAATGTAACCTTAGAAATCACAGCGGGAAGAGTTGGATTTAATGGAAAATTCTACAAACCCATCCAGAAACAGATGGATTATTGTCATGTTATATAAAATAAATGTACCAGAACAGACAGACATATGTGCAATATTTCAATTAGTGCAATGAGACAATATAAGCTGAAAAAGGACATAGAATGACTCAACATTTTTAAGGAAACAATGAGAGTAGAAACACTGAGTTAGTACACAATTCTCTTGATACATTATTTCCTTTGCGAAGGCAAAGAAACACAGGACAGTACTGAACATGACAAATGAAACTGCAGAAGTTTCTATGTTCTAATGTTGGATTCAAGAGAGTGTGCTTGTTTTCTCATGAGGAAAATACAGAGAGAAAGACTCATCGTTAATAGGAACATGATATCATTTCTATGGTGAAGAATGAAGAAGTCTACCAAGAAAGAAATCTGTAACCAGATAGAGATGCAATTCTTTGGTAAAAGTGGTCACATTTGATCTATTAAAATATGAAGCAGGCAAAGTCCAAATACAGATAATTCTTTCAGGTTAATAAATTAGAGATCAACCCCTCTTCTGATGGCTTTCATGTTCTCAGTGAAGTGTAAGTCAATGTCTTCAGGGAGAGGGCTTGAAGATCCTCTAGCAAAAATATTTAAAGTGGAGAGAAAGATGTCTTCAAAGAACAGTGTTACCCTAAGAAGATTGATGGGTAAAGAAAATGTGGTACACATATACAGAACTAAAACCAGAAACCACATGATCATCTCAAAAATCTCAGAAAAGGTTTTTGATGAAACCCAACATCCCTTCAGATTTAAAACCCTCAACTCAACAAACTAGGCATTGAAGGTACGTACCTCAAAATAATAAGATCTACCTATGGCAAATGCATAGCCAACATCATACTAAATGGGCAAAACCTGGAAGCATTATGCTTGAAAACGGAAATGGCAAGGATTCTTTCACTGTTCCTATTCAACATATTATTAGAATTCCTACCAGAGCAATTAGGCAAGAGAATGAAATAAAAGGCATCCAAATAGGAAGAGATGATGGCAAAAAATTTGTTTGCAATTGATATGATTCTATACGTAGGAACCATCACAGACTCTGCCCAAAGTCTCTTAGGCCTGAGAAACAACTTCATCAAAGTTTCAGGATACAAAGTCAGTGTTCAAACATAAATGGCATCCCTGTACCTGAGCAACATCCAAGCTGAGAGCCAAATCAAGAATAGAATGCCATTCACAACAGCCAAAGAAAGAATAAAATAGTTAGGAATACATCTAACCAGGCAGGTGAAAGCTCTCTACAAAGAGAATAACAAATCACGACTCAAAGATGTCAGAGATGACACAAATGTTCTACTCATTCCATGCTCATGGATTGGAAAAATCGATATTGCTAAAATGGCCATATTGCCCAAAGCAATTTTTTAAATTATACTTTAAGTTCTAGGGTACATGTGCACAACATTCAGGCTTGTTACATATGTATACATGTGCCACGTTGGTGTGCTGCACCCATTAACTCATCATTTACATAAGGTATATCTCCTAATGCTATCCTTCCCCACTCCCCCAACCCCACAACAGGCCCAAGTGAGTGAAGTTCCCCTTCTTGTGTCCAAGCATTCTCATTGTTCAATTCCCACCTGTGAGAGAACATGTGGTGTTTGGTTTTTTGTCCTTGCGATAGTTTGCTGAGAATGATGGTTTCAGTCTCATCCATGTCCCTACAAAGGACATGAACTTATCTTTTTTATGGCTGCATAGTATTCCATGGTGTATATATGTGCCACATTTTCTTAATCTAGTCTATCATTGATGGACATTTGTGTTGGTTCCAAGTCTTTGCTATTGTGAACAGTGCCTCAATAAACATACGTCTGTAGGTGTCTTTATAGCAGCAGGATTTATAATCATTTGGGTATATACGCAGTAATTTGATGGCTGGGTCAAATAGTATTTGTAGTTCTAGATCCTTGAGGAATTGCCACACTGTCTTCCACAATAGTTGTACTAGTTTTCAGTCCCACCAACAGTGTAAAAGTGTTCCTATCTCTCCATATCCTCTCCAGCACCTGTTGTTTCCTGACTTTTTAATGATTGCCATTCTAACTGGTGTGAGACGATATCTCATGGTGGTTTTGGTTTGCATTTCTCTGATGGTCAGTGATGATGAGCACTTTTTCATGCATCTCTTGGCTGCATAAATGTCTTCTTTTGAGAAGTGTCTGTTCATATCCTTCACCTACTTTTTGATGGGGTTGTTTGTTTTTTTCTTGTAAGTTTGTTTGAGTTCTTTGTAGGTCCTGGATATTAGCTCTTTTTCAGATGAGTAGATTGCAAAAATTGTCTCCCATTCTGTAGGTTGCCTGTTCACTCAGATGGTAGTTCCTTTTGCTGTGCAGAAGCTCTTTAGTTTAATTAGATCCCATTTGTCAATTTTGGCTTTCGTTGCCATTGCTTGGGGTGTTTTAGACATGAAGTTCTTGCCCATGCCTATGTCCTGAATGGTATTGCCTACGTTTTCTTCTAGGGCTTTTATGATTTTAGGTCTAACGTTTAAGTCTTTAATCCACCTTGAATTAATTTTTGTACAAGGTGTAAGGAAGGGATCCAGTTCCAGCTTTCCACATATGACTAGCCAGTTTTCCCAGCACCATTTATTAAATAGGGAATCCTTTCCCCATTGCTTGTTTTTGTCAGGTTTGTCAAAGACCAGATAGTTGTAGATGTGTGGTATTATTTCTGAGGGCTCTGTTCTGTTCCATTGGTCTATACATCTGTTTTGGTATCAGTACCATGCTGTTTTGGTTACTGTAGCCTTGTAGTATAGTTTGAAGTCAGGCAGTGTGTTGCCTCCAGCTTTGTTCTTTTTGCTTAGGATTGTCTTGTCAATGAGGGCTCTTTTTTGGTTCCATATTAACTTTAAAGTAGTTTTTTTTCCAATTCTGTGAAGAAAGTCATTAATAGCTTGATGGGGATGGCATTGAATCTATGAATTATCTTGGGCAGTATGGCCATTTTCATGATACTGATTCTTCCTATCCATGAGCATGGAATGTTTTTCCATTTGTTTGTTTCCTCCTTTATTATGTTGAACAGTGGTTTGTAGTTATCCTTGAAGAGGTCCTTCACATCCCTTGTAAGTTGGATTCCCAGGTATTTTATTCACTTTGAAGCAATTGTGAATGGGAGCTCACTCATGAGTTGGCTGTCTGTTTTTCTGTTATTGGTATATAAGAATGCTTGTGATTTTTGCACATTGATTTTGTATCCTGAGACTTTGCTGAAGTTGCTTATCAGCTTAAGGAGATTTGGGGCTGAGATGATGGGCTTTTCTAAATATACAATCATGTCATCTGCAAACAGGGACAATTTGACTTCCTCTTTTCCTAATTGAATACTCTTTATTTCTTTTTCTTGCCTGATTACCTTAGCCAGAACTTCCAACACTATGTTGAATAGGAGTGATGAAACAGGGCATCCCTGTCTTGTGCCAGTTTTCAAGGGGAATGCTTCCAGTTTTTGCCCATTCAGTATGATATTGGCTGTGGGTTTGTCATAAATAGCTCTTATCATTTTGAGATATATTTCATCAATATCTAATTTATTGAGAGTTTTTAGCATGAAGCGCTGTTGAATTTTGTCAAAGGCCTTTTCTGTATCTATTGAGATAATCATGTGGTTTTTGTCTTTGTTTCTGTTTATATGATGAATTACATTTATTGATTTGCATATATTAAACCAGTCTTGCCTCCCAGGGATGAAGCCCACTTGATCATGGTGGATAAGCTTTTTGATGTGCTGCTGTATTTGATTTGGCAGTATTTTATTAAGGATTTTTTTTATTAAGGATTTTTGCATCGATGTTCATCAGGGATATTGGTCTAAAATTCTCTTTTTTTGTTGTGTCTCTGCCAGACTTTGGTATCAGGATGATCCTGGCCTCATAAAATGAGTTAGGGAGGAATCCCTCTTTTTCTATTGACGATTGGAATAGTTTCAGAAGGAATGGTACCAGCTCCTCCTTGTACCTCTGGTAGAATTTGGCTGTGAATCCATCTTGTCCTGGACTTTTTCTGCTTCATAGGCTATTAATTATTGCCTCAATTTCAGAGTCTATTATTGGTCTATTCAGGAACTCAACTTCTTCCTGGTTTAGTCTTGATAGGGTGTATGTGTCCAAGAATTTATCCATTTCTTCTAGATTTTCTAGTTTATTTGTGGATGTGGAAAGGTGTTTATAGTTTTATCTGGTTGTAGTTTGTATTTCTGTGGTATCAGTGGTGATATCTCCTTTATCATTTTTATTGCATCTATTTGACTCTTCTCTATTTTCTTCTTTATTAGTCTTGCTAGAGGTCTATCAATTTTGTTGATCTTTTCAAAAAACCAGCTCCTGGATACATTGATTTTTTTTGAAAGTTTGTTTTTGTGTCTCTATCTCCTTCAGTTCTGCTCTGATCTTAGGTATTTCTTGCCTTATGCTAGCTTTTGAATGTGTTCGCTCTTGCTTCTCTAGTTCTTTTAATTGTGATGTTAGTGTGTCAATTTTAGATCTTTTCTGCTTTCTCTTGTGGGAATTTAGCGCTATAAATTTCCCTCTGCACACCGCTTTAAATGTGTCCCAGAGATTCTGGCATTTTGTGTCTTTGTTCTCATCTGTTTCAAAGAACATTGTTATTTCTTCCTTCATTTCGTTATGTACCCAGTAGTCAGTCAGGAGCAGGTTGTTCAGTTTCCAAGTATTTGAGCAGTTTTGAGTGAGTTTCTTAGTCCAGAGTTCTAGTTTGATTGCACTGTGGTCTGAGAGACAGTTTGTTATAATTTCTGTTATTTTACATTTGCTGAGGAGTGCTTTGCTTCCAACTATGTGGTCAATTTTGGAATAAGTGTGATGTGGTGCTGAGAAGAATGTATATTCTGTTGATTTATGGTGGAGAGTTCTGTAGATGTCTATTAGGTCCAGTTGGTGCAGAGCTGAGTTCAATTCCTGGATATCCTTTTTAACTTTCTGTCTCATCAATCTGTCTAATGTTAACAGTGAGGTGTTAAACTCTCCCATTATTATTGTGTGGGAGTCTAAGTCTCTTTGTAGGTCTCTAAGGACTTGCTTTATGAATCTGGGTGCTCCTGTATTGGGTGCATATATACTTATGATAGCTCTACTCTTTGAATTGATCCATTTACCATTATGTAATGGCCTTCTTTGTCTCTTTTGATCTTTGTTGGTTTAAAGTCTGTTTAATCAGAGAATAGAATTGCAACCCCTGCCTTTTTGTTGTTTTCCATTTGCTTGGTAGGTCTTCCTCCATCCCTTTATTTTAAGCCTATGTGTGTCTCAACTCGTAAGATGGGTCTCCTGAATACAGCACACTGATGGCTCTTGACTCTTTATCCAATTTGCCAGTCTGTGTCTTTTAATTGGAGCACTTAGCCCATTTACATTTAAGGTTAATATTGTTATGTGTGAATTTGATCTGTCATGATGTTAGCTGGTTATTTTGCCCATTAGTTGATGCTGTTTCTTCCTAGCATCAATGGTCTTTATAATTTGGCATGTGTTTTCAGTGTCTGGTACCGGTTTTTCCTTTCCATGTTCATTGCTTCCTTCAGGAGCTCTTTTAGGGCAGGCCTGGTGGTGACAAAATCTCTCAGCATTTGCTTCTCTGTAAAGTATTTTATTTCTCCTTCACTTATGAAGCTTAGTTTGGCTGGATAAGAAATTCTGGGTTGAAAATTCTTTTCTTTAAGAATGTTGAACATTTGCCCCCACTCTCTTCTGGCTAGTAGAGTTTCTGCTGAGAGATCAGTTGTTAGTCTGATGGCCTTCCCTTTGTGGGTAATCCGAGCTTTCTCTCTGGCTGCCCTTAGCATTTTTTCCTTCATTTCAACTTTGGTGAATCTGATGATTATATGTGTTTTGGAGTTGCTCTTCTCGAGGAGTATCTTTGTGGTGTTCTCTGTATTTCCTGAATTTGAATGTTGACCTGCCTTGCTAGGTTGGGGGAGTTCTCCTGTGTAATGTCCTGCAGAGTGTTTTCCAACTTGGTTTCATTCTCCCCATCATTTTCAGGTACACCAATCAGATGTAGATTTGGTCTTTTCACATAGTCCCCTATTTCTTGGAGGTTTTGTTCATTTCTTTTTACTCTTTTTTCTCTAAACTTCTCTTCTTGGTTCATTTCATTCATTTGATCTTCAATCACTGATTGCCTTTCTTCCAGTTGACCAAATTGGCTACTGAAGCTTGTGCGTTCATCACATAGTTCTTGTGCCATGGTTTTCAGCTCCATCAGGTCATTTAAGGACTTCTCTACACTGGTTATTCTAGTTAGCCATCTGTCTAATCTTTTTTCAAGGTTTTTAGCTTCTTTGTGATGGGTTCAAACTTCCTCCTTTAGCTCAGAGAAGTTTGATGGTCTTAATCCTTCTTCTTTCAACTCATCAAGGTCATTCTCCATCCAGCTTTGTTCCATTGCTGGTGAGGTGCTGTTCTCCTTTGGGGGAGAAGAGGCACTCTGATTTTTAGAATTTTCAACTTTTCTGCTCTGTGTTTTCCCCATCGTTGTAGTTTTATCAACCTTTTGTCTTTGTGATGATGATGTATAGATGGGATTTTGGTGTGGATGTCCTTTCTGTTTGTTAGTTTTCCTTCTAACAGTCAGGACCCTCAGCTGCAGGTCTGTTGGAATTTGCTGGAGGTCCACTCCAGACCCTGTTTTCCTGGGTATCAGCAGTGGAGGCTGCAGAACAGCGAATATTGCTGAACAGCAAATGTTGCTGCCTGATGATTCCTCTGGAAGCTTCATCTCAGAGGGGTACCTGGCCATGTGGGGTGTCAGTCTGCCCCTACTGGGGGGTGCCTCCCAGTTAGGCTACTTGGGGTTCAGGGACCCACTTGAGGAGGCAGTCTGTCCATTCTCAGATCTTGAACTCCATACTGGGAGAACCACTATTCTCTTCAAAGCTTTCAGACAGGGACATTTAAGTCTGCAGAGGTTTCTGCTGCCTTTTGTTCAGCTATGCCATGCCCCCAGAGCTGGAGTCTACAGAGGCAGTCTGGCCTCCTTGAGCTGTGGTGGGCTCCACCCAGTTGGAGCTTCCTGGCCGCTTAGTTTGCCTACTGAAGCCACAGCAACAGCAGGCACCCCTCCCTCAGCCTCACTGCTGCCTTGCAGTTTGATCTCAGAAAGCTCTGCTAGCAATGAGTGAGGCTCCGTGGGTGTGGCACCCTCTGAGCCAGGTGCAGGATATAATCTCCTGGTGTGCCATTTGCTAAGACAACTGGAAAAGTGCAGCATTAGCATGGGAGTGACCCAATTTTCCATGTGCCCTCTGTCACAGGTTCCCTTGGCTAGGAAAGTGAATTCCCTGATCCCTTGCACTTCCTGGGTGAGGCAATGCCTGGCCCTGCTTCAACTCACACTCAGTGGGCTGCACCCACTGTCCCCACTGTCCTGCACCCACTGTCTGACAAGCCCCAGTGAGATGAACATGGTACCTCAGTTGGAAATGCAGAAATCACCCGTCTTCTGTGTCACTCACACTGGGAGCTGTAGACTGGAGCTGTTCCCATTCAGCCATCATGCCAAAAGCAATTTACAGATTTGATGCTATTTCTATCAAACTGTCAATGACAATGCTACTGGAACAAAGAGGACATATAACCAATGGAGCAGGATAGAGAACCCAGAAAAAAAGCTACACACCTACAACCAAGTGATATTCAACTAAGCTGACAATAAGAAGCAATGGGGAAAGAAATCCCTAGCTGGGAAATCTGGCTAGCCATATGTAGAAGAATGAAATTGGAAACCTACCTTTCACCATATATAAAAAATCAACTCAATATGGATTAATGACTTAATTTTAAAACTGAAAACTATAAGTATGCTAGAAGAAAATAGAAAATACCATTCTAGATTTCAGTCCTGTCAAAGAATTAGTGATGAAGACCTTAAAGGCAATGGAAACAAAACAAAAGTTGACAAGTTGGACCTAATTAAACTAAATAGTTTCTCCACAGCAAAAGAATAAGCAGTTAACCTACAGAATGAGATGAAATATTTTCAGACTAGGCATCCAACAAAGGTCTAATATTCAAAATCTATTTGACTAGCCTTTAAAAAAAGAAACAAGCAAATCAACAAGCAAAAAGCAAACAACTCCATTAAATATATACAGAGGACAAGAGTGGACTCTTCTTAAAAGAAGAAATACATACAGCCAACAAGCTTATTAAAAAATGCTCAACAGGACTAATCATTAGGAAAATGCAAATCAAAACCACAATGAGAGATATCATCTCACACCAGTTAGGATGGCTATTGTTACAAAATAAAAAAATAACAGATGCTGTTGATATTATAGAGGAAAGGGAATTCTCATGCACCACTAATGGGAAGGTAAATTCTTCTCATTATTTCCTTAATTCACCCACTAAAGAAGGAAGTCAGAAGATTCCTCAAAGAACCAAATAGAACTACCCTTTGACCCAGGAATACCATTACTCCATATGTAACCAAAGGAGAATACATTATTCTACGATAAAGACACATGCATGGACATTTTCCTTGCAGCATTATTTACAATAGCAAAGATATGGAATTAGCCTCGATGCCAATGAACAGTGGACTGGATAAGGAAAATGTGATATATATACCCATGAAATAGTGTGCAGTCATAAATGAGAATGAGACCATGTCCTTTGCAGCAATATGAATGGAGCTGGAAGCTATTTTCTTAAGTCAATTAATGCTGGAACAGAAAACCGAATACTGCATGTTCTCACTTATAAGTAGGAGCTGAACATGGAGTACACATGGACACAAAGACAGGGAAAATAGACCACTTGAGGGTGTAGAGTGGGAAGACAGTGAGGATTCAAGAATTTCCCGTAGTGTCTTATGCTGCTAATCTAGGTGACAAAATTATCTATACACAAAACCCCCACACTGGGCAATTTACCCATGTAACAAACTGACACATATAACCCTTCAACCTAAAATAAGAGTTCGATACAAAGAGAAACAAAAGAAAAAATGTGGTATAGGTTACATGCCAGGAATCCTAGTGCTTTGGGAGGGTGAAGCAGTGATATTGATAGAGGCCAGGAGGTGTAGGCTATAGTGGTTCACAATTGTGCCATTACACTCCAGCCTGAGTGACAGAGCATAAACGTGTCTCAAAAAAAAAGAAAGAAAAGAAAGAAAGAAAAGAGAGAAAGAAAAGAAAGAAAGAAAGAAAGAAAGAAAGAAAGAAAGAAAGAAAGAAAGAGAAAGGAAGGAAGGAAGGAAGAAATAAGGAAAGAAAGAAAGAAAGAAAGAAAGAAAGAAAGAAAGAAAGAAAGAAAGAAAGAAAGAAAGAAAAAGAAAGGAGGGAGGGAAGGAGGAAGGGAGAGAGGGAGCAAGGGAGGGAGGAAAGAAGGAAGGAAGGAAGGAAGAAAGGAAGGAAGGAAGGAAGGAAGGAAGGAAGGAAGGAAGGAAGGAAGGAAAGAAGGAAGGAAGAAGGAAGGGATGAAGGAAAAAATGTCATAAAGATACAAAATAAAATACTATTCAGCTGTAAAAAAAATAAGATTGTGTATTTTGCAGTAACATGGATAGAATTGGAACTAGAGGTCATTATCTTAAGTGAAACAATGCAGAAACAGAAACTCAAATAATACATCGTCTCTCTTTCTTTTCTTTCTTTGTTTCCTCCCTTCCTTCCTTCCTTCCTTCCCTCCTTCTCTTCCTCCCTTTCTCCCTCCCTCTCACCCTCCTTCCTTCCTTTCTCTCTCTTTTCTTTCCTTCTTTCTCTCTCTTTCTTTCCTTCTTTCTTTCCTTCTTTCTCTCTCTCTCTTTCTCTCTTTCTTTATTTCTTTCTTTCTTTCTTTCTTTCTTTCTTTCTCTCTCTTCTCTCTATAGAGTAGAATAATAGACATTGGAGGCTCAGAAGGGTGGGATGGCTGGAGTTGGGAGAGAGGTAAGAAATTGCTTAGTAGGTACCATGTACGTTATTATAGTGATGGTTAAATGGAAAGCCCAGACTGTATCATTCCATAATATATCCATGTAGCAAAGCTGCTCTTGTACTTAGATTTATTCAAAAATTTAAAGCAAGACTATTAGCACTTATGGAGTGTGGGAAGCCATTGGATAAGCCTATTCTTGCCTGCAAAGTGAGAACAATCTTCATGGTTGTGTGTTTTTTATGTTCTGGACATTTGTGTATGTATTTTGGTAATGTTGAAATATTCAAGTACAGTCAGAAATTGATCAAATAGCTGGTGTAACAAGATATATGGTTTATTTGGGCAAGTTCTGTAGGTGGAGAGGAGAAGGGCAAAGAGGAAAATCCTGTGCTCAAAAGAATGATTTTAATGGAGGACCTTGTATTTTTAGGCTGAGTAAGGAGACAAGCATAAATGACATGTAAAACAGAGAAAAATTTGTAAAAATCAATGAGAAGATGTATTGCTAATAGAACCAGTGTGAAGAAGCAATTCATAGGCTTTCTGTTTTATTTCTAAATATTTTTACAAATAATTAAAAGAGGATAATTGATTGTAACACAAAAGATAAATGCTTGAGGGGATGGATACCTCATTACCTGTGATGTGATTACAATGCACTGCTGATCTATATCAAAACACCTCATATAACCCATAAGTAGATATACCCACAAAAATGAAGACAATGAATAAATATATTCGAAGTTCTCAGGAAAAAAAAAGAAAATTGGTTAGCTTGCTTTTATAACTCCTGTAACATGAAGGTTGACACGATCACATTTAGAATCCTTAAACTGACTCTGAAATATGGACACAGGACCTCAAATTTTCCCTTTCCATACCCATATGAATTCATCCACAACCAATTTGATTGTCATTGCAGTTTCTTAGAAAAAGAAAAAATGAAACCAGTTTTAAAATAAACATTTTTCAGACAAGATATAACTTTCTAAAATAAAAGTATCTAAATCATAAAAGAATGTCTATTCTCTGAGCCTGTGTATTGAATGAATGAACATGTGTTCCTTGACCGACCCCAAGGACAATAGCAAGCTCTACTGAGTATGAGTTTCAAAAAAAGCTGATGTGTGTTTTGGAAAATCATCTGACCAACTCCTTTTATTGTAATTTATTTTTAACTAGAGAAGAATGCACATTTTTAAACCTTAGCTAATTTCCATGCAGATCATATATGTAGATATCCAGAAGGGGTGTCATTTGTTTTCCATTTCAACATATTTTACTTTATAGCAACATATTTCTCGAACTTACATTTTTTGTTCCTGGAAGCTGAGAATAAATAATTAAAACACTGCTGTTTTGTTTGCTGGAGTGAACATTTGGAAAGTGTCCTAAAATAATTAGTACTTTCATTGGCATTCCAATATGCTATGAAGAAACACACGCACATTCACAAACACACATACACACACACACACACACACACACAGAGAAAGAGAGTCTAACAAGAAAGATGTTTTAGAGAAAGCTGAAACTGGATCCTTTCCTTACACTTTATACAAAAATTAATTCGAGAGGATTAAAGACTTAAATGTTAGACCTAAGACCATAAAAACTCTAGAAGAAAACCAAGGAAATACTATTCACGACATAGGCATGGGCCAGGACTTCATGTCTGAAACACCAAGAGCAATGGCAACAAAAGCCAAAATTGACAAATGGGAACTAATTAAACTGAAGAGCTTCTGCACAGCAAAACACACTACCATCAGAGTGAACAGGCAACCTACAGAATGGGAGAAAATTTTTGCAATCTACTTATCTGACAAAGGGCTAATATCCAGAAACTACAAAGAACTCAAACAAACTTACAGGAAAAAAACAAACAACCCCATCCAAAAGTGGGCAAAGGATATGAACAGACACTTCTCAAAAGAAGACATTTATGCGGCCAACAGACACATGAAAAAATGCTCACCATCACTGGCCATCAGAGAAATGCAAATCAAAACCACAATGAGATACCATCTCACACCAGTTAGAATGGCGATCATTAAAAATCAGGAAACAACAGGTGCTGGAGAGGATGTTGAGAGATAGGAACACTTTTACACTGTTGGTGGGACTGTAAATTAGTACAACCGTTGTGGAAGACAGTGTGGCAATTCCTCAAGGATCTGGAACTAGAAATACCATTTGACCCAGCCATCCCATTACTGGGTATATACCCAAAGGACTATAAATCATGCTGCTATAAAGACACATGCACACGTATGTTTATTGTGGCATTATTCACAATAGCAAAGACTTGGAACCAACCCAAATGTCCAACAATGATAGACTGGATTAAGAAAATGTGGCACATATACACCATGGAATACTATGCATAAATAAATGATGAGTTCATGTCGTTTGTAGGGACATGGATGATGCTGGAAATCATTATTCACAGCAAACTATTGCAAGGACAAAAAACCAAACACCACATGTTCTCACTCATAGGTGGGAATTGAAGAGTGAGAACGCTTGGACACAGGAAGGGGAACATCACACACCAGAGCCTGTCATGGGGTTGGGGGAGGGGGGAAGCATAGCATTAGGAGATATACCTAATGTAAATGACAAGTTAATGGGTGCAGCACACCAACATGACACATGTATACATATGTAACAAACCTGTGCATTGTGCACAAGTACCCTAGAACTTAAAGTATAATAAAAAAAAGAAAAAAATTTATCACCTCTTTGATTAGATTTCATATGGCCACTTGAAAATGTAAAAGAAATTTTTTCTTTTTTAAAATTTATTTGTCTGCAGAAAAACACAGATTTTAGTATTTTCATGTCTAAAAGAAAGAGTCTTGAGTAGTTTAAAGTGGCCTATGATCCAAAATAAATTCACTGAATTTGGAGAAAAAAACTGTTTGTAAAAATATAATAATCTTCAACCTAGTGAAGTGAGCACATTGAAAATACCATTCCACTAGCATCAGACATCCAATTTTAATCTTGCAAACAAAGCTTTAGTTAATTGCCACTTATTTTAATGAAAAGTATTGAAAGTGGTTTTACAATTTTATTATTTTTTTAAAAAAAATTTCTCCATGTTTGAACTTTCACTTAGACTTGATTCTTATATTTGTAACTATAATAACACTTTAAAAGTTCATCTTTTTCTTCAAACTTCAAGTTGTTTTTAGGAAAATTTTTGGTTCAAATAACATGTGGGTCCACATTATCAAGAGCAAAACCTTATTACACTGGGATTTCTGTTCTATGGAATAAGAGATGATTCTTTTATGCATACAACTAAAACTAATTCTCAAATATGACCTAACTTTATAATTGTATATTCCATTAATCACTTGATGTGTTAAAATAGTATGTTAATAACAGCATCTTGACAAAAGAGATGTATCTGGTAGCTGTTTAAATATATGAAGTGACATAAGCTGATTACTTTCCTTGGGGTGCATAGAATAAACTTCTACATTAATGTGACTGTCAGAGTTTGATGTTTCATTTCAGTCAAAATCATCAGTATCTATCATGAATGTTATATTTAGAGAACAACATTTTGTAATAAAAATCTTTTTCCTGTTCCACGTTTTAAAATAGTTTATTATATCCAAGTAAAAGATAAATATGCATCTTATTTATGTTTAACCCAAAAAGAGGATTAATCCAAATCACCATGAGAGCAGGATATTTTTTAATTTTGTGAAATTACTAAATGATGAAAGAACATAATGGGAAGAAAAATCATTTAAGAGTAAAAAATGTGCATATAATATTTAATTGTATATTTCAGATATATGCTGTATGTTTTGAAAGAATATTTGAGCTATGCATTTATATAACCATATATCATATACATGAAACATAGTTAGCTTAGTATTGCTTTACAATTCTTCTTATTAAAAATTTACATTGCTGGGTATGGTGCCTCATACCTGTAATCCAAGCACTTGGGAGGTAGAGGCAGGCAGATCATCTGAGGTCAGAAGTTCAAGACCAGCCTGACCAACATGGTGAAATCCTGTCCCTAGAGAAACTACAAAAACTTCACCTGGGGTAGTAGAGCACACCTGCAGTCCTAGATACTGGCATTAGGCAGGAGAATTGCTTGAACCAAGGAGGTGGAGGTTGCAGTGAGCTGAGATCACACCACTGCACTCCAGCCTAGAAGACAGAGTGAGACTCCGCAAAAAAAAAAAAAAAAAAAAAAAAGACATTGATAACTAATACTACTATCAATAGGAAAAAATGTTGTAGTTCAAAGAGCTCAGTGACTTCACAAGAGGGGAGGCACGCAGTAAGCAACTGCTTTCTTCTTCTATTATGACTGCCATTAATGTAATAATAATCTCTCCCTGTCTGCATCCTCTGCCCGGAAGAATCATTTCATAGTTCCTTATTGGTCAGTACCTCCATTTCCTTTACATCTGCCCCAATTTCTCCTTGTGTTTACATTGTAGATCTCTCCCCTTACCCAGGACTCCTCTGTGACTTGTTCAGCCTGCCCTTTTCCTTACCCAGTGTCCTTTTCAAATATACGGCCTATTCATTTCTTAGCATAATTGCTAGCGTTCATCATCTGTCTCCAATGTCTAGAACAGCTATTTGAAGGGAGCAAGGATGTTGGTTTATTTCGTTTACTGGGATTTCCCAGGCACCTAGAACACTGTTCAATAAAGTAATATTTGGGTTCAGTAAATAATCATTGAATGGATAATTTGTGAAATTTTCCAAGACTGCACTTGTGAGTAAAGCAGGACAGAAAAGCTATTTCAAACCATTCTGCCAATGTTAAATTCAGTGAACTGGAGACATAAACACGTTCAATGGAATATTAGCCTGACCCTAGATATTTCTCATTTTGTTTAATCTGTAATGCACTGTGTGTTAAAATGTCTTAATTTTTGTATACTTTTCACTTAATAGTTTATGGTATTTTAATTACTGGTTTACTGTGAGGCTGGTGCAAAAGTAATTACGGTTTTTGCTGTTACTTTAAATGGCAAAAGCCGCATTTACTTTTGCACCAACCTAATAACAATGCATGTGGGATTTCCATTTGTATTGCTATATTAAACCTCAGTCAATTTACTCTCACAAATGGATTTATGTCCTCTGGTTCTGGGTAAAATTGTGTCATGATTCCCTATGTACAAGAAGCATTAGTCTAGCTTTTGGATATTTAGAGAGGTGTCCAGATATATTTCTCATTTTGTTTCATCATGAATTTGGGAATAACTGAGTCTTGTGTTTTCTGATAAAATGGATATTTTGGTGTAAGCAGAAAAAAAAATATCTGAAGGGCAAAATTGATTAAGATTCATGTAATATATTCATATATGGCATAGCATAACATACTTTAATATACCATAAGCCTTATTTCTGTCTTATTATATTGTTTTCAAATTTTTTACAATTTCCCTTAATAAAATTCATAACTTTTTAAATATATAATCTTCTAATCATTTTTTTCATGGGAAATTTATTTCCTAAGTGAAGCTCTTTATTTCTAAAAAGTGTCTAAGAATACTCATAACTACTGAATAATATAAGAAATATAAATCAACATTCCCCAGCCTCAAAAACTTCTGGATAAATTAGTTGATGGTTTTTACTCTTCAAAGTTATTTTATTTATTTTATTTTTTTTGTTGCCATCCTGTGTGTCATCACAGGTATTTACTACGTAAATTGGAATAGATCTTGTAGTATACCACTTTTGTTTTAATTAATAATTACACCCATACATAAAATAAGTCAACTTTTCATATTATATTTAAAATAGTTAAAAATTAAATTGTAGAATTTTAAATAATGTTGTTTGGTGATTCCCTGGGTGAAGGAACCATGGTTTATTTAACACCTTCTTGGTTAATAGACATTGACATTGTCCTCATGCTATTATGTTATAGTGGTGCTCATGGTTGATTTTATAGCAATATATTCCTCTTTGTTAATTTAAATATGACATATTCTGTCTTTAAATAGATTAAAAACAGCTAATTTATATTTATTGTTGCCTGTTGTGTTAGCTTTTGATTAAGTCACAGCCTTTTATATTTCAATGTGTTACTTTATCTAATGCTACATGACTTTATTAATATTTCATGATTTTCCAATACATAAAATCATGTATATACATGAATTATAGATATATATACACCATGCTCTATATGGAAATTAAGGGGTGGCTGGCAAGATGGCTGAATAGGAAAAGCTCCAGTCTGAGGCTCCCAGCGAAATCAATGAAGAAGATGGGTAATTTCCGCATTTCCAACTGAGGTACCCAGCTCGTCTCATTGGGACTGGTTAGAAAGGTGGTGCAGCCCAAAGAGCAGAAGCAGGGTGGAGCATCACCTCATTTGGGAAGTGCAAGGGGTCAGGGAACTCCCTCTCCTAGCTAACGGAAGTCGTGAAGGACTGTGCTGTGAGGAACAGTGCATTCTGGCCCAGATACTACACTATTCCCACAGTCTTCACAACCCACATACCAGGAGATTGCCTCAGATGCCTACACCACCAGGAACCTGAATTTCAAGCACAAAACTGGGTGGCCATTTGGACAGATATTGAGCTAACTGCAGAAGTTTTTTTTTTTTTTTTTTTCCATACCCCAGTGGCACCTGGAACACCTGTGGGACAGAACTATTCACTCCCATGGAAAGGGGGCTGAAGCCAGGGAGCCAAGTGGCCTAGCTCATCAGATTCCACTCCCATGGAGCCCAGCAAGCTAAGATCCATGAGCTTGAAATTCTTGCAGCCAGTACAGCAGTCTGAAATCAACCTGGGACACTTGAGCTTGGTGCAGGGAGGGGCTTCTGCCATTACTAAGGGTTAGGTAGGTTGTTTTCCCCTCACAGTGTAAACAAAGCTGACAGAAGTTCAAACTGGGTGGAGCCCACCTCAGAGTAGCAAAGTCCTTGTAGACAGACTGCTTCTCTAGGGTTTCTCCTTTCTGGGCAGGGCATCTCTGAAAGAAAAGCAGCAGGCCCAGTAAGGGGCTAATGGATAAAACTACATTCTCCCTGGGAAAGAGCACCTGGGAGAAAGGGCAGCTCTTGGCACAGCTTCAGCAGACAGAAATATTTCTGCCTGCTGGTTCTGAAGAGACCAGTGTATCCCCCAGCATAGGATGCATGCTGTTCTAAGGGACAGACTGCCTTAAGTGGGTTCCTGAACCCCGTGCCTCCTGATGGGGAGAAACCTCCCAGCAGGGGTCAACAGACACTTCATACAGGAGAGCTCTTGCTGGCCTCTGGCACGTGCCCCTCTGTGACGAAACTTCCAGAGGAAGAAACAAGCAGCAATCTTTGCTGTTATGCGGGCTCCACTGGTGATACCGAAGCAAACAGGGTCTGAGGTAGACCTCCAGCAAACTCCAGCATAAGTGCAGCAGAGGGGCCTGACAAATAGAAGGAAAACTAACAAACAGAAAGGAATAGCATTAACATCAACAAAAAGAATGACCACACAAAACCCAATCCAAAGGTCACCAAAATCAAAGAACAAAGGTAGATAAGATGAGGAAAAATCAGCAAAAATGGCTGAAAATTCCAAAAACTTGAAGGCCTTTTCTCCTCCAAAGGATCACAACTCCTTGCCAGCACGGGAACAAAACTGGACAGAGAATGAGTTTGACTAATTAACAGAAGTAGGCTTCAGAAGGTGGGTAAAAACAAACCCCTCTGAGCTAAAGGAGTATATCCTAACCCAATGCAAGAAGCTAAGAACCTTGAAAAATTGTTAGAGAAATTGCTAACTAGAGTAACCAGTTTAGAGAAGAACATAAATGACCCGATAGAGCTGAAAAACACAATACTAGAACTTCATGAAGCATACACAAATATCAATAGCCGAATCAATCAAGTGGAAGAAAGGATATCAGAGAATGAAGACCACCTTAATGAAATAAAACGTGAAGGCAAGATTAGGAAAAAAAAAAATGAAAAGGAACAAAGCCTCAGAGAAATATGGGACTACGTGAAAAGACCAAACCTACATTTGATTGGTGTACTTGAAAGTGATAGGGAGGACAGAACCAAGTTAGACAACACTCTTCCAGATATTATCCAGGACAACTTTAGCAACTTAGCAAGGCAGGCCAACATTCAAATTCAAAAAATACAGAGAACAACACAAAGGTACTCCTCAAGAAGAGCAACCCTAAGCACATAATCGTCAGATTCACCAAAGTTGAAATAAAGGAAAAAATGTTAAGGGCAGCCACAAAAAAATGTTGGGTTACCCACAAAGGGAAGCCCATTATACTAACAGTGGATATCTCTGCAGAAACCCTACAAGGCAGAAGAAAGTAGGGGCAAATATTCAACATCCTTAAAGAAAAGAACTTTCAACTCAGAATTTTATATCCAGCCAAATTAAGCTACGTAAGTGAAATCCTGTAGAGACAGGAAAATACTGAGAGTTTTTGTCACCACCTTTCCTGCCTTACAAGAGCTCCTAAGGGAAGCACTAAATATGGAAAAAAAAAATACTGATACCAGCCACTGCAAAAACATGCCAAATTGTAAAGACCACTGACACTATGAAGAAACTGCATTAACTAACAGACAAAACAATCAGCTAACATCATAATGGCAGAATCAGATTCACACATAACAATATTAACCTTAAATGTAAATGGGCTAAATTCCGCAATTAAAAGACACAGACTGGCAAATTGGATGTAGCAAAACCCTTCAGTGTGCTGTACTCAAGAGATGCATCTCACATGCAAAGACACTCACAGGTTTAAAATAAAGGGATGGAGGAATATTTACCAAGCAAATGGAAAGCAAAAAGAAAGCAGGAGTTGCAATCCTAGTTTCTGATAAAACAGACTTTAAACCAACAAAGATCAAAGAAGACATAGAAGGCCATTAAATAATGGTAAAGCGATCAGTGGAACAAGAAGAACTAACTATGCTAAATATACATGCAAACAATACAGCAGAACCCAGATTCTTAATACAAGTTCTTAGACACTTACAAAGAGACTTAGACTCCCATACAATAATACTGGGAAACTTTAATACCCCATTGTCAATATTAGACAGATCTATGAGACAGAAAATTAACAAGGATATTCAGGATTTGAACTCAGCTGTGGACTGAGCAGACCTAATAGACATCTACAGAACTCTCCACCCCAAATCAACAGAATATATATTCTCCTCAGTGCAGCGTCACACTTATTCTAAAATTGACCACATAATTGGAAGTAAAACACTCCTCAGTAAATGCAAAAGATCAAAAATCATAGCAAACAGTGTCTCAGACCACTGTGCGATAAAATTAGAACTCAGCACTAAGAAACACCCTCAAAACCAGATAACTACATGGAAGCTAAACACCCTGCTCTTGAATGACTACTTGACACACAACTAAATTAAGGCAGAAACAAATAAGTTCTATGAAATCAGTGAGAACAAAGACACAGTGTTTCTGAATCCCTGGGAAACAGTTAAAGCTGTGTTTATAGGAAAATTATAACACTAACTTCCCACAAAGAAAGTGGGAAAGATCTACAACTGACACCCTACCATCACAATTAAAAGAACTACAGAAGCAAGAGCAAACAAATTCAAAAGCTAGCAGAAGCCAAGAAACAACTAAGATCAGAGCAGAACTGAAGGAGATAGAGATAGGAAAATCCCTTCAAAAATGTCAGTGAATCCAGGAGGTGATTTTTTGAAAAGATTAACAAAATAAATATACCACTAGCCAGAATAATAATGAAGAATAGAGAGAAGAATCAAATAGATGAAACAAAAAATGATAAAGGTGATATCACCACTGATCCCACAGAAATCCAAACTACCATCAAAGAACACTACAAAAAATCAGAGAACACCTCTAGCAAATAAACTAGAAAATCTGGAAGAAATAGATAAATTCCTAGAAACATACACTCTCCCAAGTTTAAACCAGGAATAAGTCAAATCTCTGAATAGACCAATAACAAGTTCTGAAATTGAGAGAGTAATTAATAGCCTACCAACCAAGAAATCCCTAAGACCAGAAGAATTAACAGCCAAATTCTACCAAAGACAAAAACAGGAGCTGGTACCATTCATTCTGAAAATATTCCCCCCAAAAAAAAAGGACGTTTCCGTAACTCATTTTATGAGACCAGCATCATTATGATACCAAAACCTGGTAGAGACACAGAAAAAAAAAAAGGAAATTTCAGGCCAATATCTCTGGTGAATAAAGATGCAAAAATCATCAGTAAAATACTGGCAAACTGAATCCAACAGCACATCAAATAGCTTACCCACCACAATCAAACTGGCTTCATCCTTGGGATGCAAGGCTGGTTCAATACATGCAAGTCAATAAATGTAATCCATCACGTAAACAGAACCAATGAAAAAAACCACGTGATTATCTCAATAGATGCAGAAGAGGTCTTTGACAAAATTCAACACTGCTTTATGCTAAAAACTCTCAATAAACTAGGTATTGGTGGAATGTATCTCAAAATAATAGAAGCTATTTATGATGAACTCACAGCCAATATAACACTGAATAGGCTGAAGCTGGAAAGATTCCCTTTGAAAACTCACACAACACAAGGATGTCCTCTCTCACCACTCCTGTTCAACATAGTATTCGAAGTTCTGGCCATGGCAATCAGGCAAGAGAAGGAAATAAAGCGTATTCAAATAGGTAGAGAGGAAGTCAAATAGTCTCTGTTTGCAGGTGACATGGTTGTATATTTAGAAAACCCTATCATTGCAGCCCCAAATCTCCTTAAGCTGATAAGGAAATTCAGCAAATTCTCAGGATACAAAATCAATGTACAAAAATCAGAAGCATTCCTATACACCAGTAATAGGCAGAGAGCCAAATAATGAGTGAACTCCTATTCACAATTGCTACAAACCGAATAAAATATCTAGGAATGCAACTTACAAGGGTTGTGAAGGACATCTTCAAGGAGAACTACAAACCACTGCTCAGGAAAATAAGAGAGGACACAAACAAATGGAAAAAACATTCCATCCTATGGACAAGAAAAATCAGTATCATGAAAATGGCCATACTGTCCAAAGTGATTTATAGATTCAATGCTCTCCCCATCAAGCTACCATTGACTTTCTTCACAGAATTAGAAAAAAACTATTTTAAATTTCATATGGAACGAAAAAAGAGCCTGTATAGCCAAGACAATCCTAAGATAAAAGAACAAAGGTGGAGGCATCACACTTCCTGACTTTGAACTGTACTACAAGACTACAGTAACCAAAACAGTATGGTACTGATACCAAAAAAGATATATAGACCAATGGAACAGAACAGAGACCTCAGAAATAAAACCACTCATCTACAACCATCTGATCTTTGACAAACCTGACAAAAACAAGCAATGGGGAAGGGATTCCCTAATTAATAAATGGTGTTGGGAAAACTGGTGAGCCACATGCAGAAAGCTGAAACTGTTCCCCTTCCTTATACCTTATACAAAAATTAACTCAAGATGGATTAAAGCCTTAAATGTAAGACCTAAAACCATGACCAACCCTAGAAGAAGGCCTAGGCAATACTATTCAGGACATTGACATGGGCAAGGACTTCATGACTAAAACACCAAAAGCAATGACAAGAAAGGCAGAATTGACAAACAGGATCTAATTTAACTAAATAGCTTCTGCACAGCAAAAGAAACTATAATCAGAATGAATAGGCCACCTACAGGAGAAAATTTTAGTAATCTATCCATCTGACAAAGGGCTAATATCCAGAATCTACAAAGAACTTAAATAATTTTAGAAGAAAAAAAACAAAACGTCATCAAAAACTGTATGAAGGATATTAACAGACATTTCTCAAAAATAGACATTAATGTGGCCATGCCAGTTAGAACAGCAATCATCAAAAAATCAGGAAACAACAGGTGCTGGAGAGGATGTGGAAAAATAGGAACAACTTTACCCTGTTTGTGGGAATGTAAGTTAATTCAATCATGGTGAAAGACAGTGTGGCAATTACTCAAGGATCTAGAACAAGAAATACCATTTGACCCAGCAATCCCATTATTAGGTATATACCCAAAAGATTATAAAGTATTCTATTATAAAGACAAATGCACCTGTATGTTTCTTGGAGCACTGTTCACAATACCAAAGACTTGGAACCAATTCAAATGCCTATCACTGATAGACTGGATAAAGAAAATGTGGCATATATACACCAAGGAATACTATGCAGCCATAAAAAAGGAAGAGTTCATGTCCTTTGCAGGGACATGGATGAACATGGAAACCATCATTCTCAGCAAACTAACACAGGAAGAGAAAACCAAACACCGCATGTTCTCAGTCATAAGTGGAAGTTGAACAGGGAGAACACAGGAACACAGGGAGGGGAGCATCACACACTGGGGCCTGTTGACGGGTGGGGGGCTAAGGGAGGGATAACATGAGGAGAAATACCTAATGTAGATGACTGGTTGATGGGTGTGGCAAACCACCACGGCATTTGTATAACTACGTAACAAAACTGTACGTTCTGTACATGTATCCCAGAACGTAAATAAAATCTTTTAAAGTAATGATTTTATCACTTTGGAATATACTGCTCAATATGAGTGAAGATTTTTTTCACTACTTTACAGAGGGATTGAGTCTCTTTATTCCTAGAATTAGACATGTCACAAAAAAATAGCACTGAGAAGATGACACCATATTTAGCCTCTGATAAGTACAAGATTTGCAAATCTTTTACGTAACATATTGAAACAAGAACAATCATAAAACAATATTGTCACCTGCATATGTTCAGCAAAATGTAAGATATACTCCCCATTTTTCTAATAAATACATGATAGGAGTAAATACATAAACATGTATTACAGAAAGCAGAAGGCTTGTTTTATTGCATCCAATAATCTTTCAGCAAATTATAATAAAAAGAAGGCTCCCATTTTTTTTTTTTTTCGGATGGAGTCTTCCTCTGTTGCCCAGGCTGTAGTGCAATGGCATGATCTCCACTCACTGCAATCTCCACCTCCTGAGTTCAAGCGATTCTCCTGCCTCAGCCTCCGGAGTAGCTGGGATTACAGGCACGTGCCACTACGTGCAGCTAATTTTTTGTAATTTTAGTAGACACGGGGTTTCACCATGTTGGCCAGGATGGTCTCAAACTCGTGACCTCATGATCCTCCCACCTCAGCCTCCCAAAGTACAAAAAGGTCCTCTTTTGAGTTATATTTTTTTATTAAAACAAAAGATGGCCTCTTAACTCCAATAGCGTTTTGTTTACTAGAAGGTATGTTACTCTTTTGTTTGGAGTACACTTGTAACTTTCGACAACTTCTGTTTCTAAAATAATATAAAACTGAGCCACAGTTTCAATCAGAGTCATTGGGGGAATTCACCATCCTCTTTGCAACTCTTGAGAATAGTGAAAAATATCAAAGCAGAAAAGGCAATGATTTATAGATTAGTGCTATTTTTCTGCATGTTTACTATTGAGCTTCAAAATCTAATTGTAATATGGATAAACAGGCAAGCTATAGGATTCTGCCAAGTGATTGTCCACATAAGGGGGGCACCAATCTTAGTGTTTAATTTTCTACAGAAAATCTTTTTGTTATCGTTGTTCTTTTATGGTGTTTCCCCCAGAGCAATTCCTTCTTTGAAAATAGACAGGAAAGGCTGAACGAGGTGGTTCACACCTGCAATCTCAGCACTTTGGGAGGCCAAAAGTGAGTGGGCAGATCACCTGACGTCAGGAGTTCGAGACCAGCCTGGCCAACATGGTGAAACACCATCTCTACCAAAAATGCAAAAATTATCCAGGTGTGGTCACAGGTGTCTGTAATCCCAGCTACTTAGGGGGCTGAGGCAAGATAATCACTTGAACCCAGGAAGCAGGGGTTGTGGTGAGCCAAGATCGCACCACTGCACTTTAGCCTGGGTAAAAAGAGTGAAACTCCATTTCAACAACAACAACAACAAAAAAAAAAAAAAAGAAAAAAAAAGGTAGGAAAAACGTAGTGCTATGAGATGAAAGTTGTCACCACTCTTTCTGTGTAATTCTGCTATGAATCTGAATATAGAGATAGAGGGTACCTTCTCATGGACCAGAAATTTTGCAACGTTCACAGAAATAGAAATCAGACTTGGAAGAATGCCAAGTCCTAGCTGTGGTCTAGGCTGCCTTGATTAAAGGAGTTCCATCAACAGAAGAGTCTGAACTTGTTGTTTACTGAATAACCTGGAATATTATTTGACATCCTAGAGCAATATTATTTGACATCCTAACGCATCATGAACAAGCTGTGCCATTCTCTGAGAGAGAGTGAAAAGGGTGAAAATGTTCATGATGAAGAAAACCCACCATCATCCCAACCTCAGCCACAAGCAAGTTTTATTTAAAAACAAACAAACGGCCGGGCGCGGTGGCTCACGCCTGTAATCCCAGCACTTTGGGAGGCCGAGGCGGAAGGATCACGAGGTCAGGAGATCGAGACCATCCCGGCTAAAACGGTGAAACCCCGTCTCTACTAAAAATACAAAAAATTAGCCGGGCGTAGTGGCGGGCGCCTGTAGTCCCAGCTACTTGGGAGGCTGAGGCAGGAGAATGGCGTGAACCCGGGAGGCGGAGCTTGCAGTGAGCCAGTGAGCCGAGATCCCGCCACTGCACTCCAGCCTGGGCGACAGAGCGAGACTCCGTCTCAAAAAACAAACAAACAAACAAACAAAAAACAAAGAAACAAACAAAAACAAAAACCCACTGTTTTGAAAGAGTGGCCGCTCCCTGAATTTTCTCTGAAAAAAAATGTTTACATCAGTTTTCCCAGAGGGAATAATAAATCTTCTATTCAGCATTTCTTGATTTTCTCTGATTTGCTCTACTGGATGCCAGGCTATCCTATTCCCATTTGGTTATTTTTTTTCATAATACCAATGCAGTCCTGGGTCAGGTATTATAATTGCTTTTAATTTAGCTTAGCCATCATCATTTGCAAGTATCCCTTATCCTGAACTGTTGTCATTCAATTGTAAATATATGAAATATTTCAAACATAGGAGATACTCAGAAATATTAAAAAATCTTTATTTACTTTATTGTATTTATTTTTTTGAGACAGAGTCTTGCTTTGCTGGTCAGGCTAGTGTGCAGTGGCATGATATCAGCTCACTGCAACCTCCTCCTCCTGGGCTCAAGCAATTGTCCTGGCTTAGCCTCCTGAGTAGCTGGGATTACAGGTGTGTGCCACCATGCCCAGCTAATTTTTGTATTTTTAGTAGAAACGGGGTTTCACCATGTTGGCCATGCTGGTCTCGAGTTCCTGATCTCAGGTAATCTGCCCACTTTGGCCTCCCAAAGTGCCAGGATTACAAGCATGAGCCACTGCACCCGGCCTTAAAAAAATCTTTCTTAATGCTGAGAAAGATATGATCAAAGAGAAACTCTCCTACATTGTTGATGGGAATGTAAATTTGTACAAACACTATGAAAAACAGTATGAAGCTTCCTCAAAAAACTAAAAATAGAACTACTACATGATCCAGCAATTCCTCTATTGGATATCTATCCAATGGAAATGAAATGGGTACATCAAAAGTATACCTGCACTCCCTTGTTTATTGTAGCAGTATTTCACAATAGCCAAGATTTGGAAGTAATCTAAGTGCCTATGGATAAATGAATAAGGACAATGTGGTATATACACAAGAGAATATTATTCAGCATAAAAAAGAATGCAATGCTGCCATTTTCAACAACATGGATGGAGCTGGAGGTCATTATCTGAAATGAAACAAACCAGCCACAGAAAGACAATTTTCACATTTTCTCATTCATATGTAAAAGTTAAAAATGTTAAAAATTGAACTCATGGGCCAGGTACAGTGGCTCATGCCTGTAAACCCAGCACTTTGGTAGGCCAAGGCAGGTGAATCGCATGAGGTCAGGAGTTTGAGGCCAGCCTGGTTAACACAGTGAAACCCCATCTCTACTAAAAATACAAAAAATTAGCTGGGCATGGGGGCAAGTGCCTGTAATCCCAGCTGCTCAGGAGGCTGAGTCAGGAGAATTACTTAAACCTGAAAGGGGAGGTTGCATTGACCTGAGATTGTGCCACTGCACTACAGACTGGACAATGAGAGCAAAACTCCATCTCAAAAAAAAAAAAAAGAAAAAGAAAAAGAAAAAAAAGAACTCATGGAGGTAGAGAGTAGAATTGTGGTTACCAGAGACTGGGAAGGGTATTGGGGAGGGGGTAACCTTGGATGAATATTGTCTACAAAAATACAGTCAGAAAGAAAGAAGATCTACTGTACAGTAGTTACAATACAGTCACTATAGTTAACAATAATTTATCATATGTTTAAAAATAACTAAAATAATGGAATTGAAATATTCCTAATACAAATAAATAATGAATTCTTGAGGTGATGGGTATTCCAGTTAGCTTAATTTGATCATTACACAATATCTGCTTGTATCAAAACAGCACTTGTACCTCATAAACACATGCTACTATTATATACCAATAATAATTTAAAAGTTTAAAAACTTACTCTAAATTTTTTAAAGTGACACACAGACAGTACAGAAAATTAGTGAACAATAAATCCATACTCAACATTTCACCAACACTGTACAGGGATAAGTGGTTGATATGCATAATTTAAATGTTCTACAAATGGAAAATAGAGAAATAATAATATTAATAAAAAGTGGAAGAGGATTGGGAGAGACTGCCAGATAGAAGTTGAAATCAATTTCTATCCCCCTTTTCATAAAGAAAGTAAGCAGATATTTTAAGGATGATACATTGAGGTGTAGATTCATGGATATTCTTGAAGAGTTTAGAGGAATCACTAGAAAAATTAGAAATAAAATAAGACTGGAATGATTATAGGAAGGTAGAGTAATAATTTTTCTCCTTAATATCTGATTCTTTGAGAATAAGAATCAATAATACATGTTTAATATTCATACATGAAGAAATAATTTTGAACAGATGATTATTAAATTTAACATTTATATATTATAAAATGTCCATTTTTAAAGGAAAGTAACACACACAGAGATAGACCCTTTATTTATAATTGTCAGATGGAAAAAAACAAATGTCACAAAATTAAAGCCAATTTTCTTGTGGTAGGTGGCTGTCCATGTTGGATAAGCAGTTATTTTTTCCTCTCTTCTGAGCTTCCTTAACTTCACGGTTCTCCAAGTTAAATCTTCCACCAAATCTCTCTCCCAGTGGAGGTGTGAATTTCTGAATAGCAAAGGATTTTAATGTCACCCATAAGTTGAGTGTTGAGTGATGAATTAAGGGAGAAACAGATAGGCAGGTCCAAATTCAAAAGGCAAAAGTGGAGTGCCAGGAAATGATAAAAGCTCAGCACAATAAATTTAAAAAGGTAATCATCATAAAGGCATTGAAAATAAATAAAAAGAAATAATCAACTGAATAAACAGAAAAATCACAGAATAGAAGAAAATATTTTCAAACTGTGCATTTGACAAAGGACTACTATCCATAATCTACAAGGAACTCAAACAAATCACCTAGAAAAAAATCAAATAATTCCATTAAAAAGTAGGCAAAAGACATGAATAGACATTTCTCAAAAAAAAAATACAAATGGCCAAGAAACATGAAAAAAAATGCTCAACATCACTAGTAATCAGGAAAATACAAATTAAAAGAAAAATGAGATACCACCTTACTCCTGTAAGAATGGCCATTATTAAAAACTCAGAAAAAAATAGATATTGGCATGGATTTGGGGAAAAAGGAACACTTACTCATTGCTGGTGGGGATGTAAATTAGTGCAACCTCTAGGGAAAACAGTATGAAGATTCCTTAAAAAGCTAACAGTAGGCTGGCCATGGTGGCTCGTGCCTGTAATACTAGCACTTTGGGAGGCCAAGGTGGGCAGATCACGAGGTCAGGAGTTCAAAATCAGTCTGGCCAACATAGTGAAACCCCATCTCTACTAAAAATACAAGAAATTAACAAGGTGTGGTGGTGTGCACTTCTAATCCCAGCTACTCTGGAGGCTGAGGCAGGAGACTCGCGTGAACCCAGGAGGCAGAGGTTGTAGTGAGCCAAGATGGCGCCATTGCATTCCAGCACAGGCAACAGTGAGAGATTCCATCTAAAATAAATAAATAAATAAAATAAAACGATCTAATAGTAGATCTGTCATTCAATACAGCAATCCCACTACTGGGTATCTACCCAAAGAAAAAGAAGTCTTTATGTGAAAAAGACACTCGCATATGTATGTTTACAGTAGCACAATTTACAATTACAAAAAAGTGGAACTAACTCATTGTTTAATGAGTAGATAAAGAAAATATGGTATATATACATCATGGAATACAACTCAGCCATAAGAAGGAATGAAGTAATGTCTTTTGCAGCAACTTGGATGAAGCTGGAGGACACCATTCTAAGGGAAGTAACTCAGAATGGAAAACCAAACATTGTATGTTCACTTATAAGTGAGAGCTAAGCTATGAGGATGCAAAGGCATACTCATATAATGATATAATGGACTTTAGAGATATAATGGACTTTAGAGATATAATGGACTTTAGAGAGTCAGATATAATGGACTTTAGAGAGTCAGAAGGGATCGGGGGAGGGAGGTGTGGATAGAAAACTACATATTTGGAACAATATATACTACATGGGTGATGGATGCATTAAAATCTCAGTATTCATCACTATATAATTCATCCATGTGACCAAAAAAACACTTGTACCTCCCACTGAATAAACTAATTTAAAAAAAATAATAATTAATTAATTTAAAAAAGCTTAACTGGCCCAATGTGGAAAAGGAAGTTGGTGTTAGATGAAGAATGCACTCTGGTACCAGTAATATGGTTTCCAATTAACTGGAAAACACCAAGGCTAAGCTAGAGAAATGTTGTGCTTGGAGAAAAGAGGGCAATTGAAAAAGTGAAAGCAAGTATTCAAGATATGTATCATTTATACATATTCTAAATAAAATATTCATGAAAGGGGCACCATTTGTGCTTCTGTTGTTGTCGATGATGTAGAATCACTGATAATTGTAGAGGTGAAAAATTCAATTGTAACAGCATAATTGGCTCTACTGTTTAAAATAACAATAATTGTAGAGACTTACAGATGTTATCATAGATTTTTAAGTTTTAGAGTCATAACCGTCACTGAAAATGTGAACATTGTTGCAGACCTGAATAAAGCTATCACCTCAAAAACATAAAAATATAAGTTGATGGGAATTAAAATGCAGAAGTGGGAACAGAAAGGCAGGAGAAACGTAATAGTGTTAGAAAAGAGAATACACAAGAAAGTAGAAAGGAATTCAGCTTCATATTATACAATTTAATTCATGGATGAATAATATACATAAATGCAGAAACTAGACAAAATGAGTTGTAAGGGAAACAAAAATAATTCAACTATCAACAGAAGGTATATGAAGTGTTATTATGTAATTATCACTAAATATATCAATGCGATTCTTAATCATGCTCAACTGTAAATGTTTGCTCCCATAAATTTTACATAATATAACATAGGCTTTCAGTGATAATGAAGCTGTTTAGACTGCATACAAAGAAAGAAAACTTTTAAAGCATTAATCTTCATATTTGATATCACTGAAGGCCAACACCTATAGATTAAAATTATTTATGATGAATTGATGCAAAATTTCTACATCCATACCAAGCAGATGTGAGCCCAGAATGTAAATAGTATGTTTTTCATGACCTAATCAGATTAATTTCAATGATACAAGAATATTTTCATGTTGGAAATGGATATGTGTGTGTGAATGTGCATTTGTGAATGTGAGTGCAAATTACAGCTTTTTTTCTGGCTACTGAAATTCAACACAACTCTCTTGGCATTGTGTCTCACTGGTAGATTCACCTGGACATCCATGTTTTGCAGCCTTCCAAGTATGCATATGTGTGTCTGTGGTTATCTTTTCCCCATGACTCTAAATCACAAAAATGAATAAAGCAAAATGAAATCTACTCTATGGAGGAAGACCTCTCATAATAACTTTTTAGAATGCTACACCAGAGCTTGATACCAACTGTTTCTTTTCTGTGTTGTAAGATGTGGTTCTATAGGAATGGGAAGGTTTCTTTTCACAGGAGACTGCAGAATGAGAAGAAATATAGGTTTGTCTTTTTGGTTTCAAGACTTGTAAATGAAAGTGAGGTGCAGGGGACAGATGAATAGGATTGATATTTTTATTTTAATCAAATAACTTCAGAGTTTTTCCTTGGTTTCATTAAACCAAGTCCTGAAGATACAGAGTTTTGTTCGTATTTCATTAAGACATTGGTTTGATTTATCACATTTGTGGTGGCCATGTAGAGTAATTATAGCAGATTGACACTAGAGATTGTGGTGCTTAAATTTACTCCTCACAATAATGAGAGATGAGGGTTTCTTAAAGGGCACGTATTCGTAAACATTGCTCTAATATTTTCATTTCTTAGGACCAGTACTGTGCTTAGTATAAAACCAGTGTCTCCTGTGTGTGTTCACATCAGGCACTTATTTTTTTCTACAGAAGCTAGTTGTTGGCTGTTTTATTTATTTGACTCTTAATATTCTCACATGTTATTACCATTCTGTGACCCTGGCCTTTGGTTTCAGTTCTATTCGTATGATAACCAATCATTTAAGATCATGTTATTCTGTAAATAATTTAGTAATAATCAAGGGGGAATACTGGTATTATAAAATACAACAGAGACTTTATACCTGAATGTAGCCACTCTATTACATGCTTTTCTAGGAATTATAGATTCTCACTTATATTGAAGTTCAATACTAAATATATATATATATTCCAGAAATATATGTATTCTAGAAATATATATACACACAGACAGTATAGTATATATATATGCAATGAACATATGTAACTACTATAGTACATATGTTTATCTATTTATATGTATATAAATGTATATGTAATATGTAAATGAATATATATTCATATAGAATATATATGTATGAATATATAATTTTATATATGTTAATCTATAAACCTATGTATATGAATATGTTTATATACATATATAAATGTATACATATATAGTACATAAATATGTATATATGTACATATATAAGCATATACTATATATGCATATATAAATTTATTTATATATAAATAGATAAACATGCATATAAGTATCTATTACATATAAATATAAACATAAATATGTATATATAAATATATACAAATATACATGTGTAATAAACATAAATATATGAATATAATATAGAATTTAAACATTCCTACATATAAACATACATTAATATGTATATGTGTCGATATGTTTATTACATATACACTATATTATGTATACATTCTGGGATTATGTTTATATAGGCTGTCAGCCTTCAAAATCTAACTCAGCACCAGGTTTTCTGGGTCTCAGGCCTTCAGACTCAGACTGGAACTCACACCATCAGTTCTCCTGGGTCTCAGATCTTCAGACTCAGGCTGGAATTTCCATTATCAGCTCTCCTGAATCCAAAGGAAACTGATTATGAAATCAGTTTGCAAATAAAGACATCCATGTCCTCTGATATCTTGTGAAGTGTTAGCTAAGATCCATCATAACTATTGACTCAGTCATATATAACATATGTTGGTACTAAATGAGTGTTCAAAAAAAATCACTCTTGGTTGCACATGAGCAGATAATATGGTGAAAATATGTGTATTAGACAAAGTACTACAGAGAAACATAACCAACAGGAAATATACGTTTATTTTAAGAAGCTGTCTAATTTAGTTATGGAGATTCACAAGTTTAAGATTTAGAGGCAGAACTGGGTGGGGCTCACTGCAGCTCAGCAAGGCCACCATGGCCAGACTGCCAGATTTGTCCTCTCTGGTCAGGGCATCCCTGAAAAAAAGCCAGTATCCCCAGTCAGGGACTTATAGATAAAACTCCCATCTCCCTGGGACAGAGCACTTGGGGGAAGGTGTGGCTGTGTGGGCAGCTTCAGCAGACTTAAGAGTCCCTGCCTTATGGCTCTGAAGAGAGCTGCAGATGTCTCAGGACAGCATTCAAACTTTGCTAAGGGTCAGACTGCCTCCTCAAGTGGGTCCCTGACCCGTCTGTATCCTGACTGGGAGGTACTTCCCAGTAGATGCCAAGAGACACCTAACAGGAGAGCTCTGGCTGGCAACTGGCAGGTGCTCCTCTGTGACAAAGCTTCCAGAAGAAAGAAGAGGCAGCAATTGGTGCTATTCTGCAGCCTCTGCTGGTGATACAGACAGTGTTGGGAGTGGACCTCCAGCAAACTCTAGCAGACCTGCAGCAGAGGGGCCTGTTAGAAGAAAAACTAACAAACAGAAAAAAAATAGCACATACAGTCAGAGACCACATCCAAAGGTCACAAACATCAAAGACCAAAGGAAGATAAATCCATAAAGATGGGGAGAAAGCAGCACAAGAAGCCTGAAAATTCCAAAAACCAGAACACCTCTTCTCCTCCAAGGGAACACAACTCCTCTCCAGCAAGGGAACAAAACTGGATGGAGAATACGTTTGATGAATTGACACAAGTAGGCTTCAGAAGGTGGGTAATAAACTCCTCTGAGCTAAAGGAGCATGACCTAACCCAATGCAAGAAAGGTAAGAACCATGAAAAAAGTTAAGACAAATTTCTAACTAGAATAACCAGTTTAGAGAAGAAGATAAATGACCTGATGGAGCTGATAAAGACAGCACAAGAACTTCGTAAAACATACACAACTATCAATAGCCAAATCAATCGAGCAGAAGAGAGCATATCAAAGATTGAAGATCAATTTAAAGAAAAAAAGTAGGAAGACAAGGTTAGAGAAAATAGAATAAAAAGGAACAAATAAAACCTCCAAGATATATGAGAATAGGTGAAAAGACCAAATCTACGTTTGATTTGGGTGCCTGAAAGTGACAGGGAGCACGGAACCAAGAGGGAAAACACTCTTCAGGATATTATCCAGGAGAACTCCTCCAACCTGGGAAGGCAGGACAACATTCAAATTCAGGAAACAGAGAGAACACCACAAAGATACTCCTGGGTAGGAGAAATCCCAAGACCCATAATCATCAGATTCACCAACGTTAAATGAAGGAAAAAATGTTAAGATAATCCAGGGAGAAAAGTAGGGTTACCCACAAAGGGAAGCCCATCAGACTAACGGTGGATCTCTCTGCAGAAACCATACAAGCTAGAAGAAAGTGGGGGCAAATAGTCAACATTCTTAAAGAAAAGAATTTTCAATCCAGAATTTCACATCCAGCCAAACTAAGCTTCATAAGTTGAAGGAGAAATAAAATCTTTTACAGACAAGCAAATGCTGAGAGATTTTGTCACCACCAGGACTGCCTTACAAGCACTCCTGAAGGAAGCACTAAACAGGGAAAGGAACAACTGGTACCAGCCACTGCAAAAACATGCCAAATTGTAAAGACCATAGATACTATGAAGAAACTGCATCAACTAATGGGCAAAATAACCAGCTAGTATCATAATGACAGGATGAAATTCACACATAACAATGTTAACCTTAAATGTAAATGAGCTAAATGCCCCATTTAAAAGACACAGATGGGCAAATTGGATAAAAAATCAAGACTTATTGGTGTGCTATACTCAGGAGACCCATCTCACATGCAAAGACACACATAGGCTCAAAATAAAGGGATAGAGAAATATTTAACCAGAAAATGAAAAGCAAAAGAAAACAAACAAACAAAACACAAGAATTGCAATGCTAATCTCTGATAAAACAGACTTTAAATCAACAGAGATCAAAAGAGACAAAGAAGGGCATTACATAATAGTAAAGGGGTCAGGTCAATGCAACAAGAAGAGCTAACTATACTAAGTATACATGAACTCAATATAGGAGCACCCAGATTCATAAAGCAAGTCCTTAGAGACATACAAAGAGACTTAGACTCCCACACAATAATAGTGGGAGACTTTAACACCTCACTGTCAATATTGGACAGATCAATGAGACAGAAAATTAACAGGGATATTCAGGACTTGAACTCAGCTCTGGACCAGGCAGACCTAATAGACATCTACAGAACTCTCCACCCCAAATCAACAGAATATACATTCTTCTCAGCATCTCATTGCACTTATTCTAAAATTGACCACATAATTGGGAGTAAAACACTCCTTAGCAAATGCAAAAGAATGGAAATCATAGCAAACAGACTCTCAGACCACAGTGCAATCACATTAGAACTCAGAATTAAGAATCTCACTCAAAACCACACAACTACATGGAAACTGAACAACCTGCTCCTGAATGACTACTCAGTACATAATGAAATGAAGACAGAAATAAAGATGTTCTTTGAAACCAATTTTAACAAAGACACAACATAGCAGAATACTTGGGACAGCTTTAAAGCAGTGTGTAGAGGAAAATTTATAGCACTAAATGCCCACAAGAGAAAGCAGGAAAGATCTAAAATCAACACGTTAATATCAAAATTAAAAGAACTAGAGAAGCAAGAGGAAATAAATTTGAAAGCTAGCAGAAGACAAAAAATAATAAAAATTAGCACAGAACTGAAAGAGATAGACACAAAAAAATCCTTCAAAAATCAATAAATTCAGGAGCTGGTTTTTTGAAAAGATCAACAAAATAGATAAACCGCCTGCCACACTAATGAAGAAGGAAAGAGAGAAGAATCAAATAGATGCAATAAAAATGATAAAGGGGATATTATCACCCATCCTACAGAAATACACACTACCATCAAAGAATAATATAAACTCCTCTACGCAAATAAACTAGAAAATCTAGAAGAAACGGATAAATTCCTGGACATATACACAGTCCCAAGTCTAAATCAGGAATAAGTCGAATTCCTGAATAGACCAATAATAAGTTTTGAAATTGAAACAGTGATTAATAGCCTACCAACTAAAAAAAGTCTAGGACCAGAGGGATTCACAGCCAAATTCTACCAGAGGTACAAAGAGGACCTGGTACCATTCCTCCTGAAACTATTCCAAACAATATAAAAAGAAGGAATCCTCCCTAACTCATTTTATGAGGCCAGCACCAAAACCTGGCAGAGAAACAACGAAAAAATAAAATGTCAGGCCAATATCCCTGGTGAACATTGCTGTGAAAATCTTCAACAAAATACTGGCAAACCAAATCCAGCAGCACATCAAAAACCTTATCCACCATGATCAAGTCGGCTTCATTGCTGGGATGCAAGGCTGGTTCAACATACACAAATCAATAAATGTACTCCATCACATGCAGAAAAGGCCTTCAACAGAAGTCAGCACCTCTTTATGCTAAAACTCTCAATAAACTGAGTATTAATGGAATGTATCTCAAAATAATAAGAGCTATTTATGACAATCACGCAGCCATTATCATACTGAATCGGCAAAAACTGGAAGCATTCCCCTTGAAAACCAGCACAAGACAAGGATGCCGTCTGTCACCATGCCTATTAAACATAGTATTAGAAGTTCTCTTTTTTTTTTTTTTTTTTTTTTTTTGAGAGGGAGTCTCCATCTGTCACCCAGGCTGGAGTGCAGTGGCATGATCTCTGCTCACTGCAAGCTCTGCCTCCCGAGTTCACGCCATTCTCCTGCCTCAGCCTCCCGAGTAGCTGGGAGTTCTCACCAGGGTAATCAAGCAAGAGAAAGAAATAAAGGTATTCAGGTAAAAAAAGGAGAAGTCAAACTGTCTCTGTTTGCAAATGACATGATTGTATATTTAAAAAACCCCACTGTCTCAGCTCAAATTCTCCTTAAGCTGATAAGCAAATTCAGCAAAGTCTCAGGATACAAAATCAATGTGCAAAAATTACAAGCATTCCTATACACCAATAACAAACAGAGAGCCAAATCATGAGTGAACTCCCATTCACAATTGCTACAAAGAGAATAAAATACCTAAGAATACAACTTCCAAGGGATGTGAAGGACTTCTTCAACAATAACTACAAACCACTGCTCAAGGAAATAAGAAAGGACACAAACAAATGGAAAAACAGTCCATGCTCATGGATAAGAAGAATCAATATTTTGAAAATGGCTATACTGACCAATGTAATTTATAGATACAATGCTATACCCATCAAGCTACCACTGACTTTCTTCACAGAATTGTAAAAAAAGTACTTTAAACTTCATATGAAACCAAAAAAGAGCCTGCATAGCCAAGAGAGTCCTAAGCAAAAAGAAGAAAGCCGGAGGCCCCATGTTACCTGACTTCAAGCTATAATACAAGGCTAAAGTAATGAAAACAGCATAGTACTGGTACCAAAACAGATATATAGACCAATGGAACAAAATAGAGGCCCAAGAAATATCACCACACATCTACAACCACCTGATCTTTAACAAACCTGAGAAAAACAAGCAATGGGGAAAGGATTCCTTATTAATACTGTTGGGAAAACTGGGTAGCCATATGCAGAAAACTGAAACTGGACCTCTTCCTTACACCTTATACAAAAGTTAACTCAAGATGGATTAAAGACTTCAATGTTAGACCTAAAACCATAAAAACTCTACTAGAAAACCTAGGAAATACCATTCAGGACATAGGCATGGGGAAAGACTTCATGTAAAAACACCAAAAGCAATGGCAACAAAAGCCAAAATTGACAAATGGGATCTAATTTAACTAAAGAATTTCTGCACAGCAAAAGAAACTACCATCAGAGTGAACAGGCAACCTACAGAAAATTCTTGAAAATTCTTGCAATCTATCTATCTGACAAAGGGCTAATATTCAGAATCTATAATAAACTTCAACAAATTTGCAAGAAAAAAACAACCCCATCAAAAACTGAGTGAAGAATATGAACAGACCCTTCTCAAAAGAAGACATTATGCAGCCAACGAACATATGAGAAAATGATCAACATCACTGGTTCTTAGACAAATGCAAATTAAAACCACAATGAGATACCATCTCACATCAGTTACAGTATCAATCATTAAAATTAAAAAGTCAGAAAACAACAGATGCTGGAAAGGATTTGGAGAAATAGGAACACTTTTATACAGGTGCTGGGAGTGTAAATTAGTTCAGCCATGGTGGAAGACAGTGTGGCCATTCCTCAGGAATCTAGAACTAGATATATCATTTGATCCAGCAATCCCGTTACTGGGTATATACCCAAAAGATTATAAATCATTTTACTATAATGACATATGCACACATATGTTTACTCTGACACTAGTCACAATAGCAAAGACTTGAAACCAACCCAAATGTCCATCAGTGATAGACAGGATAAAGAAAATGTGGCACATATACACCATGGAATATTATGCAGCCATAAAAAGGATGAGTTCTTGTCCTTTGCAGGAACATGGATGATGCTGGAAACCATCATTTTCAGCAAACTAACACAAGAACAGAAAAACCAAACACTGCATGTTCTCACTCATAAGTGGGAGTTGAACAATGAGAACACATGGACACAGGGAGGGGAACATCACACACTGGGTCCTGTCTGGAGGTAGGGGGATAGGGGAGGCATAGCATAAGGAGAAATACCTAATGTAGATGATGGGCTGATGGGTGCAGCAAACCACCATGGCACGTGTATACCTATATAACAAAAGTGCACATTCTGCACCATGTACCGCAGAACTTAAAGTATAAACAAAAAAAAAAATATAGAGCCAAGGCTGGCAGGGTAATTTGCGTAAACATTCATGGTCCATTTGCAAGCACTAAATCTTCAGCACAGGCCCACAGACTGGAAATTCAGTCAGGATTTGTGCTTTGCAGTCTTGAGCCAGAGTTCCTTTTTTGGGGGGCAAACCTGAGTCTTTGCTCTTCAAGTTTGTATGTCACTGGATGAGTCCCACTCATATTAGACAGAATACTCTGCTGTACTCAAGGCTTACTGATTGTAAATGTTATTCACCTCTACAAAATACCTGAACAGAAACATCTAGAGTAGTGGTTTGCCAGGCAACCAATCACCACAGCCTTGCCAACGTTTATGCGCACAAAATTAGCCATCATCAGATATTACAGAGAGCTATGATCTGTATGTTTATGGCCCCTCCAATTCTTATATTGAAACCTAATCTCAAAGTGATGGTATTAGGACGTGGTGCCTTTGGGAGGTGATAAGGTCATTAGGCTGGAGCCTCAAGAATGGCATCAGCGCCCTTATAAAAGTGACCCCAGAGAACTCCCTGGCCCCTTCTACCATGTGAGGACACAGCAAGAAGGTGCCATCTATGAACCAGGAAGCAAGTCTTCACTGGACACTGAATGTCTTGATACCTTGATATTAGATTTCCAGCCTCCATAACTGTGAGCAATAGATGTATTTTTCTTATAAATTATCCAGTGTAACACCTTTTGCTATGCAGACCAAACAGACTGGGGCATGTGACTATAAAATCTTCAAGCTGTATCCCAGTGAGAGTTAAACCTTATTTCTTTCCTTTTCCTTGGAAGAGCTATGAATACAAAGATTTTTGTCATCAAAATTCAGTGTCTTCTTGATTTTAGATGTGTATTTATAGAAGTTGCATTTAATTATTTTGTAGCAATTATTAGTAAAAATATGTGTACAGTCAAAGACAAAATAATATTGCCAACATAGAAGAAATTGCATCATACTCTCTGAAATGCAGCAACACTCCAGGATGTTTGGGAACAGTCCCATAGGTTGCTAGAATTGCACAATCCTTTTCTGAGAAATATGAATTTAAGAAACTTAATCCTTCCTCATGAAGATGTGTCTCAACCATCTACTCTTACTACAAGTAAAATATTGCAGTAACCATTAAAATTAGTTAAACATACATATTAGTGAAGAGATTTTTGCCAGCACCTTAACATTCAGCAAATTTCCTTAAATTTAGGAACATGGACAAAATGTGAGAGGTTGGTCTTTCTCTTTCTAATTTTCCCAATAGCTGCGCACAAAGATAATGGACAATGGGTCATGCGCAACAATATTTTTACTCAGGAGCACAGTTCAGGACACTTTGAATAGCCACTCCTCACTTTAGAGATGAGATAAAAACTGTGTAAAATTGACACAACTCCTCAGGTAATTAGTGCAAGCCCTGACTAGCTAGAAGCAGTCCTCGTTGCTGAACTGGACAACCTTTCTTTGACACCTTCTGTGTTGAGATGTTTCCTATAACACTCTGTGAGATGGAAATCATTTGGTGTCAAAGAGAGCAATTGAGCAATCCAAATCATATAAGTAGGCATCTCCTCAATGACTACTATTTTGAATGTAGTCTTCACAATGTTTCGGGAGTGTCAGAATATTCTATTGTTACATAAAAGTCTTATTTTTAACTTTAATGTAGAGGCATCACTTGTGTTTGAAAGCAGTGGCTTCTTACCAGAAACCAATTATAGAGATCCCAGGCAGCAAAATATCTATTTTTCTATATCTATCTTTGTATCTATCTTTGTATCTATCTATCTATCTATCTTCTCAACTCTCGTCTGCCTATTATCTATATAATCTACTTATCTATCTAGCCTTTCAATCATCTGTCCTTCTAACATCTATTCATGTCTACCCACCATTTATCTCTGCATCTACCCATCTCCCTATCTGCCATCTGTCTGCCATCTAGCCATATCAATCTATTCATCCATCTATAATCTATCCATCTATCTATATATATATCAATTATCTGTCTGCCTATGTATACTATTCATCTATCTATCACCTATATGTACCTATAAATTATTTATCTATTTACATAGGTATTCATCTATCTATATCCAATATTTATGTATCTATCCATCTGTCTATCATCTAGACATATCTCTCTATGCACTTATTTATGCATGTGTCTATTATGTATCTATCTATCCATCTATCTACCAATGTATCTATCTACACAACTATCGATTTATGCATCTATCTACAAATCTATTTAGGAATCTATGTTATCTATTTATCAATCTATGCATCTATTTCATCTATCTATCTCTATCAATTATTTATCTGTTTGCCTATTATTGATCTATCCACCTACCCATCCACGTGCCTAGACATATCAATTATCTATGTATTTATCTATCTATTCATCTATCTATTTCAAGTATGTGTGTATGCATGTATGTATGTACGTATGTATGTATCCATCCATCCATTTATCTATGCATCTAGCTTTTCCCCCAGTGCACTAGTTTGTATCTTACCGAATTGACATACATTAAGCATATCACAATTTCAGACACTCTTATTTATTTATTTATTTATTTATTTATTTATTTACTTACTTTTTTTAGATGGAGTCTCACTGTGTCGCGCAAGCTGGCGCGATCTCGGCTCACTGCAAGCCCCACCTCCCGGGTTCACACCATTCTCCTGCCTCAGCCCCCCGAGTAGCTGGGACTGCAAGTGACTGCTACCACGCCTGGCTAATTTTTTTTTTTTTTTTAGTAGAGACAGGATTTCACGGTGTTAGATAGGATGGTCTCAATCTTCTGACCTCATGATCAGCCCTCCTCGGCCTCCCGAAGTGCTGGAATTACAGGCGAGAGCCCCTGCACCTGGCCAATATGCATATTTCTTCACACCGCAGTGACAACAAAAAGCTTGAATTTCTCTTTTGTTATCACATGCACACTCAAGTATACATATTACCTTGACCAAAAGTTTCAAGTCCTTTTATTTATGCATTTAAAAATACTACCACTTTAAATTAAAAATCATAGTATGGGGGAAATTAAGTTAGTAGGTGTATTTATTAGACCATAGTTGTGTTGTTATAAGACACTACCCGACAATGGGTAATTTATAAAGAAGAGTTTAATTAGCTCAGGGCACCACAGGCTATACAAGAAGCATGGCTGTAGAGGCCTCAGGAAACTTAGGATTATGGCAGAAGCAAAGGGGAAGCAGGCACATCTTACATGGCAGAAGCAGGAAGAAGAGAGAAAAAGAAGAGGTGCCACACACTTTTACAAAACCAGATCTCATGACAATTCACTCACTATCATGAGAACAGCAAGGGGGACAGCCACTCCCATGATCCAGCCATCTCTCACCAGGCTCCTTCTCCAAAATGGTAGATTGTAATTCAACCAGACATGTGGGTGGGAATACAAATTCAAACCATATCAGTAGGCATCTCCTCAATTATTACTATTTTGAAAGTAGTTTTCACGAAGTTTCAGGAGTGTTAGAAACCCAGGTTCCTGTCCACAAGACGGTGCATTATGACATGAAAGGATGGCTGAGTAGGTGCCCTGTGCACAATACTTATGTTCTTTATCTCTGCCAAGTGCTCCTGTGGTCCAAGGCTAGGCAGCATCTATCTGTTCCCTCTTCAATCAGCTAAGCGCACTGACATTCTTACCTGCAGACATCTCTCCAAATTTACCAAGAAATGGCTCCACAATTTTCCTGGTTGTGAGCCAATTAAATGTTCTTGCCCTGAACAAGCTAAACACATACGAAATGCATCTTCTGTGTGCAATACTCAGAAACTGTTTTCTGAGCCTCCTGATGAATTTCCTGTGCCCTCGAGATTATGTATAAGCATGGATTTTAAGCATTCAACAAGTGGCATATGCTTTAAAATGACAATGGATGACAATGTCATCCTTTCTCCAATTAATGCATTAAAGAGGCATGAGAGAACAGGGACAAACTGATGTATCCTATATCATCTTGGAAGACCTCATGGAAAATTACAGCTGTCTCTCCAACATGCCAGGGAAATTTAGATATTCTCGTAAGTCTCTGCTTGCCTGTGTCTAGGGTCACAACCAAAATATTTTACCATTTGGGACCAGGAGACGTAGAAGTCATGAGCCAAACATCAATAATTAAAGCCGAGTTATGAAATAGTGTTCATTCTTTCTCTCCTGTGAGGATGCATGGTAGGCTGGCTCAGTTCTTACCAGGGAAATAGGGAGATAGAATATCTCCTACTGATCCTAAAAGGAACCTCAAATTGAAGCTAAGCTCATTGATATGAAAAACATATGATAGTGTGATATCTATTCCCATCTTACTATTTTATGGATTAAAAAATTAAAAAAGGAGACCCATGCTGATTTATTCAGTTTTCCATATTGGAAAGAATAAGAGAGCTAGGATTTGGAATCCAGAGTCTGTGCAATTTAGTATAATGTTCTCGGAGGCAATACGCTGTAAGCACCTAAGGCAGGGCTGTTGCTGTGATCAATGATATAATTGAGAAGAACCTCCCCTCCACTTCCCTGAATGCACATTCTCTCCCTTTGATTGCCTATAAACACTGCACTTTTTATTCCTTATAATTCTCATCTCCACCCCATCTCTCTACATTTTTAATACAAATTAAATATCTCAATATGTAATTTTATTACTTGCTACAACTTTGCCCAGACTTTTATCTCTGAATTCCTTCTTTTCCTTGTTTTCTCAATTATTTTTCAATACTTTTTAATGGAGAATTTTTTCAATCATTTACTATATATGATCAAAACTATACATAATCAAATCTATATATGATCTCTCCATGTTTTCCAGGTAAAGTCCAATACATACATTTTTTTTTTTCTTTTGAGACAGGGTCTCACTCTGTCACCCAGGTTGAAGTGCTCTTGGCTCACTGCAACCTGCACCTTCAGGGCTCAAATGATCCTCCAACCTCAGCCTCCCAATTATTTGCAACTACAGATACTCAGCAGCATGCACAGCTAAGTTTTGTATTTTTTCTAGAGGTGGGGTCTCACTATGTTCTCCAGCCTGGTCTTCAACTCCTGAGCTTAAGCAATACACCTCCACAGCCTTCACAGTGCTGGGATTACAGATGTGAGTCACTGTACCTGGCCTACATACATTACATACTATTTTATTTTATTATTTTATTTTTTGAGGAGGAGTCTCACTGTGTCACCAAGGTTGAAGTACAGTGGCACAATCTTGGCTCACTGCATGCTCCCGGGTTGTGGCCATTCTCCTGCCTCAGCCTCCCGAGTAGCCGGGACTACAGGTGCTCACCACAACGCCCGGCTAATTTTTTTTTGTATTTTTAGTAAAGACAGGGTTTCACAGTGTTAGCCAGGATGATCTCGATCTCCTGACCTCGTGATCCGCCTGCCTCAGCCTCGCAAACTGCTGGGATTACAGGCATGAGCCACTGCACCCGGCCCCATACATTCTTAAATGAATACATAAATATACTAGTTTTAGACCCTACATACAGAACTACTGCAAGAGGAAAATTAAGAAGTAGACACACTTAACCAACATTTCTGAGAAAGAACAAATAATTTTTGCTTTGTGGAAAAAAAAAAACCATCATAATGACCAAAAGAAACAAGCTTCATTTAATTCTATTTGATTTATGCCTTCAATGTTGTTTTAAAAGATGACATATGTAGAAAACCTTGCCACCCTGAAGGTAGCAACAGATTGATGTGTGACATTGTGAAAGTCATATCCGTGTCCGCTTCCTTCACCTTCTGAACCAGTGATAAAGACCTTCTCATATTTTCTCACAATACATTGCAGAAACCACAGGATCACACATATCTCAAAATGTGGTAAAATATCCTTCAAGCTCCCTAGTGGAAATAAGAGAGAGAGCTGCAAGCAAAACTGAAATGCCCTAGGGATACCACAAATTCATTACAGGGTAAAGATGATGTTTGTAGCAGCAAATGTCATAGTTGAGCTATCCAAAATAGCCTAATAAGAGATGCAAATTCTCTTTGAAATTCTCACAACCCTGGGCTCAAGCAATTCTTAGCCTGAGCTCCCAAGTAAATGGGATTATAGGCATGAGAAATTCTTCCATTAAGCAGAGAAAAAAAAAATAGAAATGAAGAGAAAAATATGAAGAAATCCGCATGAGGAAGAGGTCAGAGGAAGTAAGGGAGGAGACCACCCTTCATATTGTCTTATGCCCAATTTCTGCCTCCAAAGAAAGAAAAAGTAAACACTAAAAGGCAGAAATGAAATCCACAAGCAGACAGCCTGGCGCCACACCCTGGGCCCGGTACTTAAAGATTGACCCATGACCTAATCGGTTGTTATCTATAGATTACAGACATTGTATAGAAAAGCACTGTGAAAATCCCTATCCTGTTTTGTTCTGATCTAATTACCAGTGCATGCAGCCCCCAGTCAAGTACCCCCTGCTTGCTCAATCGATCACGACCCTCTCACGCGGACCCCCTTAGAGTTGTGAGCCCTTAAAAGGGACAGGAATTGTTCATTCAGGGAGTTCGGCTCTTGAGACAGTAGTATTGCCAATGCCCCTAGCCAAATAAACCCGTTCCTTATTTAACTTGGTGTCTGAGGAGTTTTGTCTGTGGCTTGTCCTGCTACAGAAGCATAAGCAGTTCTTTCCCACATTGTCCGGTCAATGTCACCTCTGGGAAATGGTCCTTGTTTATTCTGTGGCTTTCCGTGTTAGCAGATACATTCCCATGACTGCTCAAGTGTGCTCACCTTTTCAGTTTGTTTTATCCGAAGCCCTAATATGAGTTTCTCAACCTTGAAGGCTCTTCACTTTGGTGGGTATGGTGGTTCATGCCTGTAATCTCAGTACTTTGAGAGGCTAAGGCAGATTGATCACTTGGGGCTGGGAGCTTGAGACCAGCCTGGGCAACATAGTGAGGTCTCATGTCTACAAATTTTAAAAAATTAGCTAGGTATGAGGACACACTCCTGCAGTCTCAGCTACAAGTGAGGCTGAGGTGGAAGGATCACTTGAGTCCCAGAGTTTGAGGCTGCAGTGAGCTATGATTGCACCACTGCACTCCAGTTTAGATAACAGAGCAAGACTTTGACCCAAAAATAACAATTAAAAAAAAGACTCTTTTCTTCACCACCTCAGAATTTCTATTGCTTCCCAAGGACTAGATTATATTTTTGTATTTTATATCACATTTTAAGAGATGGTTGAGAATTCAAGGACTCTACAGTTCAGTACCCCAGGCTACATACTGTTTGTGGAGATGTCCCTATGAAATGCACAGGCAGTATCAACTCTGCAAACAGTGTAGAGCCAAGTGCAGACCTAATGAAGTTGAGAGTAGAACAATGACCAGGAAAAAAAAGAAGGCAAGTAAAACACAATCATTTCAACCTGTCATCACAATATTTATTTCTGATCTGATGATAATGTTTAGAAAAAAAGGCTGGGAGATTTATCTGGATAGTCAATAGGTGAATCTGAGCCTAACTGAAATATTGTGAATGATTCCATATTAGGTGATAACAGTTCCATCAGTGTCCAATAGTGTTTATTTCTTTAGAGGTAGGGTTTTGCTATGTTGCCTGCACTAGCCTTAAACTCCTGGGCTCAAGTGATCCTCCCACCTCAGTCTCCCAAGCAGTTAGGACTATAAGTACATGACACCAAGCCTGGCTAATTTTTTTTTATTTTAATTTTTTAGAGACAGGGTCTCACTCTGTCACACAGGCTGCAATGCAGTGGCACAATGATAGATCACTGCAGCCTCAAAGCGCTGGGCTCAAGCAATTCTTCTGCCTGAGCCTCCCAAGTAACTGGGATTATAGGCATGATCCACTGCCCCTAAAAGTACTTTTTATCAAGTCAATAAAGAGAAAACTAAACTAGATACTTCAGTAAATACCAAAAATATCAGAACAACTTGCATTTATGTTTAAGGAAGCCGATAGCTCATCATTTATAGCTTAGCTGCTTGGAACATTGATGGACTTTTGATCTACACATTTTACACAATAGTTTTGGATAGGACATTTTGGTTTCTTAACATTAACTATGCATTATAATGACTATAGAATTGCACAGGAATTTAATTCATAAAACTTAAATGTCTTTATGCATTCATTTCTCTCTGTTATGGCCTTGTTATGTCTCCCTCTCACCCCACCCTCCAATTTCACTGTATTTGAAGATATAGCATTTAAAGATATAATTAAGGGTAAATTAGTTCATCAAGATAGAGCTCCAAAATAACAGAACTGGTGTCTTTTGAAGAACAGAAAGAGATGCAGAGGTGCACAGAATATTGATTTCACACTATATACTTAACACTTTTAGAAATATTTCAAGTACATCTCCAATAATGATGATTTTAAATTTTTTGATACTGAATTCTGAATTTAAAGATCAAATTCTAAGCTATTCAGAAATCTAGCTATATTATCTCAAAGAATTACTTAGCTTTTTGTATTTAAAGTGGGACTAACGATATTATTCTTGTTGAGATTCTGAGTTGACCAAAGTGCTGATTAGCAATAAAGCAATTATTAGGAATAATATTATGAATCTTTTTGTTATTTTATTTTGCTCCTATCAGGATGCTGCATGATGTAGCTCATTCAAAAGAAGATACAGTATTACTAAATTAGTTAGAAGGTGTTAAAAAAAGACAATTGATAATGCTTCTTTTTTTTTGTCTAGATATGTATTTGGAAATGTACCTCCTTTTTCAAAATGCATATCATTAACTAAACATATATAGACACTTCCAGCCAAAAAATGTCCACAGCTCAGCTTCTCATCTCTATTAAATTTTGCTCATCTCTGCATACTCCTCATAGATGTCTCCCAGTCAGCCAATCCCAAATTTATACTCCTTTCTCCTCCTTCAGACATATACAATCCATCCCCAAATCTGAGTACTGTCCCCTCACCCCATTTTCTCTATCTTCCCCTCTCCATGACCACTGTCTTTTTCTTCCCTTGCCCCTGTTACTCTCTCCACATCTCATCTCAACACATTTTGGTCCACCTCCCAGAGTTTTGCATAAATCTTCATAATATGCAAGCCTTTCCTGTATGAAGTCTTTCCACGTACAGCACAGTCAAATCCACTAGGAGACGTCAGCAGATGGATGCTGTGGTCTTCTCCTTCTCTCCAGTGACACCACCTGACATGTAGGGTCTCCATCTCTGAAAAAGCCTGTGCTGCATGTCACAGTGCTGCACATTCTTCCAGGCTGTGGCCCCACCACTTTCTCTCTGTCCTTTAATCTCAGCTCAGACTTCATTCTCCCAGTGAAGAATTTCCTAAATCTCCCAGTGAGAAGTTGCTTAGTTACTCCCCTATAGTCCCATTTCACAATTCCATGAAATAAAGTATGTGTTTCTATGGTATTCAGGGTTCAGATGCTAGTACAAATGCCTGAAGATGGGGACCAGATGCCTTTCATCTACAAAGACCCTGCTGTCAACACCCCACCCACATAAATGGCTGTCCAGCAACAATTTGTTTTAAAAGCTTGGATTTTTCATATATTTTTCTAATTAAATCAATTGTGGAGGATTTTGACAGTAATTGTGCTGGGTTTTCAGCATATTTTTGCATATGTTTACATATACATACATATGTAAGCAAGAGTATATAAGCATATATTAAAATATGTATAAGGGTTATAAATAGTACCCGCCTGAATGTCTATTCGTGAGTTCATTTCCTGGAGGGCTTAAAACTATATCCAAATTCCAGCAAGATTTCCATGTCAGCCATTACTGTGGTTTGCTGCAACTCATCAAAGAAATGGTGACCAAGGCGGGAGTTTCTGTTGCATTTCCACAGGAGGTTTTGGCCTGTAACTGTGCCTCTTATTTTCCCTTCCTTTCCACACTTTTCTTTCTTTTCTTTCCTTTCCTTTTCTACTGGAATATTTTCTTTTGAGTATAGCATCACTTGAGAAAGAGAAAAAAATACATACAAGGTAAACAATTATTTTTAAAAAAAGGGGAGGGGAAATGTGTAAGAGAAAAAAAAGTATAACATCACTTGAAAAAGAAAAAAAAAAACACTATTGCACTTTAAAATGGGTCAGTTTAGCTCTCTAAATAGGATGAATTGCCAGACTCAAAATTATTCAAATATAATAATAATAAGGCAGTAACAAAGATTCTATTAGTGTTAATCTTGTCATCTGAAATGTTATACTTTCCTTTTACTCAAGGAAGAACACACATTGGATTTTCTAAATAAATATATTTTGAAAATGTAAGGTGATTGATGAAGTGGAAAGCAAACATACTTATCAACATAAAAACATGACAAAAAATAAATTGTAAATATAGAGCAAAATCTTTGTCCTGATAGTTTTAATGGAGATATAAAAAAAAATGGGAAAGAGGATGTTGAAAGGAGCATTTGCTAAGGACAATTTAAGATAATTTCATATGTAGCCGAAACTTCATCTGTTAATTGCAAAAAATAAAAATAAAGGATTGATGTCCTTAACATAGCATGCTGAATACTCAGTAGAAAAATTAAGCTGAAATCAAGATACAAAACCTCACCATAAACAATTCACAGCAGTTTTTTGCAGGACTAACAATAAATATAAAAAAAAAATGATGCTTATCTTTACATCTAACCATAAATGTACTACTAATAATGAGACAGAAGTCTTTATAATAATGTTATTGTCTTTAAAAGACAACACAAAGGGCCAGGCATGAGGGCTCACTCCATAATCCCAACATTTTGGGAGGCCAAGGTGGGCGTATCACTTAAAAGTCAGGAGTTCAGGATTTTGAGGTCAGCCTGGCCAACATGATGAAACTTGTCTCTACTACAAATACAAAAATTAGCCAGGCATAGTGGTGCACACCTGTAATCCCAGAGGATGAGATGGAAAGTTCACTTGAACCCGGGAACTGGAGGTAGCAGTGAGCTCAGATCATGCCGCTGCACTCCAGCCTAAGTGACACAGTGAGACTCCATCTCAAAAAAATAAATAAATAAATAAAAGACAATGCAATGACTAAAAGGCAGGTCAACAAGACATTCTTATTCAATGCTGCTGGCAATATTATTAATATGTATTTTTTTTTTTTAGGTTTGGATAAACATTAACACTCTGAACCAGTGATCTTACAACTCTACATTTGGTCATAGTAATTTTATTTACTGGAATCTACTGTAAAGAACTATCAAAATTGTCTAGAAAGATGCATATGCACAGATTATCACGTAAAAGGTCAAATAGGAAAAACAGGGAATTTGGCTTTCCAAAATGAGATACATCATTAAAGTACAATATTCTAAAAAAGGAGTCTATGCAGTTATACAACAACCCTTTGAAAATGATTCATATCTATTATGTTATATTGGACTAATAATTCTAAAAAATTGAAATAAAACAATAAAACTTATCAATGAAATAAAAAATATTTTCATTATCTTGGATGAAATAATTAAAACATACGAATTCATATACTTGTGTATCTTGTTAATTTTACAAAACACACAAATACAAATAAAAGCTAAAAGAAACACAACAAAATATACATGATTATAATTTTTTCTCCCTCCTATATTTCGAAATTCATATTGTGAATTATATACTAGAAAATAAAAATTAGAAATAAATAATTTTTCTTATAGAAACATAAATAATTCTATGATAAGAACATTTATGTTTGTGATAGACTCCAATGAAGCAATTAAATATCCCTTACACTATGCAAGATTTCTGCAGCCTGATTTTAGGAGAGAAGAAAGTAATATTTGTTGAATACAGCTGAGTTTTCTTTCCCATTTTGGAAGACATATTGAAATTATATTTCTCAAATGTGTGAAAAGTTTCTAAGGTAAGATAAGTTTGCTAACTTTCAAAACATTCACATAGTCACTCAAATGGGTGAGAAACAATCGTCATCTCTAGCAAAGGCAAAAATATTGCCTCAAAATGTGGATGCAATTCTGAAATGTGTGTGATAATTGGTATTAAAAAGATAATAGTTAAATAGACACAGTTTTCCACATGGAAAAGAAATGATTGGAAGACTGAGTTATTTTTGTAAAATTGTAAACGATTAAACCTGAGGAACTGTGATAATATTCAATGTAATACATTATATTACAAATAATATTATATTATATTGTTTTACTGTTTTATGTAGTAACCATGAAAGGATATTTAAATTTTGGGTTGTTGTACAATTTTATTTTCTTGGCCACATTTCCCAAAATGTTCATGCATCATTGAATAATTTTTACTGAACTTAATACATTGAGTTTGAAGCAGAAAATATTAAATAATGAATGACCCCTTATAATTATACCTAATTGATACAATTATTAAAAGCACAAAAACCAAGGAATAGCTTATTTAAAATGTAACATTTTCTACAAGATTCTCAAAACATTGCTATGATTTTAATTTAAGCAAGAACTATCTTGCTACACATCTACTGTACTTTTCCAACCAGGAAATTCACTTTAAAAACACAAATAAACTTACTAAAACTAAAGATTCCAGGGTCTGAATATCACTTCTTTCACACTTCAATTGTCTGGTATAGGTGAAACTCAGAGTGGATAACGTTTTCCTTTTATCAAATGCATTTTTTCAGTTTCCTCTTGTTTACTTTATGCAGAAGGCAAAAGGAATCCAAGTTACATTGATTGAGAAGGCAGTCAAGAAGGCAAAGGAGAGTAGCTGGCTGTGCAAAAATCATTAAAATCCACCAAGATTCAAACATCTGGACAAATGTGTCATTTCTTACTTCAGATTTCTCTCTTTCAGCATAATATGAATTGTAATAATGAATAACAGGCACAATACTATGGCAAAATAGCACAGATACAAACTATCTAGTAAGACCATAGTATTGGTAACATGAAGGAAGTTCTCCTATAAATTAATTATTGTATCAAATGTTAAAACACATCATACTTAGTATATCCATACGTACTTTCTATGTAGTTACATTTATTTATTTTTGTGTGCATGCTTCTGGAGTTTGTACTCTTTGATGGTAACTGTTACCACAGTTATGACATGGAAACAGTTTTATTGTCTCAAAATGTTCCCCGGTGCCTCTTTGTACTCAAACTTTCTCCCAACTCACATCCCTTGGCAAACATGGAACAAATTTTTATCCTTAGAGCATTGCCTGTTCTAGAAAATCATGTACAGGGAATTAAACCATATGTAGACATTTGAGTCTGACTTCCATCACCCTAAATAAGCATTGGTGATTTACCCGGGGTCTCTGCAAGTACTAGTTATTGCACTGCTGGTAAACCGCTATTTAAGCTCCAGTGTTTTTTATGTTTGTTTTCTAATTGTTGAGAAATATCTCAATGTCTGACTGCATCACAATCTAATTATCTGTTCACCAGTTGAAAATTTACATTGCTTTCAGTTTTGCAGTTAGGAATATACCTGTAATCATGTAAACAATAATTTTTTGTTTGAACATAAGTAATCATTTCTTTAAGTTAAATATCTAAGACTTTGATTGCCAGATCAAATGCTAAGAATATGTTTGTGTGTGTGTGTATTTGTGTGTGTGTGTATGCCATATTGGCACACTCTATTTTTTCAACAGAAGAAGGGTGTAACTTAGTAGAAACAACAGGACCTTTGGAGACAAACACATTTGGATCAAAATCATTGATCAAAATCCAGGACTACACAGATGTTAAACAACTAGGAACAGGCAGGGCTTGGTGGCTCACACCTGTAATGCCAGCACTTTGGAAGGCCAAGGTGGGCAGATCAAGAGATCAGGAGATTAAGACCATCCTGGCCAACATGGTAAAACCCCATCTCTACTAAAATACAAAAAATTAGCCAGGCATGGTGGCCCTCATCTGTAGTCTCAGCTACTTAGGAGGATAAGGCAGGAGAATATCACTTGAACCTGGGAGGCGGAGGTTGCTGTGAGCCGAGATCATGCCACTCCAGCCCGGCAACAGAGTAAGACTCCATCTTAAAAAAAAGAAAATAAACAACAACAACCAGGAACAGTACAATTGTCCTCTTCCTTTTCTCAGTCATTGAACAAGTTCAGCAGAAAGAGGAAGAGAGTAGAGTCAGGGAGTTGTGGATTTGTTTCCCAGTGTTACAGTTGCTTGAATAACTTTGAGCAAGTCATTATATTATTTACCAGATTCCATTTCCTATCTGGAAAAAGAGAAGAATAATATTTTCAAATGAGATTTATGGAAAAAAAACACTTAGATTACTCACATAACAAGAAAGGAGAGGAAAAATTCTGCCCAATACTGATGCTACAACAGAGAGGAGAGGACAGCTTCTTTCAAAGAAAGGATAGTAATTGGATGATATTTTTAGATATTACCACCAACTTGATCTGGGATGCAACAGAAAGGCAAAGTAGCTAAAATGGAGAATATAACTTTGCACTCATGCATGTAAAGTAATCAATATTAATACCCTTGTTGTGGGGATATATATATCTATATCTATATCTATATATCTATATCTATATCTATATATATATATGTATAGCAAAGCCCTTTCCAATATCTGCCAAGCAGTCTTGGGTCAACCATATTTATGCCAAGGAAAGACACATGAGTTGTTGAAAAGAAATAATTTGGGCGAGTGGTAAACTGACATAACCAAGAATAGACAGAAAGAATTAGGTAGTATGAATAAATGAGGTAGTAAAAGAGGTGGAAAACAAACCATGTATGTCCCTTTTCTGACGAGAGAGTCCTTGAGACATTGCAGGGCATAGTGGGCATTTGAGACTAATTTAATTTTTTGTAATTTTGAATCTCATAGGCAATACTATTCCAGGTTGGATAAGGTGAGTGATATCTAGTAGTTTATATATCTAAGGTTGATCTGGCATATTCCAGATCCTCAATCAATAATCTCACTGCTGTCTTACTATTGGTGAGGCTAGTCATTGATGTTATTATAAATATGAATATAATACCATTCACACTTCATCTATAAAGAAGAAACTATTCAGTTTTTTTTTATTTTGCTTTCTGACATTATTTTTTCTGTTGCATTATCTGTTTCTGACTTTCCCAGCACTTTCAGAATTACCAGCCAATCTCAACATATAAAGATACAGTATATGTGTTATAGTATAAGTGATACAGTTACCTCTGGGCTAAAAACATTGCAATCAGAAACACATGTTATGCATAAAGTAATTGGTGCCATCTGAGCATTCTTCTAAGCAAACTTATTTTACTTTTTGTAGTGTTGCTGTCTCCTGATACTTAACCATTTCATTTTGAGATGTTAGTTTTCCAATTCTCTATAGAGAATTCAGCATTGTTATGGTTAATTTTATTTATCAACTTCACTGGACTATGGGTGCACAGATAGCTGGTTAAATATTATCTCTGAGTGTGTCTGTGAGGGTTAGGGTGTTTCCACAAGGAATCCACACTTAAACTGGTCAATTCAAAAAATAGGTTTCCCTCCCCAATGTCAGTGTGCCTCACTTAATTCCTTAAAGGACTGAATAGAACAAAAAGTGGAAGAAGTTTGAATTAACTCTGCCTATTTGAGCTGGGACATTGATCTGCCCTCTGTGCTGCTGGTTCTCAGATCTTCAGAAGAGACTGGAATCTGCACCATCGTCCTCTGTCTCTTGGATCTTTGGACTACACCACCGGCTTTCCAGTGTCTACTTCTTGGAGACACGTGGTTATGGCACTTCTCAGCTTCCATATTCAAATGAGCTAACTCCTTATAAATATTTTTTTGAGAGGGGGCCTTACTCTGTCATCCAAACTGAAGTGCAGTGGCATGATCTTGGCTCACTATAACCTCTTCCTCCTGGGCTCAAGAGATCCTCCACCTTCCCCTTCCCCCAAACAAGTAGCTGGGACTACAGACATGCACCACATGCCTGGCTAATTTTTCTATTTATTCATAAAGATGGTTTTTTGCCATGTAGTCCATGCTGGTATTGAACTCCTGAGCTCAAGCCTTCTGCCCACCTCAGCCTCCCAAAGTGCTGGGATTACAGGTGTAAGCCTCTGTACCTGGCCCCTTATAATAAATATATTGATGGATAGATAAATATAGAGATGTATCTTTTAAAATTATATCTATATGTATAGGTATATAACTATATCTTATTGATTCTGTTTTTCTAGGGAATACTGAAAAATACAAACATTTATACTCTTTTAAGAAGTTACTTTATGTCTTTCAGCCTCAGTTTCCCAACATACAGAATGGAAATCACAACTTGCCATCAACATCAAGTCACTGTAAACCTTAAACTGATAATGTATACAAAGCAGAATCTTTCTGTAAGAAGGATGAATATTTACAATAATATTTGCTTACAGAAAGAATAATATCTAAAACCCTTAGAGGTATATTTCAATAACTGTGTTTTAAAGTACCACATTTCATCTCCTCCCACCTGCTCTAACTGGATGTGTCAAGTGAGCAATGTTTGAATAATTTTTGCTGATTCAGCCAGTAAAGTAGTATGTTGGCTCTTTGACAACTTTGCTTATTATTAAGTAGTAGAAAGGAGTTTAGAATACTTGTCTGTAATGCCCCTCTCAAGAAATCCCCATGCTAGACTGATTAACTCAGAATCTCTAAGAGTGGACCTGAGATGTCTGTATTTTGTAAAATTCCCTCAGGGAATTCTTATGTACAGGCATTTCTGAGATTCATTAATTATAGGTTTGGATAGATGAAAGTTAAAATCAAACTTAATTCTGGAATTCTCTGGCATCTAAAAAAAGTATTTGAATTCCTGTTATGTACAAGGCAAATTTTATGATTCAGCTCAAACACTAAATTGGTGAGGAAGAAAACAAGATAAAAATGCCCTCAACATTAGAAAATAAAATTCACTCTTCAGATGCTGTTGTAAATTCTGAAACTTTGGAATTATTGAGCTGTCAGGAGACCCAGGAGAAAGAAATATGACATATGTTCAGCCCTAGGAGGGAAAAATTTGTGACATTTTCCAGGTTTAGGCTATTAAAAAAATTTTGTGAGAGGTTTCTAGAATAGAGTCTAGGTGGCATAGTGGTTGGTTATTTTTTTATTTTTCAAATTTTTTAAGACAGCATCTTGTTCTGTGGGCCAGGCTGGAGTGCAGTGGCAGGATCTCAGGTAACTGCAACATCCGCCTCCCAGGTTCAAGCAATTCTCCTGCCTCAGCCTCCTGAGTAGCAGGGACTACAGGCATGTGATGCCACGCTGGACTAATTTTTTGTATTTTTAGTAGAGATGGGGTTTGAATGTGTTAGCTAGGAAGTTCGTGATCTCCTGACCTCATGATCTGCCTGCCTTGGCCTCCCAAAGTGCTGGGATTATAGGTGTGAGCCACTGTGCCCAGCCAGGCGGAGTTACTAATGCGGCAGAACATATTTTTCTAACATCATTACATTCCTCAGGGTTGTCAGTGTTTATTCAGAGGAAAAGATGTCTAGAAGTTCCTTCGACACTACTAATGGTTAAGTTCTTAGCAACCATAATTAAATTCCAACTAAAATCTTGTAATTAACCTACAATAAACAGAAGATTTAAGGGGAAATTTACGTAGAAATAATTTCAGAAGACAAAGTGAATTCCCAAATAATACTTTAGGACATAGCTTTTTCAGTTTTCATTTCTGTTTGGTTTTAACTGAGCAAAGAGAACTCTTACCAGCCCTCACTTTTTGCACCTCTAATTAAAGAATTAGAGAAATACTCTGGAATTAAAGAAATACTCTGGAAATATAATGGACAAAGTGGGTCTAGCATCAGTAAGTCTTCAGTTTTAATTTCAGCTCCACTGTTCAGGATCTGAAAAGAAAAATAAACATGGCTAGGCTTCCTAAGTATGTATGCATTGTTTATAAAATGGGAGACTCAAGTAATAACTCCTGTTTTACATGTTGTTTCAGGTTTTGTGTAGCATAATATTATAAAATGTCTACTTTATTTCTAATGCATAGCAGATACATTTTATTAAATGGCTTCTTTAAAAAAAATTAAGCTATACCACTCATTTTAAAATGTAGTAGCCAAGCTACAATTAGCTAAATAAATATACCTATAGAAGAAAACTCCAGATATTCCAGAAAATTATTTTTTTGATATTGTAATGCATATATGGTCAACTGTCAACACTTTATTATATTCAGTCCTAATTAACTTATTTCTTAGTTTCATTGTATACATATCTTTAAAAACCCACCACAATTTTTTTTTTTTTTTTTTTTGAGACAGGGTCTTGCTCTGTCATCCACGCTGGAGTGCAGTGGCTCAGTCTCTGCTTACTTCAACCTCTGCCTCCCGAACTCAAACTATCCTCCCACCTCAGCCTCCCAGGTAGCTGGGACAACAGGCCCATGCCACCATGCCTGGCTAATTTTTGTATTTTTTTAGTAGAGTCCGATGTTTCACCATGTTGCCCATTCTAGTCTCAAACTACTGACCTCAAGTGATCCACCTGCTGTGGCCTCCCAAAATGCTGGGATTACAGGTATGAGCCACCATGTTTGGCCATCATTAACAATTTAGTGAGCTGTAGAATTTAAGCATTTATAAACCAGACTTATTCAAATGTTTCAGAGTCAGGATGTCAACTGCTTTAAATAAACTGTGGTGTTACCTAAGAAAAGAGCAAAACTGTGCGCAAATATGCATGGATGCCTAGGAACTGCACACCAAGAAGGAATCTGCTACTTGTGCAAGGATAAATATTTGGGTTGCTAAAGGAATTAGTCCAGCCGGCATTCTCCAGGTTCCCTTCTCTCCTGCTATCTGACTCAAATGCAATGGCTCCTCCAGCATTCACACTGGTGCTACTGGTCTGTGTAGTCACCAAATTGAAAAATAAATGACATACAAAGAGACCAGGAGCTGCTGAACCACTGGTATCCTTTCAGAGTTCTGGGACCATCCAAGGCTTTGGATAAGACCAACAGAGTCTGATCTTGACTCTTCTCGGTGTGTTCTAGTTGCCCATCATAACCTAAGACAGGATGGAGGACTTCTGAGAGAACAGATAATGTCCTTGACGAATATCTCTGAAGAGAACTGCAGATGCATTTGCAGCACTTACCTTGGAGGGGTAATTTGGCAACAACCTGCACAACAGTTTTGTGCAGGAATCACTGAAAGTAGTAATAGGCTCTTAGATATTAACAACCCCTGAAAACAACTCCAGGTGGGAGAAAAGAGACACTTCCAAGACCAATTTTCCACTTTGTCAGAGGCCAGGCTTGCAAAATGGAATCTCAGTTTTATAACAAAAGACATCTTATTAAAGTACATGAGGGTGAGTCTGTTGCAGTCTGCAGGTGTTGCCTGGCAGGGTTTCCAATACCTACTGTAGCTGCACATGTTTTGATGAAAAACCAGCCAACATTTTCTGGCAAGTGGCACAGATGTTTTACTTCCAAAAGGTCTGGGAGGACTTGCCAATCACAATCCCCCGTCTTCATTGCATCTTTCTAATAATAGCTATAAAGAAATCTTCCAAAAATTCATTTCTGTTAGAAATCCATGGCATGTGTTTAAAGGAAAGGGGACAGATTAAGATGTTTAAGTATAAATGTATATGGAATATGCTGACAGCAGGCTTGTGTTGTGTTGCCTCTTTGACTCTTATCTTCACAGTGTAATGTCCCTTGATTAAAACCATTAGCACTGCCTCATGTGCTGGTCTTCACCTTCTCTGTTTGAAGCTGACCTGCTGTCACACTGATGATATCCAATTTCTTTGCCAATCTGGTGATCAAGCCCAGTCTTCCATCTTGCTTTCAGAGGTGGAGGGCATATTTCATACATTTGATTTCCAAAATTTCTCATTATTATTTAGGGATAATAAAAGGCAAAAGGCACATTTGAACAGAGATTGGATAATGTGATCTTTATCATTTAATCTAGAATACTTTACAGACTTATTAGCATCTGAAGCTCAAAAATAGACACATGAAGGCAAAATAAATGGAGTCCAAGAAAGAAGTTTGTTGGTGACCTTAAAAAATTAAAAACAAATCAGTAAATTGGCCTTTCGCTATGGTTAGAGATAGTTTATTTATAAATTATGTTTTCACACATAGGATTAAATGTGAACAATACAAAGATTAGATGACTTTGATGTCATTTTGGAGAATTTCCATTTGAAGTTCAGCAATGGGCCACCCCCTCAAAATTGAATTCCAGGTTAATCCAGGAGTCCAAAACCATTTTCAATGTCTGGAGATAAGTATTTGATGAATAAGCTCTTTCAGAGCTCTTTGAGGCATGAAAAAAGTCCAAGCAGAACAGAATTGGCAAAGCTGCCCTGGTTAGGATGAAGAAAGCATGTTCCACACTAAGTTTGCTTCTGTTTACAAATCAAAGCTTGGGCAGAACATACAAGGCAATAACATGTGGATTGCAGTAAGTATAGTAGCCATCAGATTAGAGAGGAAAATCAGAACTCAAAGAGCAATGGGCTCTGTATAGAGTACCCTTGATATAAGTTGCACCATCTTAAAGAAAGGCTAAATCTTGCATTTCATAAGGCACCTTGCAACAGGGACCAGATGTCTTGCCTAATCAATAAAGACTGCACCCAACCTCATAAGGACATAACTAAGCACAGTCTTCCACTATCAGTCCTCACCAGAGGACACTGTGGCCACATAAATGGCAGGACTTTACAGATTGAAATGGTTGTCTTATCAGTCACCATCTTGTGGTAATGTGTAATAAGCACCTGACATCTGCTAGCAAAGGCTCTGTCCATTTTAAAATTTCTTCCTTGCAAAATGGATGGACTGATTAGGCCAAACCAGCATCTTCTTTTAGTCTATGTTTTCTCCATGGACTAGTTTGTTTAACTCTTTTTCCTATCCCCTTTCTCTTGATGTTGAATGTTACATCATTTGTTGTGGAATGTTTAATCTATAATATTTGATGTACTGGTTAAATATGATGCTATGTATGGTTTTGCAGTATTGACTGGCTTTGGGAGTTACTTGAGCCTGTGTGCCTGCAGTTCTTACCACTGAAATACTAAGAAGAATTTCAATTCTTCTTAGAAGAAGGAAATACTAAGGAGAATTCCCTCCTTGGGAACATGTGTCTTGTGGCTTTTGGAATTGAAATACATCAGTAAAACTGTAACCTTGTGGAAAGACACATGCATGGACCAGGTAATCTCTGACCTTGCACTGCTCATGATAGTCTCTTCTTTTTTCCTTCCCATCTCTCTTGGCTTAGACCTGTGGCAAGACTGACCTTTGAAACTATTCTGCAGACAAAGACAGAAAAACGACCAAGAAAAACCTCTCTATAAAACTCTTTATTGAGTTGGAGTTCCAGAAAGTGAGTACCTTGCAGGGCATAGCCCATTGATCTCTCCTGTCCTCTTTCCACAGGATGTTTCAAATCTATGTAGTGGCCGAAAGAATGTTAGACAAGGTAGATTCAGAGCAAAGTTACCATGAATCAAAGTAGACAAGACACCATAATAAAATGAGCAATTTGTAACTTATTTTTTAAAATAAAGACTAATGGATTAGATGGTATTTCCACAATAAAGTGGAAAAAGCCTCATAATTAATATTTCTCTCTATAAACAATGTTTTAAAAGATTTTTCCAAATATTTTATATTGAAACCATATTTTCCTATTTTACATCTATATAAGAAAGTTGCTCCTCAGTTTCTGATCTGCATGAAATAATGATTGTTGTAACAGTGAAATGAGGTAATTCACAGTCCAAAGTAATTTTCCATTTTATTTGGTCTGCAAATAATTTTTGCATGTAAAATATGATTTCTGCTAGACTTTTGTAATTTAATAAGAAATCATGGTTTTCTAATATTAATTTCAAAGAGAATGTATGAGATGTGTGACCCATAGATGCAAAACACCGGGCATTTTTTTCTCTTAAGATCCCAGTATTACAGACTAGCAGATTTTGTGTAGGGCAGTCAAATTTTGATAACCATATGACTGGTAGGTTAATAATGATTATCATTCTAAAATTCATCTCAAAATTTTCCCCAAACTTTAAAAGGTAGTGGCAGAAGAAACAAAAGATCATCTTTTTTTTTCAAGCAAATTCTCAGGAATGACGACACCAGGTTTGTAATATCTGAACAGGATAGTGAGAACATAAAAAAGCCAATGTTCTAAAATGAGACAAAATGAGAAACTTACATGTCTATATGGAAACAATACAAATGAGTTTTCCATTTAGTACTCTTGGCTTACAGTGAGCCAAATACATTCAAGAAAAAAAGGAATTTCCTTTATTCTAAAATTGTGTTTTGTTAACAAGGCTATTCTCTCTTGAATTTTAGCAAAAATATTTGCATTATGAAATTCGAATGAAGCAGAATATATGGGTATTTTTTATGTACTGAATGAGGAAAATAGAAGCCTATTTCTTTGTCTTGTTTTCCATTTTAATAATTATACTGTTCTGTGCAATCAAAAATTTGAATAAATATTGCCTTATACTAATCACAAATGGAATTCACTGTGTTCAAAGTATCTTTGCTTCTGTAATAAAAACAATTCATTCATATTTTGTTTGCATTTTAATTTGAGAAGCATGTGTAATTGAAGACCCTTTATTGGTTGGAACTCTACATTCTCATAACATCTGTCAAACCAAGGATGTGTGTGTTTGTGTGTGTGTGTGTTTCTGTGTGTTGTTGGTGGTGAAAGTTTAATAAGTAGCCACAAACAATCTCTATTAACTAGATCAGCTCTGTTTATTTTAATGTTTTGTGAGGATAAAAATGTTATTCATTGGCATTATTCAGTATAGTGGCCATTTGCAAAAGGTGGCTATTGAGTACTTGACTTGTAGCTTTGTGACTGTTGAGTTTGATACTCAATTTAATTTTAATTAATTTATATCCAATATTAAACAGCCTATACAACAAATGTCTACTGTATTAGGAAACATAGCTCTGTCTAGAGACTATTCCTCATTGTGTAATTAAATTTTTATTAGTATTTATTAGTTGTTTCCACATTAATTACAATGCTAAACATAACATATGAATTTATTTAGCATTAAACTTTAGAAATTTAATATGAAAATATTTTGTCCTTGGTGTAGTGGCTCACACTTGTAATCCTAGCACTTTGGGAGGCTGAGGCAGGTGGATCACCTGAGGTCAGGAGTTCAAGACCAGCCTGGCCAACATGGTGAAATCCCATCTCTACAAAATACAAAATATTAGCCAGGCATGATTGTGGGTACCTATTAATTCTAGCTACTCAAGAGGCTGAGGCGGGAGAATAGCTTGAACCCAGGAGGCAGAGGTTGCAGTGAGCCGAGATCTTGCCATTGCAATCCAGCCTTGGCAAAGGAGTAAGACTCCATCTCAAAAAAAAATTTGTGGAAAACATAGATATTATATTCGACATCAAATATGAAGATTTTCTTTCTGACATCAATATAAGAGTACAGTAATTATGAAGTATGTATTACAGACTAGTATAACACATTTATTTAAATCAAATTCATTTAAATTTACTTAAATGTATTATGCTAGTGGCTTTGTATAAAATTGTGTAATTTAAACATTTAAATGTCTCACAGATCACTAAATTAAATTTGAATAAAAATGTACTAATTTTAAAAATCTGACTTTAATATAAATGAATCTTATTTTTCTCTTTTACATCTTTCTTAAACTTGCCATTGATGTAATTTTAGTCTGATAACATGATCACTTAGAAATTAGCCAGGCACAGAAAGACAAACATCATGTTTTCTTTTATATATTAGAGCTAAAAAAGTGGATCCCCTGAAGATAATGAAGCTACATAGCAGTATGGTTGTTACCAGAGGTTGTGAAGAGAAGTTGCATAAGGGATTCAAAAATACAGTTAGAAGAAGTAAGTTTTTATAATTGATAGTATAGCAGGGAAATTATAGTTAACAATAATTTTTTGTACATTTCAAATAGCTGTGGGGGAAAATTAGAATGCTTCCAGTACAAAGAAAAAAGAAACGCTTAAGGAAATGGATACCCCAATTTCCCTGATTTGTTCATTACACATTGCATATAGGTATCAAAACAACAACACATGTACCCCTACACTGTGTACAACTATGGTATCCCAGTAAAAAAGCAAGCAAAAAGAAAAAGAAAAAAGAAAGAAAACTGACAGATAAAATTGAGAAATGAAATGCCTACTTTTTTCAACTTGAGAATACATTTACAAACATTTTTATATTTAAACATAATAAAATTAGAATTATAATTTTTTTGAGTAAGCAAATTGTTTTTTAAATTATACTTTATGTTCTGGGGTACATGTGCAGAACATGCAGGTTTGTTACATAGGTATACATGTGCTATGGTGGTTTGCTGCACTCATTAACCCATCATCTACATCAGGTATTTCTCCTAATGCTATCCCTCCCATAGCCCCTCAACCCCAACAGGCCTGGGTCTGTGATGTTCCTCTCCCTATGACCATGTGTTCTTATTGTTCAACTCCCACTTATAAGCGAGAACATGTGGTGTTTGTTTTTCCATTCTTCTGTTAGTTTACTGAGAATGATTGTTTTTAGCTTCATCCAAGTCCCTGCAAAGGATGTGAAAACATCTTTTTTATGGCAGCATAGTATTCCATGGTATATATATGCCACATTTTCTTTATCATGTCTATCATTGATGGGCATTTGGGTTGGTTTCAAGTCTTTGCTATTGTGAACAGTGCCACAACAAACCTACATGTATGTGCATGTGTCTTTATAGTAGAATGATTTATAATCTTTTCGGTATATACTCAGTAATGGAATTGCTGTGTCAGATATTATTTCTAGTTCTAGATCCTTGAGGAATTGCCATACTGTCTTTTGCAATGGTTGAACTAATTGACACTGCCATCAACAGTGTAAAAGCATTCTATTTCTCCACATCCTCTCCAGCATCTGATGTTTCCTGACTTTTTAATGATCCCCTTTATAACTGGCATGAGATGGTATCCCACTGTGGATTTAATTTGCATTTCTCTAATGACAAGTAATGATGAGCTTTTCTTTATATGATTGTTGGCTGCATAAATATCTTCTTTCAAGAAGTATCTGTGCATATCCTTCATTCACCTTTTGATGGGGTTGTTTTCTTTTTTCTTGTAAATTTGTTTAAGTTCTTTGTAGATTCTGGATATTAGCCCTTTGTCAGATGGATAGGTTGCAAAGATTTTCTCCCATTCTGTAGGTTGCCTGTTCACTCTGATGACAGTTTATTTTGCTGTGCAGAAGCTCTTTAGTTTACTTAGATCCCATTTGCGAATTTTGGCTTTTGCTGCCTTTGCTTTTGGTGTTTTAGTCATGAAGTGTTTTCCCATGACAATGTCTTGAATGGTATTGCCTAGGTTTTCTTCTATGGTTTGTATGGTTTTAGGTCTTACATTTAATCCATCTTGAGTTAATTTTTGTATAAGTTGCAAGGAAGGGGTCCAATTTCAGTTTTTTTTTTTTTTTTTCATATGGCTAGCCGGTTTTCCCAACACAATTTATTAAATAGGGAATCCTTTCCCTATTGCTTGTTTTTGTCAGGTTTGTCAAAGTTCAGATGGTGTAGATGTGTGGTGATATTTCTGAGGCCTCTGTTCTGTTCCATTGGTCTATATGTCTGTTTTGGTACTAGTACTATGCTGTTTTGATTATTGTAGTCTCATAGCATAGTTTGAAGTCAGGTAGTGTGATGCCTCCAGCTTTGTTCTTTTTGCTTAGGATTATCTTGGCTATACAGGCTTTTTGTTTGTCTGTTTGTTTCATATGAAATTTAAAATAGTTTTTCCTAATTGTATGAAGAAAGTCAATGGTAGCTTGATGGCGATAGCATCGAATCTATAAATTACTTTGGGAGGTATGGCCATTTTCAAGACATTGATTCTTTCTATACATGCGTGTGGAATGTTCTTCCATTTGTTTGTATCCTCTTTGATTTCCTTGAGCAGTGGTTTGTAGTTCTCCTTAAAGAAGGCTTTCACATCCTTTGTAAGTTGTATTTCTAGGTATTTTATTCTCTTTGTAGTAATTGTGAATGGGAGTTCACTCATGATATGGCTCTCTGTTTGTACATTATTGGTGTATAGGAATGCTTCTGATTTTTGTACATTGATTTTGTATCCTGAGAATTTGCTAAAGTTGCTTATCAGCTTAACGAGATTTTAGAATTATTAATTTATATTTTAAGTAATTAATATGTAATCTCACTTAGAATGAAATGTTAGCAGTAGTTCCTTAGCTGGAATGCAGCAGTGTGATTTTGGTTGCTTAAGAAGAAATGTGAAGCTGATGTGTTAACTAATTCTGGGTCTTGCCTTTTGGTCATATGCCTACATCATGCATTAATAAATTAGAAACAGATGCTCACCTATTAACTTTTTAGCTGAAAGAGATGACTGATTATGGTTTCACAGGACAAAGTTTACAGACTATAAGATAATAAAAATATCCTGTGAAAAATATCCTTTCACAGGATCATCTTAGCTGGATTTTACATAGCAGAAGAGATGTTATAATTTGTGATTTTTATCTCTGGCTCAAATGCATGTCTTTATTCTCAGTAATCCACTGCGGGGGTTTTGGAGAAAGACATAACTGGGCTTGAAACTAGGCTCAGACACTAGCTATGTGACTTGGACAAATGACTTAATCCTATAAAGTCTCAAAATTTTCATGTGTAAAATGGGGATAATATTAGTACTTGTCTCCTGTGGATGCTGTGAATATTCTATGAGATAATAGGTGCTAAGTTCCTGGTACAAGGTAGCACTGATCACTGATAATACCTAGTTTTATTTATGATTTATTTATTTATTTATTTATTTATTTATTTATTTATTTAGAGACAGAGTTGCACTCTGTAGTCCAGGCTGGCATGTAGTGATGTGATCCTGGCTCAGTGCAACCTCCACTTCTCAGGTCAAGTCATTCTCCTGCCTCAGCCTCCCAAGGAGCTGGAATTACAGGAATACACCACAATGCCTGGGCGTTTTTTGTATTTTTCTTAGAGATGGGATTTCCCCATGCTGACCAGGCTGGTCTTGAACTCTGACCTCAAGTGAGCTGTCTGCCTCAGCCTCTCTAAGTGCTGGGATTACAGATATGAGAGCTACTGGGTCCAGCCACAATTAGTATTCTTGTTGTCATTATTTCACAAACAATATCCAGCTCTTCTTAGTCCCTCATCACAAAGCTATGTGAACAAATATAAGGGTATGTTGAGATTCCTGGGCATCATCAGAAAATATATTGAAAATAAAGCAATTAATCCTTTATTCATTGTTTCAATAACAACAAAAATTTTCTAAAACTTCTTCACTATTTTCCTTACCAATGTAAGCTCCAACACTTGTCTTTTATCCAAATAGCATATTCCATTTTCTCTCTCTCAAAAGATCATTTTCCTTTTTGTTAATTTCCTGGCATGTCTTTATGTTCACAATAAAAATATTGGCTTTGTTTAAACTCCCACTTTCCTTGATTTTATATCCCTGGAATGCATTATGCAGCAAAGCCTGAAAAACTTTGACTATCTCTTTCACATACTTTCACATTACCCATGGCAAATAGACACTATGTATTTCCAATTTTCTTGTTGGATAGGCCATATGTTTAAGTGTAGGTCACCCGGAAATACTAAAAACGAATTGATGCAAATAAACTCTCTTGCATCATACCTCTCCAGGGTAAGTGTAAACATGCTACTCCTACACATTTTAGTATTAGTGAAAGCCACAAAACAAATTAGAAATAATCATAATAATAGCAGCAATAATATGGAATGATTTATTTTTACACCTTACAAATAGTCTCAAATGTAGCAATCAATTTGATTTCCATCTATTTATTTGAATTGGGAGTACTATGACCTTTTCTCCTAATGAGAAAGATGAAGTGCAGAGAGTTGGACTATTTGCTAGAGGTAACTCAACAAATAAATTGTAGGATTAGAAATGAAAACTTTGCCCTTAACTTCAAAACCCACAAGATGTATTTCATAGCAAGTGGAATCTCAAGGAACTAGAAGAAGGAAGTTAAGAAATAGCTTAGGGTTATCCTTAACCCTATCCTTAGGGTGTATCCTTTTATTTTAATTAATATTTTATTTCAATTAAGTAGTGCTACATACACAGCCTAAGAATGGTATTATTTTCTACCTCTTTAAGCTACTGAAGCCCTACTACTTTTTGTCAGCAGCAATAGCACTCCAGATCCTACAGTGTGAATTCTGTGAGACTGTGAAATTGAACTTCACAGCCACCTAATCAGCTGCTACTTTTGCTTCCTTTCATTGATTAGTTTGCTTTTGAGTTTGTTTCTATGTTTATTAGTTAATGAATTGACTCTGGGCCACATCACTCACCTGTATAGAATACCAATCCTACTTTATAAGTAACTGGGAAGCTGCCTCCCAGTGGATATTTTAGATTGTAAAATTTTATTTAAAGAAGTAATTTTAAAAAAAATTATGTGCATCAGCATGGCTTTACTTCAGAGCACTGACCTACACACACTGGCTAATTGACATCACTGACCTTGAGAAAAAGCTTCAGCCTCTAATATGACTTAACTGAAATGTGGGGCATAAAATATGAAAAATCCAACTTCCAAATAAAGTTGGCTTCAAGATTCAGTTGCTCCGAGGGCCCAGATATCCTGGGCTCAGGCTGCCTCCTATGGGGCTGCCATTTTGTGCAGATTCATCTCAGGCTGAGACATTGCCAGGTGTAATGGTTAACATTAAGTGTCAATTTGATTGGATTGAAGGATGAAAAGTGTTGTTTCTGGGTGTTGCCAGAAAAGATTAACATTTGAGTCAGTGGACTGGGAAAGGAAAACCACCCTCAGGAAGGGCCACCCACAATGTGGGTGGGCAACATCCAGTGGATGCCAGCATGGCTGAAAAAGCAGGCAGAAGAAGGTGGAAGAAGGTGACCTGCTGAGTCTTTCAGGCTTCAATTTTCTCCCATGCTGGATGCTTCCTGCCTTCAATCATCAGATTCCAAGTTTGGCTTTTGGACTGTTGGACTTACGCCAGTGGTTTGCCAGGGGCTGTTGGTCATTTGGCCATAGACTGAAGGCTGCACGGTCAGCTTCAATACTTTGGAGGCTTTTTGACTTGGACTGAGCCACTACTGGCTTCCTTGCTTCTCAGTTTGCTGATGACCTATTGTGGGACTTTGCCTTGTGATCATGAAAGTCAGTTCTCCCTAAGAAACTCCCTTTCCTTTACACATATATCCCATTGATTTATTCCCTCTATAGAACACTGAATAATACCCCAGGTATAGTTATGGGTTGAATTGTGTCTCAGCCAAATTTACATATTGTAGTGGGGATTAGGACTGCGAGAGGAAGATCCACCTTCAGGGTGACCCACCCACAGTGTCCTAACACCCACTACTTCAGTACATGATTGTATTTCATAGTAGTCATTGAAGATAATCAAATTAATATGGGGTCATTCGGGTTGGTGACCTTTTAAGAAGTGGAAATTTGGACAAAGTTAAAAAGAAAGAGAACACCATATAAGGTGACTACAGAGAACACCATATAATGTGACTACAGAGGTTGATGTGTTGCCTCTACAAGTCAAGGAACACAAAAATTGCCAGAAAACTACCAGAACTTATGGGTGAGGCATGAAACATTTTCTCTTCCAGAGCCTCCAGAAGGCACCAACACTGCCAACATCTACGTCTCAGATTTTTGGCTTCCAGAATTGTAAGACAATCTGCGTGTGTTCTTTAGGCCATCCTGCTTGTGGTACTTTTGTTACCAGAAAGCATTCCCCATCAAGACCCCAAAGAAGAGACCTCACATAACAAAGCATTTGGAACAAGTTCATGGAGTAAATGAAAGCAAATGTATCAGAGAAGTAAAGAAACAAAAGAATGAGTGTTTCATAGGAAGAACAGCCATAAGGGCTTCTGGTTGGCTATTTTTATGGTTATTTCTTGATCATATACTAAACACAGGGTGGATTGTTATGAGTTTCCTAGGAAAGACATGGGGATTTCCAACAACTGAGGGTTCCTCCCCTTTTAGAGCACAGAGGGTATCTTCATGACATTGCCATGAAATTTGTAAACTGTCATGGTGCTGGTGACAGTGTCTTTCAACAAGCTCATGTATTGTAATTATTATATAATGATTACTGAGAGGTCCCTTTTGTTGCCATCTAGGTTTGTTGGGTTTTGGCCAGCTTCTTTACACATTTTGTTTTATCGGGGGTCCTTTTTGACCTGTATCTTGTGACGATCTCATCCTGTGACTAAGGATGCCTAACTCCTGGGAATCCAGACCGGTAGGTCCCAGCCTTATTTAACTGAGACCCTTTCAAGATTGAGTCGCTCTGCTTTAAATGCCTCTGCTAATTTGATAATGGAGCCCTCAGAATTGAATACAAGCTCCCCATCTGGTGAAAGTCTAGAACATACTAGATGATACTCTTAGTCTGAGATGGTGACATCCAGAGAAAAGAAAAGGCATTATGAGAACTATGTCTTAAGCTATTCTTCCAAATTCATATTTCCAGCCCTGAAACTGTGTCTTCATAAGATAGGGTGGGGTGCCATTCCATTTATGAAAACTTCAGTGATTGAAACTGCAGTATTGATTCCCATTGCTTCATTAGAATAATGACATTAAAATGCTAGTTTTATTAATTTAGAGGTCAACTGCTCTTATCCACCTCATCTCCTAACTTGTGAGATGGATCACTTGAGAAAAATGCCCTATTCTCCACAAGAAGAAGCAACATTGTTTGGGTTTAGTCCAATTCAAACCAGAGTTTGTAGAGAATGATTCACTCCCTAAAGGGAATCATTTGTAAAGCTGCAGTTCTTCCAATCAGAGGTTAATTTTATAATTAATATTCACTTTAGTTTATCTCTCATTCCACAAACTCTCAAACATCTACATTTTGATAATTATTTTTGCTCATACATTGTTAGAATTCTCTATTCCATTTAAACAATTGCCTTGAAGTAAAAGAATTGTCAGCCATTTAGAGCAACCACAAATGTTTGGGTAATATGAAATCGCATTTGTGCAAATTTCCACTAGGCCTTTTCTGCATTTCAAAAACCTTTGTGTAGATTTTACTCAAGGTGGACTATTATATAAATCATGCCCCCCTCTATTCCAGAGATTTCTGTGAATAAAACTGCTGCATTTCTTTGAATGTCTGCTCATGACTGGAAATGTGGTCTCAGGACAGCAGCCTCAGCATCACATGGGAGCTTATTAAACAAGCAAAATATTGACCCCTTTTTCAGATCTATGGAGTCAAAATTTGCTTAAGAAGACATCTCCAGGTGCTATGTATACCCAGTAAAGTGTTGGCATAGAAAATGTTAGTTATTCAAGATATTTCTGAAATAAAAGGTATTCTGGATCAAATAAGTTTATTAAAAAAACTCATAAAAAAACCCTATTTTCATGCTTAAGGATTTTTCATGTATATTAACATAACCAATGGAGTACTATCCAGCCATAAAAAAAGACTAAAATTTTGTCTTTCACAGCAACATTGATGGAACTGGAAGACATTAAGTAATCCAGTAACAGAGAGTTAAACACACATGTTCTCACTCATACATAGAAGCTAAAAAACAAAAAGCAAACAAACAAAGAAAGCAAAAGCAACAACAAAAAAAACAAACTCATCTCAAAGAAGTTAAAGTAAAACAAATGGTACCAGAAGCTGGGAGGGGTAGGGGGTAAAGGAACTTAAGGAAAGATTTGTTAAAGGATGCAAAATTACAGCTACATAGGAAGTATAAGTTCTATTGTTCTATAGCACTAAAAGATGACTATAGTTAACAATATATTACATAGTTTAGAACAGCTAGAAGGAGGATATGGAATGTTCCCAGCACAAAGCAATCATAAATATTTAATATGATGAATATGCTAATTACCCAAACCTGATCACCTGACATTGTATGTATCAAAACATCATTATGTATACCATGAATATATACAATTATTTTTCATAAATTACAAAATAAAATTGATGTTTTTTTTAGATGTTCCAGGAATCACTGCATTCTGGAAACATTTAACCTGGCTCAACCAAGATCTCACCACGTTGCTAGGGTCCTTTTGTCCAACAACCTCAAATACTTTCAGTTCTGATGGATGTCTGGAGCAACATCCTTTGACAAAGACTGCGTGAGCACCAGTCTCCAACTATAAACCAAAAACGTGTGTCTCTGATTATATTTTTGTTAGCTCTGTCTGTCCATGTTTGAATTTAAAAGCAAAGTAAAAGACATACTGCACGTTCCCAAACAGACTATGCTGGCTCCCTTTAAATCTTTGCCTGACTGTATATTCTGAGGAATTCAGGAGCGTGGTTCTGACAAGGACTCTCTTTGTAAAACCTTTCCAACAGATGAACATGTACCACAGTCTTGATTAAGGGGTTAGGCCTAGGACTGTGGAACTCCAGATTCTGTTCCTTAAACTATATCCAAACTTCTATGGTTGAATCTCAAAGCATTTACTGGCGTTGACTGTGCACAGTCTCACCCTTGAGATTTCAGTACTTCTATTGATTGGCCAAAGAGCATTGAGAAATGATGTCCTCTCCAAAATTGATCATTATATGTGTTATTGTAGAAGACCACTGTTTTCACACATTCTCTTCTATCAACAAATTTTACTGATGTGTACACCCAGTAACATTTCTCATAGCAATCTTCTGGTAGGCTAAATAATGGAGTGTGAGAGTGAGCAGATCATAATCCCAGAGCCTGTTAATATTACTTTATTATTTATTTTTATTTATTTTTTCTTCTACTTTTATTTTAAGTTAAAGGGTACATGTGCAGGATTTGCAGTTTGCTATACAGGTAAAAAAGTGTGCCACATTGGTTTGCTGCACCTATGAGCCTGTCACTTAGGCACTAAGCCCAGCATGCATTAGCTATTTTTCCTAGTGCTCTCCCTCCCCACCGCTGCCTTGTGAGAGGCCCCAGTGTGTGTTGTTCCCCACCATGTGTCTATGTGTTCTCATCATTCAGTTTCCACTTACAAGTGAGAACATGTGGTATTTGGTTTTCTGTTTCTGCCTTAGTTTGCTAAGGATAACAGTTTCCAACTCCAAACAAGTTTCAGCAAAGGGCATGTGCTCATTATTTTTTTATGGCTGCATAGTATTCCATGGTGTAAATATACCACATTTTCTTTACCTAGTCTATAATTGATGGGCATTTAGCTTGCTTCTATCTTTTGCTATTGTGAACTGTGGTGCAATAAATACAAATGTGCATGTATCTTTATAACAGAATGCTTTATATATATATGGTAAAAGGTACCTTGCAGATGTGTTTAAGTTGAAGATGTTGAGGTGGAGAGACTATCTTGAATTATTGAGAAAAACTCTATGTAATCATGAAAGCCCTTGGAAGAGTCAGAGATAAATCTGAATTTGCTATGCTGCTAGCTTTAAATGCAGTGGCCTCTAGAATTTGAAGAAGTTAAGAAAACAGATTCTTTCATGGAACCCTAAGAAGGAACAAGCCCTACCAAATCTTTAAGTTTAGCCCAAAAAGACTGGCTTCAGACTTCTAGCCTCAATAACTGTAAGATAAAGCAATGTTGTTTTGAACTACCAAATTTGTGATTGTTTGTTACTGCAGCAACAGGAAACATATTTATCTACATGGCAGTAACTGAACTACTTCTTTCCCTCCACTGGGGGAAGAACATCTTTTCCTCTCCCCATGATACATTTTTCAAGGTATACCTGTAATAAATCAAAGACACTTCTTTTTATGAAGAATTTACTCTGCTCCTTTCTGCACATTTCATGGGTGATTATCTTGAGAGTTAAAGGTCTGAAACCAAAAGTATCTGAAACAGGTCTCAATCAATTTAGAAAGTTTACTTTTCCCAATATTAGGCACATGCCTGTGACATAGCTTCAGGAGGTCTGGATGCTGGGTGCTTCAGATGATCATAGTACACCTTCCTTTTATATATTTTAGGGTGACATAATATACAAATCAATACATGTAAGGTGTATGTTGGTTCAACCTGGAAAGTCAGGATGTCTCAAAGCAGGTCATAGGTAGATTTAAAGATTTCCTGATTGGCAGTTGGTTGAAACAGTTATTATCTAAAGACCTGGAATCAACAGAGATCTGGGTTATGATAAGGGGTTGTGGAGCAAGGTTTTACCATGCAGAGGAGGCCTCCAGGTAGCAGGCTTCAGAGGGAACATATTGTAAATGTTTCTTATCAGACTTTAGGGCTGTGTTTAAGTTAATGCTGGTCAGCTTTTCCAGAATTCCAAAGAGAATGAGGATATAATGAGGCATTTCTGAGCCCTACTTCCCATCATGATCTGAACTAGTTTTTCAGGCTAACTTTGGAATGCCCTTGCTGAGAGGAGGGGTCTGTTCAGATGATGGAGGGGCTCAGAATTTTATTTTTTCTTTACAAAGGATTAATAAGCAGTGCCTGGGGCATATAAAGTCAGAAATGTTCATTATTTTTCAGTGGTGATGCAATTATCTCATGCTCATGGGGCCATTAAATGGTGGAACCACGGTTCAAATTTTCATCTGGATTCCAGTGTCATATGCTTTCTGTTGGCCATATGGTTTCTCTGGTTGAAAGGTTTCTACACTACCATAGTTCTCCCTTTCCTACTGTGTCCTCTTACTGCCTCAGCCTTCTTTCTCAGGGTGTGCCCCATACGTTTCTGAATGAGACTTATTCTCACTACCATTAAGTTAGAGGGGTCTGTCCTACAAATGTGCTAACTCTAAAGAGAGTCCCTATTTGGAGGAGTAGCTCTAGAGGGAATCATCACAATGCTTGGTTAGCATGTCCTCCCCTTGGCTTTGTTACATAGAAAATTTTCATGTGAATGATCCTGGAGCTTACAGTCTTGACTAGTTCACTGTTAGTATCCTTGAGAGATTAGACACTCTGCCCTCCATTCTAAGACCTGGGGCTATGCTTGAGAAAACCAAAATAATAATCCAATGTTTCTTGTTTGTCCATTTGCTTCCAGTAATAGTGTTTAAAAAGTGTTAACTATGTAATCCAAATAATGAGAAAAAGAAAATTATTAATAGTTGGAATTATTAATGTAAATATTAAAGACCTTAGAAGCTCTGCAAATTCTCTTATGGAGATATGTCAATAAACATTTAATGATGGTGAAATTCATGAGGCCAAGATATCAGAGCTAGGAAATGGAGAGTGTTCATCAAAGGCCTTGGGGTGGCAGTTCTTCACAACCTGTTCTTTATTCTTTTGAGTTAAAATTCAGGTACTGACAATTCCAGGATAACAATCCTTTCCCCCTTACATATAAATCAGCAATAATTATTCTTAACTAGGAAAAGTAAGTGTGTGTGCATAATTATTTAAATTGAGAGCTGAATAATGGATCTTCATTAGCAATACATTGAAGCAAATTTGGGGGATAAACTAGAGTGCTTCTCTGTTCATTTCATGCCCAGAATACATAAAATTTGGGGAAATGACACATTTGTACAAATGAGCTCAGGAAATACCCCACCTGATTCAGAATTCTTTTTCCCAAAGTATTATTTCACATTGCAGACATTAGTACTGGTGTATTAGCTGAGGTTTAGAAAGGACAAAGATAGGTAATTGAATTTTTCTTAATTTTTTTCTTTTTGTGGGAACATAATAGGTTTATATATTTATATGTTTCATGAGATATGTTGATACAGACATGCAATGCATGTCTATTATTGAATTTTTAACTCAGGATACCATTTCCCTAATATTCTCTAATATTTTATTGTTGTGTTATTTTCAGACTCATTAAGATGTTAACTTACACCACCATCTTTTGTTTAAGTTGATGACTGTATTGCTATAAAGATACTTCCCGGGACTAGGTAATTTTTAAAGGAAAGAGGTCTAATTGCATCACATTTCTGCAACATGGATGGGGAGGCCACAAGAAACTTACAATCTTGTGGAAGGGAAAGCAGGCACATTTTACATGGCAGGAGGAGAAAGTAGCAACAGAAGGGAAAATTGCCATATAAAATCATCAGACCTCATTAAAATTCACTCAGTATCTCACAACAGCATGGGGGAAATGACTGCAACAAAGTAATCGCCTCCCTCCCATTACATGTGGGGATTACAACTGGAGGTGAGATTTGGGTGGGGACACAGAGCCAAACCATATCAATGAATGAATAATGTAATTACTTAGAAACAGCTAATTATGTGGTGTAGAGGTATTACTTTGCATTGGTTCATTTGGAAAGAACCATCAATGTATGCACTTCAACAAAGATATTAATTGTTCATATACTAACAGTATCTAGATGCATTTCCTTCATATAAATTTTTAGTAGAACGATATTTGTGGATGAATGCATTTTTATGGAGTTTAAAGTGTATTTATTTTGATACTTAATCTTTATTAGCAACATCACCCAAAAAGGGAAGAATATTTTCTTCAAATTTGTCCTAGTGGCAGAAAATATGAAGTGTCTGTCTGCACATCAAAAGTATGTAAATGTTACAGTGAGATCTTACTAATAAAGAGTGATGTTTTCATGGCATGAAAAGGCAAATATATAAGAAAAGATGAGAAGATGTTATGTGTTTTGTGCCAAATGTGTTAAAAATGTTGATATTAGGCCACAGAGGAAAAGGATGCTATATGATAGGGTGTAGAGAGTTGATAGATACAGAAAAGAAATGGAGGTTTCTCATTAGGAAAGAAAAATGGAGGTTTATTTAGAGGTAGAATAAAGGAAAGACTGGGATGTCGCAAAATGAAATCAGTTATTAATGGATGTTTTTTAAGGAAAGCAGATGATTTTATATGCATGAGGAGAAAGAGGAAATTAATTTTCCTGCAGGAAAAATAAGTTAAATATTTTTAAAATAGGAATTAATTTATAAAGTCCCTACTAAGAGCTATAAAGAATGCTTTTCATTTAAGTAAATAAATAAGAAAAATATGAAAAGGAAAATTTATACTCATGGCTGTAAGAATACATTAAAGTTCACTGACATAGTTATCCTTTGAGTTTTATGCTTTGAATTCTTACGGAAAAAAATCTCATTTGTAAGTTTTGAAAATCCTGCATTATCTATCATTACTACTTGTAGATTAAAGGTTCATGTTTTCTCTAAATTTTTCACTCTTCTCACATCAGAATCTTCTCTTATTTTTTTGTTATATGCTATCTCTCCCTGCTTGTTGATTCCAGCCTTCATATCCCAAAAGCCCTGCCTCAATCTTTCATTTGAATCTTAATTAATTAAAATAAAGCTAAGTGAACCTTACATACACCTTAAGAAATGTCTAAATACTAAAATGTAAAAATGCTAACCACCATGTGATTCTATGAGTCAGCACTTCCATGTGTTAAAATATGGTGTGGAATTTATGTTATGGAAGTATAAATGAATAAACTCCAGCTGAATTTCTACAATTTTTAAAAGTGGTCTGTTGTGGTGAAAAAAGTGATACCCTCAAATATGGCACTTTTGGCCAGCCATGGTGGCTCATGCCTGTAATCCCAGAACTTTGGGATGCCAAGGTGGACAAAGCAACTGAGGTCAGCAGTTCAAGACCAGCATGGCCAACATGGAGAATCCCCATCTCTACAAAAACTACAAAAAAATTAGCCAGGCATGGTGGTCCTTGCCTGTAATTGCAGCAGCTCCAGAGGCTGAGACATGAGAATCACTTGAGCGTGAGAAGAATATGTTGCAGTGAGCTGAGACTGTGCCACTGCACTCTATCCTGGATGATAGAGCAAGAACCTGTCTCAAAAAAAAAAAAAAAAAAAGAAAGAAAGAGAAAAGGTCACTTTGGCATGCTGAGTGCTGTGGATTAAAGGAATTAGAACAATTTCAGAAACAAGCCTGCAGACCAAAGTCTTTCTCTAACTTTCTGCTACGCTCATCTCTCTGATTCTCCTTCTTCCCAAAGCTCCAGGTGGAACTCTCTAGAAAACTTTTATTTAAAAATGCAGTGTTTGGTTTTTTGTCCTTGTGATAGTTTGCTGAGAATGATGGTTTCCGACTTTCTTCCCTAGGAATATTATCAAATACCCAGGAAATACTTAATCACTGGAGAAAGGAAAGCTTTTCATCTATTCTTCTGAGTGCAACCCTAATATATTGCCTGGGAGACTTTGTCTGCATAATAAGACAACTTTTGTTCACAGTGAAGTTCTGCCCCTCACCTTCGCTCCTCTAACCAGAGGTCAAAGGAAATTCCTTCCAGACCATTGATCTTTGGGCTTATCCTTTTTCCCTGAAAATCGTTTACTTTCACAGATCCCATCTCTCCCTTCCCATATGTAATAGGGTGTATAAGCACATGGGCCTCATTGGTTTATTGAGTAATCATTCTCCTGGGATTCCTCTCTGTTTCTGCATTTTATATAAACATAGTATGTCCTTTCTCCTATGAATCTGCCTATTCTCAGTTCATTTTCGGGAAACCTTTGGAGGACACAGAGGAAGTGTTTTCTCTTTCACCCTACAGGTCAAATAACATGTGGAATAAGGAGAAAATACATAAGAAATAATTTTTATGCCAGGCACATAGTTCCTTTACCTGTAATTCCAGCCCTTTGGGGGTGCCAAGATTGGTGGATCACTAGAGGCCAGGAGTTTGTGACCAACCTGGCCAACATGGTGAAACTCCTTCTCTACTAAAAATAAAAAAATTAGCTGGATATGATGGCACACACCTGTAATCCCAGCTACTCAGAAGGCTGAGGAATTAGAATCACTTCAACCCGGGAGATGGATGTTTCAATGAGCCAAGATTGTGCCACTGCCCTCCAGCCTGGGCAACACAGACAGACTGTTTCAAAATTAAAATATGTGTGTGTATGTGCATGTATGTCTGTGTGTGTGTGTGTGTGTGTGTGTATATATATATAATTTTTAAACCTAATAAAAAGAACAAGATTGCTGAATTATCAACAGATGAGGATCTATTCATATGAACTAAATGCAGGAACAGGGCTGTTTTATCTTCCTCATGTTCAAGCAGATGTCTATGACAGTGAGGTGTATACACTGACTTTTCTCCTTGCATAGGTGAAATGTGGGTGAACTATTGCATGGAGCTGTCTCCCTCGGTGTGTTCAACATTACATGGCATTAACAGTGTTAGGATGTACAGATGCCTGTTCTATGTTGCAGTCCTTACATGGGGCTCTGTTCTCTCTTGAAGAAATAACCCTGATAATCAGTTAAAAACAGAGCAGCTTTTCCCCAAAGGCAACCAAGAAAGCTCTTTGGTTTCAGAAAGTCCCACATAAGATGTGAGAAAGTCCCAGATAAGATGGCTCTCTCTCTCTCTCTCTCTCTCTCTCTCTCTCTCTCTCTCTCTCTCTCTCTTTCTCTCTCCTCTGTCTCTCTTTCTCTCTCTCAATAATGCCACAACTGGGACCCTCTGTTATGGAGGATTCAGCTGCCAGCATAGGAAACTCAGGCATGTAAACATTCACTCTCCCAGCTAACACCATTATGGCCCTAAATAAACCCTTTTCCACATCTCCTTCCCTAGGTCCCTGAAACAAAGAGTGAATGAACCCAAATAGATTTCATATTTCAGGATTTGCTTTGGTCAATATCAGCATAAATCACTGATTAGGAAAGAGGGATTTGATTAGAAAAATGATACATATATTAATTGTACTTATCTTTTTGTTTTGAAACATCCTGACTCGTCCAAAAAATGTATGTATCATGAAACCCCACTTGTCTATTTTTGCTTTCATTGCCTGTGCTTTTGGTGTCATATCCAAGATATCATTGCTAAGACCAAGGGGCTTTTTGCCCTATGTTCTTCTTGTAGGAGTTTTATAATTTCAGGTCTTAATATTTAATACTTTAGGCTATTTTTAGTTACTTTTTATATGTGGTGTAAGGTATGGGTCCAAGTCACAATGACTACGGTATGGAAACTATGTAAATATCCATTTACAGATAAGTGGATAAAGAAAATGTGACACATTCATACAATGTAATATTATTTAGCCTTAAGAAAAAAAGATATTCTGACACCTGCTGCAACATGGATGAAGCCTGGAGATATTGTGCTAAATGAAATAATTCAATCACAAAAGAATGAATGCTGTTTTATTGCACTTATATGACATACTTAGAGTAGTCAAATTCATACAGATAATTAGGAAGACATTGCCGTTAAGTGTGAATAATGTCTTAAAATTAAAATTTAGAATTGGTCATGGAGAATTAACCAGGGGCTCAGATCAGACTTTGAATTTTCAAGTCCAGAAATTTGATCTCTATAGAGCCTCAGAGTTGATGGTTCACAGTTACACTGTCTCCAAGTGATGATAATTGTTAAGTACTGAAAGCCTTGAAGATAGAATGTCCCACTTATTAATCTAGAATGAAACATTTAATTGTCAAGTGATGGCTATGCATACTAGGTTTATAAAAACATGTTCCTGAACTTCTTTGAAATAAAATCAGTGAAACGGCATACTAGAATCAGAACAGAGAGTTGCATTTAAGAATTGGATATAAATGTGCGATGATTTTAATCTTATAGTGTATGCATTTACGAATGTGTGCCCATAGCCTGACAAGATGTCCTTGGTAGCTGGTCTCAACCATCTCTTTGTCCTGGGAGACAACTGTCAATATTTGTCTCTACGACTACATTTTTTCCATGCATTCATTTTTGGAGCACTCTCCTTCAAACCAAAAAAAAACCAAAAAAAACTTAGTGAAATGTAATATTGTTTAGTGCATTCACATCTTGGGTACCTGAGACTTCAGTTTTCTTTAAGATAACTTTCTGTTACTCAATACTTTGAATCTTGAAAGACAAATATGTTCAAATTCCTGAGAAGTATCTTAGCATTATGTTGTATGTTAACTACAAGACTTTTTATAATGAAAATTATAAACCCACTTAAAAATGCTGACAAAAAGGAATTAATTAAAAGTGTCTCCTTTTTTGGAGGAAGGAATATATCAAAGAAGTGAGCTGTATTATATTTTATTCTGTTGACCAGCTCCTTAAAAACAAACTAATTGGGATCACCTATACTGTAACTGTAATTTATGGCAAATAAGAGATAGTATAACTTTATAAAAGGAAGATCAGCTACTGACTCCACGTAATAACAATAAGGAGACTAGGAGGCTATAGGGGAGGATCCTTCCAACCTCTTTCAGCTCCTGGTGGCTCCAGGCATCTCTTGGCTTGTGGCTGCATCACTCCTGTCTCTGCCCCATTTTCACATGGACTTTTTCTCTGCATCTCAGCTTATTTTCCCTCTGTGCCTGTTTCTATGTCCAAATTTCTCTCTTCTGACGAGAATGCTACTCATTGGGTTAGGGTACATCTCAAGCCAGTACAATTTCACATTAATGAGTTGATTGTATCTGCAGACTCTATTCTAACTAAGGTCACAATTTGAGGTTCAGGGTAAACATGAATATTTTTAGGGAGCTGGGTGTGGCAGCTTATGCCTGTAAACCCAGCACTTTGAAAGGCCAAGGTGGGAGGTTTGTTTGTGGCCAGGAGTTTGAGAACAGCCTGGGCAACAGAGTAAGACCTCATTTCTACCAAAAATTTAAACAAAAATTAGCTGGTCATGGTGGTGCATACACTCTTGTAGTAACAGATACTCAGAAGGCTGGGGTGGGAGGATCACTTTGAAGCATCGTCGTTTGTCTGGGCATAAAACCTGAGGTTTGTTGCCTCATGCCAAGGAAATCAATCATCCTGTGGACACACAAGGAGTGAGGCTAAAAGGATTGAGGTTAAAAACTTTTTTTTCTCAAAAAGTTTTTTTTTTTTTTTTGAGACAAGAGTCTCACTCGCTCTGTCACTCAGGCTGGAGTGCACTGGCACAGTCTTGGCTCACTGTGACCTCTGCCTCCCATGTTCAAGAGATTCTCCTTCCTCACCCTCCCAAGTAGCTGTCACATGCATGCACCACCATGCTTAGCTAATTTTTGTGTTTTTAATAGAGACAGTGTTTCACCGTGTTTGCCAGGCTGGTCTCGAACTCCTGATCTCAAGTGATCCTTCTGCCTCAGCCTCCCAAAGTGCTGAGATTACAGGCATGAGCCACTGGACCCAGTGTCAAAAAATAGTTTCAAAAAACAGATTAATACCATAAAATATACTCTTAATATTAGAACATCAGTTTCCTAAGGGAGGCAGATATTGTTTTATCAGAGTCCTGAAACATGGTTCGTTTCTACTTGAGAATACAGGGCTCACTCTTGCAGTAGGACTCTGTCAAAATAATTTTGCAAAGGCCAAACATTCCTCCATTGTCCCTGAATCTGCACTGTGTAGCCAATAACAAATAAGATGTAAGTCATAAGAGTTTTACAATTTAAATTAAATGTTGTTGAATAGATATGTTTAAAGAAAACACTAGAGATGAAATATTGCCAAGTAAAACACAAGATGCATTATCTAAAATTTAGTGGAGGAAATAGAAACCACTTTTAGATGTTTTAAGTATCACCAATTATTGATTGATTGATTGATTTACTTATTTATTAATTTATCTACTTATTTATTTTATTTATTTATTTTATATATATATATATATACTTTTTTACTATACTTTCAAGTTCTAGGGTAAATGTGCACAACGTGCAGGTTTGTTACATATGTATACGTGTGCCAAGTTGGTGTGCTCATAACTAATGTAAATGCAAATGTAACTCATCATTTACATTATCTATATCTCCTAATGGTATCCCACCCCCTTCCCCTCACCCTACAATGACCCTGGTGTGTGATGTTCCCCTTCCTGTGTCCAAGTGTTCTCATTGTTCATTTCCCACCTATGAGTGAGAGCATGTGGTGTTTGGTTTTTAGTCCTTGAGATAGTTTGCTGAGAATGATGGTTTCCAGCTTCATCCGTGTCCCTACAAAGGACATGAACTCATCATTTTTTATGGCTGCATAGTATTCCATGGTGTATATGTGCCACATTTTCTTAATCCAATCTATCATTGTTGGACATTTGGGTTGGTTCCAAGTCTTTGCTATTGTGAATAGTGCTGCAATAACATAGGTGTGCATGTGTCTTTACAGCAGCATGATTTATATTACTTTCGGTATATACCCAGTAATGGGATTGCTGGGTCAAACGGTATTTCTAGTTCTAGATCCCTGAGAAATCGCCACACTATCTTCCACAATGGTTGTACTAGTTTACAGTCCCACCAACAGTGTAAAAGTGTTCTTATTTCTCCACATCCTCTCCAGCACCTGTTGTTTCCTGACTTTTTAATGATCGCCATTCTAAATGGTGTGAGATGTCATCTCATTGTGGTTTTGATTTGCATTTCTCTGATGGCCAGTGATGATGAGCAATTTTTCATGTTTCTGTTGGCTGCATAAATATCTTCTTTTGAGAAGTGTCGGTTCATATCCTTGGCCCACTTTATTGATGGGGTTGTTTGTTTTTTTGTCATAAATTTGTGGGAGTTCTTTGTAGATTCTAGATATTGGCCCTTTGTCAGTTGAGTAGACTGCAAAAATTTTCTCCCATTCTCTAGGTTGCCTGTTCACTCTGATGGTGTTTATTTTGCTGTGCAGAAGCTCTTTAGTTTAATTAGATCCCATTTGTCAATTTTGGCTTTTGTTGCCATTGCTTTTGGTGTTTTAGACATGAAGTCCTTGCCCATGCCTATGTCATGAATGGTATTGCCTAGGTTTTCTTCTGGGGTTTTTATGGTTTTAGGTGTAATATTTAAGTCTCTAATCCATCTTGAATTAATTTTTGTATAAGGTGTATGGAAAGGATCCAGTTTCAGGTTTCTACATATGGCTAGCCAGTTTTCCCAGCACCATTTGTTACATAGGCAATCCTTTCCTTATTTCTTGTTTTTGTCGGGTTTGTCAAAGATCAGGTAGTTCTAGATGTGTGGTATTATTTCCAAGGGCTGTGTTCTGCTCCATTGGTCTATGTCTCTGTTTTGGTGCCAGTACCATGATGTTTTGGTTACTGTAGCCTTGTAGTATAGTTTGAAGTCAGGTAGTATGATGCCTCTAGCTTTACTCTTTTGCCTTAGAATTGACTTGGCAATGTGGGCTCTTTTTTGGTTCCATATGAACTTTAAAGTAGATTTTTCCAATTCTGTGAAGAAAGTCTGTGGTAGCTTGATGGGGATGGCATTGAATCTATAAATTACCTTGGGCATTATAGCTATTTTCACGATATTGATTCTTCCTATCCATGAGCATGGAGTGTTCTTCCATTTGTTTGTATCCCCTTTATTTATTTGAGCAATAAAGAAATATTGCTAAAAGGAGAACTACAAACCTTGTAGTTCTCCTTGAAGTGTCCTTCACATCCCTTGTAAGTTGGATTCCTAGGTATTTTATTCTCTTTGAAGCAATCGTGAATGAGAGTTCACTCATGATTTAGCTGTTTGTTTGTCTGTTATTGGTGTATAAGAATGTTTGTGATTTTTGCACGTTGATTTTGTATCCTGAGACTTTGCTGAAGTTGCTTATCATCTTAAGGGGATTTTGGACTGAGACGATGGGGTTTTCTAGGTATACAATCATGTCATCTGCAAACAGGGACAATTTGACTTCCTCTTTTCCTAATTGAATACCCTTTATTTCTTTCTCCTGCCTGATTGCCCTGGCCAGAACCTCCAACACTATGTTGAATAGGAGTGGTGAGAGAGGGCATCCCTGTCTTGTGCCAGTTTTCAAAGGGAATGCTTCCAGTTCTTGCCCATTCAGTATGATATTGGCTGTGGGTTTGTCATAAATAGCTCTTATTTTGAGATACGCCCCATCAATACCTAATTTATTGAGAGTTTTTAGCACGAAGGGATGCTGAATTTTGTTGAAGGCCTTTTCTGCCTCTGTTGAGATAATCATGTGGTTTTTGTCTTTGGTTCTGTTTATATGGTGGATTATGTTTATTGATTTGTGTATGTTGAACCAGCCTTGCATCCCATGGATGAAGCCCACTTGATTATGCTGGATAAGCTTTTTGATGTGCTGCTAGATTCAGTTTGCCAGTATTTTATTGAGGATTTTTACATCAATGTTCATCAAGGATATTGGTCTAAAATTCTCTTTTTTGGTTGTGTCTCTGCCAGGCTTTGGTATCAGGATGATGCTGGCCTCATAAAATGAGTTAGGGAGGATTCCCTCTTTTTCTATTGATTGGAATAGTTTCAGAAGGAATGGTACCAGCTCCTCCTTGTACTTCTGGTAGAATTGGGCTGTGAATCCATCTGGTCCTGGACTTTTTTTGTTTGGTAAGCTGTTAATTATTGCCTCAATTTCAGAGCCTGTTATTGGTCTATTCAGAGATTCATCTTCTTCTTGGTTTAGTCTTCACAGGGTGTATGTGTCAAGGAATTTTTCCATTTCTTCTAGATTTTGTAGTTTATTTGCATAGAGGTGTTTATAGTATTCTCTGATGGTAGTTTGTATTTCTGTGGGACCGGTGGTGATATCCCCTTTAAGATTTTTTATTGCTTCTATTTGATTCTTCTCTCTTTTCTTCTTTATTAATCTTGCTAGCAGCTTATCAATTTTGCTGATCTTTTCCAAAAACCAGCTCCTGGATTCATTGATTTTTTGAAGGGCTTTATGTGTTTCTATCTCCTTCAGCTCTGCTCTGATCTTAGTTATTTCTTGCCTTCTTCTAGCTTTTGAATGTGTTTGCCCTTGCTTCTCTAGTTCTTTAAATTGTGACATTAGGGTGTCAATTTTGGATCTTTCCTGCTTTGTCTTGTGGGCATTTAGTGCTATAAATTTCCCTCCACACACTGCTTTAAATGTGTCCCAGAGATTCTGGTATGTTACGTCTTTGTTCACATTGGTTTCAAAGAACATCTTTATTCCTGTCTTCATTTTGTTGTGTACTGAGTAGACATTCAGGAGCAGATTGTTCAGTTTCCATGTAGTTGAGTGGTTTTGAGTGAGTTTCTTAATCCTGAGTTCTAGCTTGATTGCACTGTGGTCTGAGAGACAGTTTGTTATAATTTCTGTTCTTTTGCATTTGCTGAGGAGTGCTTTACTTCCAACTATGTGGTCAATTTTGCAATAGGTGCAATGTGGTGCTGAGAAGAATTTATATTCTGTTGATTTGTGGTGGAGAGTTCTGTAGATGTCTATTAGGTCTGCTTGGTGCAGAGCTGAATTCAATTCCTGGATATCCTTGTTAACTTTCTGTCTCGTTGATCCATCTAATGTTGACAATGGGGTGTTAAAGTCTCCCATAATTATTGTGTGGGAGTCTAAGTCTTTCTAGGTCTCTAAGGGCATGTTTTATGAATCTGGTTGATCCTGTATTGGGTGCATATATATTTAGGATAGTTAGCTCTTCTTGTTGAATTGATCCCTTTATTATATAATGGCCTTCTTTGTCTCTTTTGATCTTTGCTAGTTTAAAGTCTGTTTCATCAGAGACTAGGATTGCAACCCCTGCCTTTTTTTTTTGTTTTCCATTTGCTTGATAGATCTTCTTCCATCCCTTTATTTTGAGCCTATATGTGTCTCTGCACTTGACGTGGGTTTCCTGAATACAGCACACTGATGGGTCTCGACTCTTTATCCAATTTGCCAGTCTGTGTCTTTTAATTGGAGCACTTAGCCCATTTATATTTAAGATTAAGATTGTTATGTGTAAATTTTGTCCTGTCATTATGTTGTTAGCTGGTTATTTTGCTTGTTAGTTGATGCAGTTTTTTCCTAGCATCGATGGTCTTTATATTTTGCCATGTTTTTTCAGTGGCTGGTACCAGTTGTTCCTTTCCATGTTTAGTGCTTCCTTCAGGAGCTCTTGTAGTGCAGGCCTGATGGTGACAAAAATCTCTCAACAAAAACTGTAAAGTATTTTGTTTCTCCTTCACTTATGAAGCCTAGTTTTGCTGGATATGAAAATCTGGGTTGAAAATTCTTTTCTTTAATAACATTGAATATTGGCCCCTACTCTCTTCTGGCTTGTAGAGTTTCTGCTGAGAGATCAGCTGTTAGTCTGTTGGGCTTCCCTTTGTGGGTAACCCGACCTTTCCCTCTGGCTGCCCTTAACACTTTTTCCTTCATTTCAACTTTGGTGAATCTGACAAGTATGTGTCTTGGAGTTGCTCTTCTCGAGGAGTATCTTTGTGGTGTTCTCTGTATTTCCTGAATTTGAATGTTGGCCTGCCTTGCTAAGTTGGGGAAGTTCTGGATAATATCCTGCAGAGTGTTTTCCAACTGGTTTCATTCTCCCCATCACTTTCAGGTGCTCCAGTGAGATGTAGATTTGGTCTTTTCACATAGTCCCATATTTCTTGGAGGCTTTGTTCATTTCATTTTATTCTTTTTTTTCTCTAAACTTCTCTTCTCACTTCATTTCATTCATTTGATCTTCAATCACTAATACCTTTCTTCCAGTTGATCGAATCAGCTACTGAAGCTTGTGCATTCATCACGTAGTTCTCGTGCCATGGTTTTCACTCCATCATGTCCTTTAAGGAATTCTCTGCATTGGTTATTATAGTTAAGCCATTCGTCTAATCTTTTTCCAAGATTTTTAACTTGTTTGCAATGGGTTCAAACTGCCTCCTTTAGCTCAGAGAAATTTGATCGTCTGAAGCCTTCTTCTCTCAACTCATCAAAGTCATTCTCTGTCTAGCTTTGTTCCATTGCTGGTGAGGAGCTGCATTCCTTTGGAGGAGGAGAGGTGCTCTGATTTTTAGAATTTTCATTATTCTGTTCTGTTTTTTCCCCATCTTTGTGTTTTTATCTATCTTTGGTCTTTGATGATGGTTACGTATGGATGGGGTTTTGGTGTGGATGTCCTTTCTGTTTGTTAGTTTTCCTTCTAACACTCAGGATCCTCAGCTGCAGGTCTGTTGGAGTTTGCTGGAGGTCCACTCCAGACTCTGTTTACCTGGGTATCAGCAGCAGAGGCTGCAGATCAGCGAATATTGCTGAACAGCAAATGTTGTTGTCTGATTGTTTCTCTGGAAGTTTCCTTTCAGAAGTGTACCCAGCCGTGTGAGGTGTCAGTCTGCCCCTACTGGGAGGTGCCTCCCAGTTAGGCTACTTGGGGGGTCAGGGAACCACTTGAGGAGGCAGTCTGTCCATTCTCAGATCTCAAACTCCATGCTGGGAGAACCACCACTTTCTTCAAAGCTGTCAGACAGGGACATTTAAGTCTACAGAGGTTTCTGCTGCCTATTGTTTGGCTATGCCCTGCTCCCACAGGTGGAGTCTACAGAGGCAGGCAGGCCTCCTTGAGCTGGGGTGGGCTCCACCCAGTTTGAGCTTCCTGGCTGCTTTGTTTACTTACTCAAGCCTCAGCAAAGGTGGACACCCCTCCCTCAGCCTTACTGCCACCTTGCCGTTCGATCTCAGACTGCTGTCCTAGCAATGAGCAAGGCTCTGGGAGCTTGGGACCCTCTGAGCCAGGCAAGGGATATAATCTCCTGGTGTGCCATTTGCTAAGACCATTGGAAACTTGCAGTATTAGGGTGGGAATGATCTGATTTTCCAGGTGTCATCTGTCACAGCTTTGCTTGGCTAGGGAAGGGAATTCCCTGACCTGTTTTGCTTCCCAGGTGAGGCGATGCCTTGCCCTGCTTTGGCTCACTCTCAGTGCACTGCACCCACTGTCCTGCACCCACTTGTCCAACAAGCCCCAGTGAGATGAACCTGGTACCGCAGCTGGAAATGCAGAAATCACCCATCTGATGCATCACTTATGCTGGGAGCTGTAGACTGGAGCTGTTCGTATTCGGCCATCTTGGAACCGCCTCCCTTATCTACTTATTTATGACTGAGTTTCACTTTTGTCACCCAGGCTGGAGTGGAGTGGTGCAATCTCAGCTCACTGGTACCTCCTGCCTCCCAGTTCAAGTGATTCTCCTGCCTCAGACTTCCTGGTAGCTGGGATTACAGGTGTGTGTCACCACGCAAGGATAATTTTTTTTTTATTATTTTTAGTAGAGATGACGTTTCACCATGTTGGCCAGGAAGGTGTTCAACTTCTGACCTCAAGTGACCTGCCCGCCTCAGCCTTCCAAAGTGCTGGGATTACAGGCATGAGCCACTGCATCTGGCTAGCAGCACAAAATTTAATGCAAGAAGTTTAGTTCTTAACCAGAGAGACTAGAGGAAGTAGGTGTCAAGAAGTCATGACTAAAACCTCTGAAATTTTGATTTGGGGATAGGTGATCAGCCAATGTGGCTGTCTTTTCTTAGCTGCCAACTCTCAGCCATTGAGGTGGGGACTGGAGTCTCACACTTTAGTATGGCAGACCCAACTGCTTGGAAGTTGTATAAGGGCCAAAAGCCACAGAAAATGCTTGGAGAGGGTGTCACTCATATTTCATACTCCAAGTCCTGAAGGAGTGTGTTGGGAACAGGCCCCCAAATCTGGCCATAAACTGGCCCCAAAACTGGCCATAAGCAAAATCTCTGCAGCACTGTGACATGTTCATGGTGGCCATGACACCCACACTGAAGGTTGTGGGTTTACTGGGGTGAGAACAAGGAACACATGGCCCACCCAGGGTGGAAAATTGCTTAAAGGCATTCCTAAGCTACTAACGATAGCATGAGCGATCTGTGCCTTAAGGACATGTTCATGCTGCAGATAAGTAGCCAGAGCTCATCCCTTTATTTTGGCCCATCCCTTTATTTCCCATAAGGAATACTTTTAGTAAATCTATGAGTGACTTGCTGTCAATAAATATGTGGGTAAATCTCTGTTCAGGGCTCTCAGATCTGAAGGCTGTGAGACCTCTGATTTCCCATTCCACACCCTATATTACTGTGTGTGTTTCTTTAATTCCTCTAGTGCCACTGAGTTAAGGTCTGCACAACTGAGCTGGTCTCAGTAAGAGGCACCCAACATGGGACTTGAACCCAGGTTGAAGGGTCACCAGAGTAACGGTAGGAGAATGTGGTACTAAGCTGGAGGACACCCAAGTATTCTTAAAGCAATCCCTGTAGTGAGTAAGAAGGGGAGCTCAGAAACACAAGGGTAACAATGGGACAAGGGTGGGCTCTGGTTCATTCCACCTTGAAACCTTTTCACACTAATGATGAGGAGGAAGGAGAGTATAATGAAGTAACAGAAGCAACAGAGCAGTTTTGTTTGCCAGCTGAAGCTAAAGTAGCAAAGGAGGAAGAGGTTCATCCCTACCCTTCTGCACCTCCTCATTATTTTGAAGAAAAAGAGTGGCCTGACCCTCCAGATCTTCCTTTTCTGGAGGACACTGGGTGAAATGTAGTTGCTCAATTGCTGTTTGAGCAGTGCCTTGAGTGACCACTCTCAGTTCTATTCAGGCAGAAATTCAGCAAGCTAGCTGAGAGGGTGATTTAGAGGATTTAGAGGCTTGGCAGTTCCCTGTTAGAATACACCCCCTAGATCAACAGGAACATAGTATAGCTACATTTGAGCCTTTCCCTTTTGAATTACTCAAAGATTTTAAACAAGCTATTAGTCAATATGGACCAGGTACTCAAAGATTTTAAACAAGGTATTAGTCAATATGGACCAGGTTCTCTTTTTGTAATGGGACTGTTGTGGAATGTTGCTGTCTCCAGTTGGCTGATTCCTACTGACTGGGATGCTCTTACTCAAGCTTGTGTAACTGTTGCTTAATTCTTACAATTTAAACCTCAGTGGGCAGATTAAACTTTCATTCAGACTGCTCACAATGCCCAGGCCCAACCTCAAATTAATATAACTGCAGACCAACTTTTGGGGGTGGGCGGCTGGGCCGGTTTAGATGCACAAGTGGTCATGAAGGATGATTATATAGAATATCTTAAAGGATTGCACATTAGAACTTGGGAAAAAAAATCACTTCAGGTGGAGAACAATACCCTTACTTTAGTGCTGTAAAACACAGACCAAAAGAATCATATGCAGATTTTATAGCTTGGTTACAGGAGTCTCTTAAAAATGTGATTGCAGATTCGGCTTCTCAGAATATAGCATTGCAGTTACTAGCTTTCAACAATGCTAATCCTGATTGCCAGACTGCTCTGTCACCTATTTGAGGGAAAGCACATTTAGTTGATTATATCAAGGTCTGTGACAGTATTGGAGATAATCTGCATAAGGCTACTTTGCTAGCCCAGGCAATGGCAGAACTGAGAGTGGTTAAAGGAAATACTCCATTTCCTGGAGTTTGTTTTAACTGTGGTAAGCATGGTCATACTAAAAAAGAATGTAGAAAAAATCAGTGAATCAGGCTGCCAGATGGGGGAAAAAAGAAAACTGTTGAGCCTGAATTATGTCCAAAATGCAAAAAAGGAAAACAATGGGCTAATCAGCGTCCCTCTAAGTTTGATAAAGATGGGAACCTGATTTTGGGTAATGCCATGAGGGGCCCGCCCTGGGCCCCATTCATAACTGGGGCTTTTCTGGATCAGGCCATTCCCTCACTCCTGTACAATGCCACAGTACATTTTGGGCTGCAGTAGATTTATGCTGCCCAAAAGCTGTAAGCCTTCTGCCTTGGGATCCCCCACAAAAAATTCCAACAGGACCCTGTGGACTCTTGCCAGCAGGAACAACAGGATTACTTCTAGGAAGGTATAGTTTAAATTTAAAAGGGGTACAAGTACAAACAGGAGTCATTGATTCAGATTACAATGGGGAAATTCAGATTGTTATATCTACTTCTGTTGCCTGGAAAGGAGAGCCAGGAGAGCATATAGCACAGCTCCTGATTGTGCCGTATAGGGAAATGGAGAAAAGTGAAAATAAATGAACAGGAGGATTTGAAAGCAAAAATAAACAAGACAAAGCGGCTTACTGGGTGAATCAAATTACTGATAAATGTTCTACCAGTAAAGTAACTATTCAGGGAAAAAAATTTAAAGGTTTGGTTGATACAGGAGTGAACATTTTAATCATTTCTCTACAGCACTGGCTGTCCACATGGCCAATTCAATCTGCTCAATTTAATGTAGCTGGGGTTGGTAAAACCCCTGAAGTATATTGAAGTAGTTATATTTTGCATTTTGAAGGGCCTGATGGACAACCTGGGACTATTCAATCAATTATAACTTCTGTACATATTAATTTATGGGGAAGAGATTTATTATAACAATGGGGAGCACACGTTCTAATTCCAGAGCAATTATACAGACCAAAAAGTCAACATATGCTGCATGAAATGGGGTATGTCTCTGGTATGGGACTAGGAAAAAAATTTTGAGTTTTGAGGGAACCACTTCAAGTGGAAAGACAAATTTCCCATCAAGGTTTAGGATATCATTTTTGAAGGCAGCTATTGTTAAGACTCCAGAAACTATACAAAGTGGTTAACAAGTAACCACTTTGGATAGAACAATGGCCTCTAAGTAAAGAGAAACTGGAGGCTTTAGAGGACTTGGTTACTGAACAATTCTCAATAATCATTTTCCTAAATTGAAACTGTTTTAATTTTTGAAATTAACTAATTTGATTCTCCCTACAATAACTAAATTTAAACCAATTGAAGGTGCCGAGAGTCTTTTTACAAATGGATCTAGTAATGGTAAAGCTTCTTATTCTGGATCAAAAGTAAAGTTTTCCAGACACCCTATACTTCAGCTCAAAAGGTGGAGCTTGTAGCTGTAATTGAGGTATTGAGTACTTTTGATATGCCTATTAATGTGATTTCCAATTCTTTATATGTGGTTCATTCCACACAATTAATTGAAAATTCTCAGTTACAATTTCATACAGCTGAACAACTGATGTATTTATTTACCCAGTTGCAAACAGCAGTTAGGAGTAGAATGCACACTTTTCTCATCACTCACATTAGGGCTCATACACCTTTTCCAGGACCTTTGACTGCAGGGAATCAAATGGCTGATTGCCTAGTCACTACTGCAATATCTAATGCTAGACACTTTCACAATTTAACCCATGTTAATGCCTCTGGTCTCAAACAAAGATACAGCATTACCTGGAAAGAAGCTAAAGCTATTATTCAGAAATGCCCAACTTGCCAAATGGTACATTCCTCATCTTTTACAGGAGGAGTTAATCCTTGAGGATTGGAACCAAATTCTCTTTGGCAAATGTATGTCACACATGTTCCCTTGTTTGGGAGACTAGCTTATGTACATGTATGTCTGGAAACTTTTTCTCATTTTGTCTGTGCTACATGCTAATCAGGAAAGTCTTCCGCCTGTGTTAAACAGCACTGTTTTCAGTGTTTTGCAGTGATAGGCATTCCAGCTTCTGTTAAAACAGACAATGCCCCAGGTTATACTAGCCAAGCTCTGGCTACATTTTTCTTTGTGTGGAATATTAAACACATTACTGGTATCCCATGTAATTCTTAAGGACAAGACATACTGTAAAGAATGAATCTCTCCCTGAAACAGCAGTTGCAAATGGCAACAGCAGTTGCAAAAACAGAAAGAGGGAAACAGATTATGGGACAGCCCATACAGATGAATCTAGCATTATTAACTTTAAATTTTTTGAGCCTGCCTAAAAGCTAGGTAATATTAGCAGCTGAACAGCATCTACAGAAACCAGCTGCAAAGACAGAAGCAGAACAACTGGTATGATGGAGAGATCTGATAAGAAAAAGTTGAGAAATAGGTAAAATAATAACTTGGGGTAGAGGTTATGCTTGTTTCTCCAGGATCGAATCAACAGCCAATTTTGATACCATGAAGACACCTGAAACTTTATCATGAGATAGATGCCGAGGAAGAGATTCCAGGAGGAACCTGAGGACCCCCTGGTTGCAGCCATGTTGAGACTGATGCTGAAGAGGACCCCGACTGTCATGAGCAACACCCGTTGAACACAGCCACCCACCAGGGGACAGATAAAGAAACTGTCACAGATGGCAGAAGAAAACCTGAGGAAACCAGGACAACCAGTCACAATGAGTAATTTAGTGATAGTTTTGATAGCGGTGATCACCATTGCTGTGAGTATTCCTTCAACAAGGGCTGACATGAGAACAATTGTACTTATTGGGCATATTTATCAATCTTGGCTGCAATAATGCCTGGTTGTAATCACTCCATGACAGAGTTACACACGCTTTCTGATCTTAGTATTTGGCTTGCTGTGAATAAATATGTGGGTACATCTCTGTTCAGGGCTGTCAGCTCTGAAGGCTGTGAGACCCCCGATTTCCCACTCCACACCCTGAATTTCTTTCTTTTTTATTTCTTTGAGATGGAGTCTTGCTCTCTTGAAATGCAGTGGCAGAATCTTGGTTCACTGCATGCTTCACCTCCCCAGTTCATGCCATTCTCCTGCCTCAGCCCCCCAAGTATCTGGGACTATAGGCATCTGCGCAGGCTTGGATAATTTTTTATATTTTTAGTAGAGACAGGGTTTCACTGTGTTAGCAAGATGGTCTTGATCTGACCTTGTGATCTGCCTGCCTCACCTCCCAAAGTGCTGGGATTATAGGCGTGAGCCTCTGCACCCAGCCTCCACACCATAGATTTATATGTGTGTGTCTTTAATTACTCTAGTGCCACTGGGTTAGGGTCTCCCTGACCAAGCTGGTCTCAACAGGAGTGAAAAAAAGATCCATATTTCACCCAGCACCCTATCTGGAAAGGATGCATGCAGGTGGATGTAATGACTAGCTTTCCAGCCTCTGCAATACAGAAAAGCCCAAGTGGAAAGAAGAGTGACCAGCCTGTGAACTGTAAGAGGAACACAAAAGGTTTGTGGAGCCATCATCAACAATGCTTTGCACCCATCACAGGTTGAATCTTCCTTCTGTCTTCTGAACCCCATTATGATGGGTTGTAACTCAAGTAGTAAGTTGAGAATTGAGTACAACATGCTATCTGTAAAATACATAAGGCAAGGCACACACACAGGCATACAGATAAAACACCAAACAAGAAAGAACACATGCACAATACCTCTAGGACTAACATTTGCAGTAGCTTCCCTACACTGTGACACTACTGCTGTCATGGATACTTGCCCTCAGGGTCTTCCACTGGTGGGCTGACCTGAGGTGGAATAACTGAGCAATTAAAAGCCCTGGAGGATCTGCTTGCATTGGGTTGTCATAAGTTTTCATTTGTTTTTCACTAGATGTGGCACAATCAGAAGTTTCTATAGTAGCAGCTGTGCTTCATTTGGAATAAGTGGTGGAGATTGTTCTGTATCACTGAAAAAGACAGGATTCTCGAGAGAAGCACAACCAGTAGGATATATCTATGGATATGTCATCTATCTGTATCTATCTCTCCATATCTATCTATCTATCTAGATCTATCCATATCTCTCCATATCTATCATCTATCTCTCATCTAGCCTGCTCTAGTATATTTATCCATGTGTCTCTTTACCTAACTTTGTACCTGTCATCATCATTTACTATCAGTCTATCTATACCTGTTTAGCTATAATCTATTTATCTACCTGTTTTTCTATTTTTCTATGTATCTTTGTATCTATCATTGTCAATTTATCTAGCTCTACCTATAAATGATTACAAATCTATCAATCTACCTACATCTACATATTTCATCTATGTACCTATCTAATGTATTAGTTATTTCTTTTTATCTATCATGTGTTTACCTGAAATGTAGTTGTCCATATATCTCACTACTGTTCTATCTTTATGTCAATCACCAGTATCTATTATGTATCTATCATCTATCATCCATCCATCCAATTCATCTTTATCTATCTATTTATCTATCTATCTATCATTCTATCTGTCATCCATCTATATATGTATCTATCTATTCATGTATGTATGTATCTAACATTCTGTCTCTTTATCATCTATCCATCCATGTATATATGTATATATGTATGTATGTATCAATCATCTATCCATGTCATCAGCTATCCATTCATTGATCTGTGTATCTATGTATCTACCTATCATTTATCTATGTATCTCTTATCTGTCTACCTATCTAGCATCTGTCATCTGTCATGTATCACTATCTATCTATCTATCTCTGTCATCTAACATCTATCTATTATATGTATGTGCCCATCTATTCGTCCATCCATCCATCCATCCAACCCTCCATCCATCCATCCATTGATCTATTTGTCATTTATATATCTTATAAAATTTCATGGAGTATGTGATATGACTTCTGTGGCTGGCAAGTCTCATATATGCAGGGCAAGCTGGCAGCTCTTAGGCTGGAGTTGCTACTATGGTCTTGAGCCATAATTTCTCCATTCTCTTTCTCCATTCTCAGGGAAACATTAGTGTTGCCTTTTAAGTTATTTTCACTGACTAGATAAGGCCCATTCACATTACCTAGGATAATTTGCTTGACTTAATGTCAGCTGATTGTAGGTGCTAATGACACACACAAAATAGCTTCACTGGAAAACGTACATCAGTGTTTGATGGGATAGTGTGTGTATTAAGCCTAGTCAAGTGGATGCATAAAACTAGCCATCCCAGGACCCAACACAGTAACATTTTTCCCTTTATTACATTTGGTTAATAGCATGAGCAACTTGAAATCATGCAGACTTCCAGTTCAATATGACTTTTTTATGCCCATGGTGGATAAATTTTATATTTTAAGTTCTACATACTTATTTTTATTTTCAAACTTGTTTCTATTTATTTGATTTTATACAGCCAGCATCATAGATATGCCTTTTTCAAAAAGTGCTTGAAATTATGTTGTTACAAGTAGGTATAGTTGTATGATACTTTACTTTGTTCACATAAGAATCACTTAGTATAAAAACAAAATTAGTCATTTAAAAATACTTCTTCACTTTGCCAAATATTTCAAGGTTAAATATGAATAACTAAGATAAGCAAAAGCTTCAGTCAGAAAAAAAATCTTTAGCAGATTGTCCAGCTGCTAGTTGATGTTTATGAGAAAACACATCATCAATAATAGCAAAACATTTGTTTTTAATCTGTAATTTCTTACAGAGAAAAAATAATGACAATCTTCAAAATTCTTGCAGGTATAAACATTCCACAGCACCAAAATGTATATACTGTGTGTCCCCATTTGTTCCAGAAAATAGTCATTTTTACCTTTTCTTTTATTTTTTTGTAAAAGATCCTCATTTCTTTCCGTCAGATGAATTCATTTTCTCATAAGACCCAGCTTGAAAATTGCAAGGGAAGGGCCCTTCTTAGGAGATTTGGAAAAACATTCTATTGTACTTAAAAAATAATTTCTATTTTGTGGAGAAATAGCTGTGGCATGAAAATACTATCCATTATATTTTTGTACTATTACCAGTCCAAATAAATAGAAAAAATGAAGGCTTCACTTGTATTTCATGAAATGTGTGCAAATACCTATGTCTAAGCTAGAATATCACTCTGATACTGGAGGCAGTATAGCAAAACATTGATAAGCAAAAATTCAGTTATGTGGCTGGATGTGGTGGCTTATGCCTGTGATCCAAGCACTTTGGGAGGCCAAGGTGAGTGGATCACTTGAGGTCAGGAGTTCATGACTGGCCTGGTCAACATGGAGAAATCCTGTCTCTACTAAAAATACAAAAATTAGCCAGGTATGGTGGCATGTGCCTGTAATCCCAGTTACTTGGGAGTCTGAGGAAGGAGAATAGTTTGAACCCAGGAGGCAGAGGTTGCAGCAAACTGAGATCACATCACTGCAATCCAGCCTAGGTAACAAAGCCTGACTCTGTCTCAAAATAAAAAAATCAGTTATGTGAAAGTGAAAAATGTTCGTAAAATTGTGGAATACACAATGCCCAATCAATGCCTATTACCTTGTAAAACAAACTGAACAAGAAAACATTAATCATGTTATTTCAATCATTTCAGCATCAGCAAATAAAATTTAAAAGTTGATTTTATTCATCTACATGTTGTTATCCAGCAAGTTAAAAAAAAGCTATAAATTATGTATTTAACAATAAGATGAGAAAATTAATGTACCATTTTTAGATTCCAGAATAACTAAACAAGTCAACATAATTCCAAACATATTTTCATTGATAGTTGTACATTTTACTTTTTTTAAAGTAAATCCATCATTTCAAATTGTAAAACAGATTGATTCGTTGATTCTCAGTCTGCTTTAAGTTAGCAATACATATTTCTATGAATATTACATGTCTTTTCCAATTTTACCTAGCTGATATTTTAACATGAGTTTCTCCTACCTATCAATATTTTTGTACTCATCTCTACTGTGTTTTCCTCAATTTAAGTTTAGCATTTATGCCATTAAAATATTATAAACAACACAGCAATAGAATAGCTCAATGTAAGTATTCAAAAAATGTCTGTGGAAGTTAAAGAAAAAGCCAAAAAATTACTCAGACTTTTCCATTTTTTGTTTTTGTTCTTTGTTTGTTTGTTTTGCCAGCAGTTGTTTCTCCCCATTTAATCAAGGTTGTATTTGCATTGGTTCTAACCACTAACACCAGAGCCAGAACAATAACAAGAAACTACTTCAAATTGAACAGAAAGTAAAAGCTCAATTTATTTAGCAAGTCTATCTCTGTACCTCTCTTTTTTTTTCTGCTTCTCTCTCCTTCTTTCTCTTTCTTCCTCTGTGTTTCTGCTTCTCTCTTTATTTATTCCTTCCCTTCTCAATTTTTGGTCAAATATACTTGTGAACATTTCTCCCTTCAAAGTCTTCTCTGTTTGAAAATCCTTAAGTGGCTCTCCTATGTCAGAGTGGCTGCAAGATAGTGGCACATAAAAGGAGAAGCTATGATCCTCCTGAAATAGGTAACAACACTTCACACTTCATTTGATACGTAAATGTTCCTGAAACTTGGTATTGTAAAAGACATAGTTAAAATAGAGAATCACATTCAAGGTCTCTAGTAATTTGAACAAATGACCACAAATGTTGTTCTGATTTTAATGCAACACAGCACATCTCGACTGGTGTAAAATCTGTCTCTCAGAGGATATTTCACAATATCTTGAGGCATTTTTGGGTGTCACAATAGGGGAAATTAGGTGCTTCTGGCATTTGGTAGGTTGAATCCAGGGATGCTGCAAAACATCCTGCAATACACAATACAGCCCCACCACAAAGATTTATCACATCCCAAATATCAACAATGCTAAGATTGACAAATGTTCATCCAAATAAAAGATTAGAACAAGTTATACAATCTCTATCACTTCATGTGAACATTTTAACTTGATTTCATAATACTTTTTCATTATCCTTCAATTTTGTGACATTTATAGGCTTTCGGGCATGTTCATCTTATTTCACTAAATGCTAATTTTCTAGGGCCTCTCCTTCTACAAAGAAGGCATTGACAGTTCCAAGGAAAATCTGAAAGTGCCTAAGGGAAGTTGTAATGGTTAATTTTATGTGTCAACATGACTGGGCAAGGGGAGACCCAGGTAGCTGGAGAAACATTATTTTGGTGTTTCCATGAGTGCATTTCAGGAAGAAATTAATATTGGAATCTGTAGACTGAGTAGAGAAGATCCAATGTCACCAATGTGGGTGGGTATGAATTAATTCACTGAGGTCCAGAATAGAAGAAAAAGGTGGAGACACAGTGAATTTGCTTTCTTTTCTTGAGCTAGTATATTCATCCTCTCCTGACCACAGACATGTGAGCACCTGGTTTGCAGGCCTCCAGACTTGGGCTAAACAACATCACTGGCTTCCTTCCAGTTCACAGATGGTAGATTGTGGGACTTCTTGGCCATCATAATCGTGTCAGCCAATTTCCAATCTCCTCTTATATATCTCTATATATTCTGTTACTTCTGTTTCTTTGGAGGCATCATGGAATATAACACAAGGATACAATGAGATTTTCTAATTTCGAAAGCTGGATGAGCAAAATTGGCTTAAGTTCTACTTGTCTTGGATGGGCATGGTGGCTCACACATGTAATCCCAGCACTTTTGGAAGCTAAGGCAGGCAGATCATTTGAGGTCAGGAGTTCGAGACCACCCTGGCCAACATGGTAAAACCCTGCCTCTACTAAAAATACAAAAATTAGCCAGGCATGGTGGCACATGCTGGTAGTCCCAGCTATTTAGGATTCTGAGGCTGGAGAATCACTTCACCCCAGGGTGCATAGATATCAGTGAGCCAAGATTGCATCTCTGCACTCCAGTTTGGGTGACAGAGTAAGACTCCATCTCAAAAAATTAAAATTAAAATTTAAAAGTTCTTATCTTCACTCTGGGTCTTGTCATATTTTTCCATATTGTAATACTGTGTGGAGGGTTGTGCTTTAATATGGCTTATAATGAGAGGAGCCTCCCTCTACAGCTTATCCATATTTCCAACATTGTTCCAGTCCCCAAGGAAAATTGATTGGACTCTCTTAATTCACTTGCATCTGAAGTGATGAATTTTGTTAAAAACCATAACACCAAAGAACAACCCAAATTAAATCTACAACTGCTGGTCTAGGCTTTCCACAGACTGTCCAATGTTTCCTCATAATTCTTGGGACCAACACACTCATGTGAAAGGCTCCACAGGGTTTTCCAGAGCATGTGTTCACTGACAATCAACAGTCTTTATATTTTATTGATTAAGTGAAAAACAATTTCTGACATTTTGACCACAGTGAGAGATTTGAGATTTTAGCCAATTTTCACATGTCAAAAAAGGCATGTCTGTGATATTTTTGAGTGTGTTTATACATCTCTTAGTAAAATAGAAAACTAGGAAAAACCTACCATTAGCAACAATAGAATTACCATTTATAAAACCGTACACAGTGGCTCACTCATGTATTCCCAGCTCTTTGGGATGCTAAGGTGGGAGCCTCGCAAAGTTTGTAGAGACTCAATCTCTACAAACATAAAAATAAATTAGCCAGGCATGGTGGCAATCATCTGTAGTCCCAGCTACTTGGGATGCTGAGGTAAGAGGATCACTTGAGCTCAGGAGTTTGAGGCTGCAGTGAAATGTGATTACACCACTTCACTCCAGCATGGGCAACAGAACAAGACCCTGTCTTTAAAAAAAATACCATCTCTATTAGTTTCCTGTGAGTGCTGTAATAAGTTACTGTAAATAGGGTAGCTTAAGATGACATAAATGTATTATTTTCCATTTCTTGAGGTTCCAAGTCCCACATGGGTCTCCCTAGACTAAAATCTAGATGCAGTAGGGCTGTGTTTTCTTCCAGAGTCTGTGTAAGTCAGTTGATTCCCTAGCTTCTTCTGCAAAGGCCAGATTCCCTCTGGTCCTTGGCCCTAGCTTCCTATTCTCACAATCAGTACTTGGACTGATACGATTTCATCATGTAACCACCCAAATCTCATCTTGAATTATAGTTCTCATAACCCCCACATTTTGTGGGAGGAACCTTGTGGGAGATAAATGAATAAGAGGGAAGATTACCCCCATGCTGCTGTTCTTGTGATACTGAGTTTTCATGAGATTTGATGGTTTTATAAGGAGCTTTTCCCCCTTTTGCTCAACACTTCTCACTGCCACCATGTGAAGAAGGACATGTTTGCTTCCCCTTCCACAATGATGGTTAAGTTTCCTGAGGCCTCCCCAGCCATGAGGGACTGTGAGTAAATTAAACCTCTTTTATTTATAAATTACCCATTCTCAGGTATGTCTTTATTATCAGTGTGAGAACAGACTAATACAGTGACATGGAGTTCTTCTTATAATGCCATCTCTCGGAACACTGTTTTCTGCCTCACTTTTCTACTTTCAAGCACTCTTATGATTAAACTGGGAACCTCTGGATGTGGCGGCTTAAGCCTGTAATCCATCCCAGCATTTTGGGAGGCTGATGCCTTGGATCACTTGAGGTCAGGAGTTCATGCCAGCCTGGCCAACGTGATGAAACTCTGTCTCTACTAAAAATACAAAAATTAGCTAAGTGTGGTGGTATGTGCCTGTAATCCCAGTTACTTCAGAGGCTGAGGCAGGAGAAGCACTTGAGCCTGAGAGTTGGAGGTTGCAGTAAGCTGAGATTGTGCCACTGCACTCCAGCCTGAATGACAGACCAAGACTACTTCTCAAAATAAATAAACAAAATAAAAAAATAACTGGGCTTACCCCAGTAATTCCATAATAACCCATCCACCTCAAAATCCTTAAATTCCATTTGCAAAACACCTTCTGCCATGTAAAGTCACATATCCATAGGTTCCAGGGATTGGGTTGTGGACATAGTTTCTAGGGTTTATTTATTTATGTATTTACTTACTTACTTATTTTTGTACAGTGGTATTACTCTGTTTGCCACATCACCCAAAATATATTTTGTGCCAAACAAGAATACATACAACACATTGCCTAAAGTTAAAGAATACGTTGTTTGTTTTGGGGAGGCGAACACAGGGAAAACATTCTGAAATAAACATTTAAAATACTGTTTCATTAATTTAGCATTTTTTTATTATTAACAGTAAGCTAGACAGTTTTTAGATTATTTGAGGTACAGTACTGATTAAAATGTCAGCATTCCTGCCTTGACAGAGATTACATTATGTTGTGGAAAACTGACAGGACATTAAATAAATGAGTAACGTGTGTAGCTCATTAGATGTGGGCAGTTCTCATGGGAAAGTATGTGGTAGGAGACGGAACTTCATACAATGTGTGTGGGATTCACTTTTTAAAAATTGTAGGTGACAGCTTCATCCATGTCGCTACATAGGACACGAACTCATCCTTTTTTATGGCTGCATATGTACCCTCTAAGTTAAAGTATAATAATAAAAAATAAATAAAAATAAATGATAGATAATTAAAAAAATCATGGGTGACAAATGAATTACTGTTGATGTGATAATAGCACAAAAATTAGAATAAACTAACCATCTGGGAGAACAGAGTACCAGGAAAATGAAATTGCAAAAGAAAAACTATGTTTGGTAATTTTTTGGAAGAGCAATAAGATCAGTATAATAGCAGCTGAATTACATAAGCAGGAAATTGGTAGGGTCAGATATCAGATAAGCAACTGGGTTATCTGATCATGGTAACTTATGTTATTTTCAGCATTTTGACCTTAATTCTGAGTAGAAGGTAGAAACACTGGATAATTTCAGCAGAGGAGTGACATGAAGTCAAATATTTTTAGGAACCTCTTGGGTGCTATGTACGGACTTAAGTGTTGAGAAGTAGAAAGACCAGTTTGAAAGCAGCTTTCATGCTCCAGGTAAGAAGATATACTTATTTTGAATACAAAAGAAGCAATTAACATAATTCATTTTGTATTACAGCTAATTATTATTATTATTCAAAATATAATTAAAGCTCATTTTAAGAACATACTCAAGAAGTCAGAAAATTGTAATTCCAGCATTTCAGGAGGCTGAGGCAGGAAGATAGCTTGAGGCCAGGAGTCTGGGACCAGCCTGCACAAAATAACAAGACCTTATCTCTATAAAAAATACAAAAGTTAGCCAGGCATGCTGGCACATGCCTGTAGACCCAGCTACTCAGGAGACTGAGCTGGAAGAATGGCTTTAAGCCCAGAAGGTTGAGGATGCGGTGAGCTTGGATTGCACTTCTGCATTCCAGCCTGGGTGACAGAGTGAGATCCCATCTCTTTAAAAACAGCAAAAAGTCTGGTTTGCAGTGGCTCACTCTTATAATCCCAACACTTTGGGAGGCCAAGGCAGGCAGATCATCTGAGCTCAGAAGTTTAAGAGCAGCCTGGCCAACATGGTGAAACCCCATCTCTACTAAAAATACAAATAATAGCTGAGCGTGGTAGCAGGCTCCTGTAATCCCAGCTACTCAGGAGTCTGAGGCAGGAGAATGACTTGAATTTGGAAGGTGGAGGTTGCAGTGAACCAAGATATTACCACTGCACTCCAGCCTGGGCAACGAGAGTAAAACTCTGTCTCAACAAAAGAAAAAAAAAAAAAGACTGCAATTACCTTCTACTCATGAGAAAAAAAGAGGACAGCATTGAAGTGAAAAGGACTGAAATGGGAGATTCAGCTGGATTTGAGCAAGAAGAAGTAGAGAAGTAACTGTCGTTATTTTAAAATACATTGTTTGGTTTGATGATGAAATCATTGACTGGGCTGGGTTGGTGAGTAGATAAGTATATTCATCAAAATTTTACATAAAAATTTGATTTGATTTAGCAAGGATACAGGTTGTAGAGAAAAGGAAACACATTGGTGGAAATGTAAATTAGTTCAGCTCCTATGGAAAACAGTACAGAGATTTCTCAAAGAGCTAAATGCAGAACTGTCATTCCACCCAGCAAACTCACTACAGTGTTTCTAACCAAATAAAATGAAATTGAGGCCAAGCATGGTGGCTCAGAACTGTATTCCAGCACTCGGAGAGGCCAAGGCAGGCGGATTGCTTGAGGTCAGGAGTTCAAGACCAGCTGAGCCAACAGGGCGAAACTCTGAGTCTACAAAAAATACAAAAAATTAGCCAGATGTGGTGGCACACACCTGTAATCCCTGCTACTTGGGAAGCTGAGGCACAAGAATAGCCTGAATCTGGGAGGTGGAGGTTGTAGTGACCTGGCAAGCCAATATTATGCCACTGCACTCCAGCCTGGGGAACAGAGCAAGACGGTCTCAAAAACATTGTTTTGTCAAAATGACATCAGAACTCATGTTTATCACAGCCTTATTCACAATAGCAAAGATAGGGATTCAACCTAAGTTTCTATCAACAGATGATCAGATAAGGAAATGTGGTATGTATACACTACGGAATACTACTAAGCCATAAAAAAGTATTAAATAATGTTTTGCTGCAACATGGCTGGATCTGGAGGCCATTATCCTAAGTGAAATGACTCAGAAACAGAAGGTGAAATATTGCATGTTCTCTCCGATAGGTGGGAACTAAAAATTGGGTACACATGGACATACAGTGAGGAATAATAAACACTGGAGACTCCAAAAGAGGGCATGATGGGAGGATAGTGAGGGTTGAAAAATTACCTCTTGGGGGCTGTGTGCGGTGGCTCAGCCCTATCATCCCAGCACTTTGGGAGTCCAAGACAGGTGGATCACTTGAGGTCAGGAGTTCAAGACCAGCCTTGTCAACATGGCAGAACCCCATTTCTACTAAAAGGAAAATACAAAAATTAGCTGGTAGTTTGGTACACACCTATAGCCGCAGCTACTCAGGTGGTTGAAACATGAGAATTGCTTGAGTTTGGGAGGCAAAGGTTGCAGTGAGCTGAGATCTCACTGCTGCCCTTCAGCCTGGGTGACAGAGGAAGATTTTGCCTCAAAAAAAGAAAAAAAAAGTACCTATTAGCTACAGAGTTCACTATTTGGGTGATGGGCTCACTAACGGAAGCCCAAATCCCATAATTACACGATATAACCACGTAACAAAACTGCGATGCATGTACCACCTAAATCTAAAATAAAACAAAAAATTTTAAAGTTTTAAAAAATTTGAGCTGGACATCAAAGGCTAGTAAAACCCAGTTAATACCACAAGATGAGAAGCAAGAACAGAAGGCTGTGAATAGAATCACTGGGTGTGAAATGAGGGCATAATAATAAAGAGAGGAAGAAGGAATCTTCAAAAGGCTTCTGAATAGTTGGTAGTCATGGACATCATGAAATTTTGAAGTCTTTTTTTTTTTTAATGTTCCAATAGCATCAGCAGGGTCTAGGAGGATGATGTGGGTCAAAGTGATGGCTCTCTAATGGAAAAGCAGAGTTTAAGTAGTGTGGAAATGACCAGTATCTCTTGCTGGAGAAGTGGCTATGGCTTGGGTCTAAGGACAAATAAGCAGCAAGCCAAGGTATAAGAATGAGCAAGGGCAAGTATCTTTGAAGGTTCCTAGCTTTACAGAAACTGAGCCTAATGATAGCAATGAAATAACTTTGCAATGAAATGAAGAGGAAATTGTGAGATTACATTCAAATACTGTTGGCTATAAAACAAATTGACATCACTATGAAAGGCACCTGATGCAGCCTGCCTATGGATGGTGTCATTTAGCATGCAAATGAAATAATACTAAACTAAGGAACAGAGAATCAGGATCTTGGTTTTGGGAGACTGGACATCGGGCATCAGGGGTAAAGGCTGAGATCTTTCCTTGATGGGACACGTTGACTGAGTTTTGCAGTCATCTGAGAACTGTAGAAAGAATAAAATCATGGGAAATCTATGCAGACAAGCAACCTTCTAGTGTAACCAGCTGTGAGACTTGTGGTCTAGGGGCAAGCCTCCAAAGACATGACTACTAAACTTCTCCACCTAAGGATAGGCATTGTCTTAAAGCATGGACAAAATAAAGTCTACTAAAAAATGCATAATCAGGCTGGATGCAGTGGCTCATGCCTGTAACACCAGCATTTTTGGAAACCAAAGTGGGTGGATTACTTGAGCCCAGGAGCTTAAGACCAGCCTGGGAAAGATAGTAAGATTCTGTTTCTACAAAAAATACAAAATCACATTAGCTGGGTTGGTAGTTCATGCCTGTCCTGCGTGCTCAGGAGGCTGAGGCAGGAGAATCTCTTGAGCCTGGGAACTTGAATTTGCAGTCAGCTTTGATTGTGCCAGTGCGCTCCAGTCTGGGCAATGGAGTGAGATACTGTCTCAAAAACACAAGAAAAAAAAATCAATTACAAGGTTGAGAATTTGGAATGTCTAACAAAGCAACAGAATCATGTTTGTACTTTAGCTATAAACCAGGGGGCTCCAGACCACAGCTGGTGGATTATGTCTGTCTGAATGCTTGTTTTTGCAGACGGAATTTCATAAATGCACAATCAAACCCATTGGTTTACCTATTGTCTCTGGCTGCATTTGTGCTACAATTATAGACTTAGGTAGCTGCAACAGACACTAGAAAGCCTAAAATAACTACATTCTACATTCTACTCCTATAAAGAAAAGTTTACTGGTCCCTGATAGAATCTCTTCTTTCCCAGTTTCCTTTAAATCTACTTGTCTTCTCTTCAATTCTTTCCTACCCCTTTCAGGGTGACTGCAGGTGAATGCAACTTATACCTAATCCATAGTAAAACAAAATCACCCCTCCTTTAACATAGGTCTTCTTTCGCTGGATATGAAGAGAAGGATGTGTTCTATTGTCTCTTGGTATTGCCTCTGTAGTAATTACATTTTAATGCTCTACTTATGAAAACTTTCTGTGTTTGAGCAACAGTTTATGTTGGACTAAAATGCACAAGCTACAGTTAGTAAAGTAGTCCCTCCTTCAAACAGACACACACTCAGACACACACACACTCACACACACAGGCAAACACATTTCATAACAAAGTAAGAAAGAAAAAATAAAGAACTGTATAGAATTTGGTGTATGTTTCTTAGAATGAATACTGCTTTATATCTCATGAGTTTCTATTAGGAGTAGTTTATTACTGTCATTAAAGGAAAAATATGTCTATCTATTTTGGTACAAAAGTGCAACCTTTTTAAGGTGTGGTTATACTACTGGCTCACCTCTAGGAAGAGATAATCTATTCCTTTTAATATCTTTAGTACCAATATGATGTAAGTTGAAAAACACTAGAAACAGCTCTTTTATGCCAAGTATATCTCAGGCTTTAATAGAAGACTATAAATCTGAAGTGATTTCTTAACATACTGATACATTAATTATGGAGAAGACAATTACATATATAGATCACAGTGAGAACTTCGTCATCGTTAATTTAAAGCAGGAAAAAAACACAAAAATTAAATTTCCTTTAGAAGAATCAGACAAATATCAGCTATCATCAATGTTTTAAATGATGGAACACTTCTTGATGACAATGTTGGAAAAGCAGAGCTGAGTCATTTGATTCCTGGAAGAACTGATACCACTGACCTGAAGCTGCTCCTCTCTCTTCCTCTTAATATATATTATTGAAATTGTAGCAGGTGTAATTTCTGCATTAACATACTTTCCAATTTGAGTTCAATTAAACATTCCTCATAAGGAAAAACAATCTCATTTTATTGAAATTCATTTCCTATCAAATACTATTTAGTGACAGGTTTTGTTGTTCTATTTAACAAGAGAAACATAATATAATACAATGGGCTCCTGGATATCCTGTCTTCTTGCAAAAATCAAACACATTGCTTAAATTTCTTAAATAATTGAAGACAGTTGGAGTATCTTTCTGCAACTAAAGTTTACCATGAGAAGCTCACACTAGTGAGACTAACACTTAGTCTATGTATTTTAATGTTTTTCATCTTTCAAGTTCATGTAAGGAGATGTATTTGAAGAAAGATAATTTGTTTTTAAGTCACATATTTTTAAATTATTAACAGAATGTGTTTTGTTTCAAAGGAATCTATGAGTATTATCAATTTTATATAATAATTTTTACAAGTGTTTGTCAGTATTAATTTCAATCTATTTATTTTTCCTTCCCTGGCTCTGTCTCTCTCTCTCTCACTCATAAACCCAATTCTTTAAAAAAAAATGACTGAGATTGTTGATTGCATTTAAAATTTGTGTGCTAGAATTTTTCTGTTTCTTTCATCAGATCTGATTTACATTTACACTTAATATTTACTTGTAAAGCCAGAGACTACACATTCCAGTAACGCTGCAAATGTATATCCTGCAATTAATAGTCATATTTTCTCAAATTACACATAAAGTGTTTTTTCTTTATTATCTTATTTTATATGCCAGTCCTCAGAATGCCCATTGCAAGCTGAATGTATACACATTGTGCTGCTCAATTAAGGTACAATGTATTCCTCAAGACAATTAGTAAGACTATGCAAGCATGATCTGAAATGGATTTAACAAAAAGACACACACAAAAATCCTGGATAAAATTTACACAACTTTCTTATCTTACATGTTATGACCCAAATAATCAGATATAAACCCTGTGATAGTCAGGATAATGTCTCTCCAAAAATGCCTGCATCCTCTGCAAACTCTGAATGTGTCAGCTTACATGGAAAAACAAGTTTGGAAGATGTAATCAAGTGTGTAGGTTTTGTAATGATGAGATGATCCTGGATTATTTAAGTGGGCCCAATTTTATCCATGAGTCCGTAAAATCAGAGATCATTTTCCAGCTGTGACCGGGGAGAAATAACTGTGGAAGAATTATAAAAAAGACATGTAGTACTACTGGCATTGAAAATGGATAAAACCATATCCAAAAGAATGTGGATGACCTCTAAAATTTGGGAACTGTCAAGGAAACAGTTTCTCCCCCAGAGGCTGCAGAAGGAAATGCAGTCCTGCTGACACCTTAATTTTGATCACCAAACCTTCTGCAGAACTGCAAGATAAAACATTTGAATTGTTTCAGATGCTGAGTTTGTGGCAATTTTTTACAGAAGCTGTAGACAATAAATGCAAGCCCTAGTTTTGTTGTATGTTAATTCTCTTGAACTACAGTTGACACCATGCATTTCATTGCAGAATTCTGCCAATAATCATTGGCAGGGTGGATGGAATGGTCTTCCTAAATGATATATTTCAGTACGTTTCTTTCTTCTTTAAATGTCAGCAATCTAAGGACACTCAGTCTTCTGAAGATGTTTCATCAAAACCTTATGGTGCAATCTTAGTACACATACATCTGGGATCCCCAGGCAGAAATCTTGCCGACTTGCTCATAAGAATCTTTTGTTAACTATTTTCTTATCTTCTGGTTGATTTCTGTGCCCATCTGTGTTGCCATAGCACTGCATTTTCTTGGACTATAACTCAGCTAAGTTAAATCAAGTCTTATTAGTTAAGTCTCATTAATTAGGCTTTTTCTGATCGTTCTTGTCACTGGTAGAACTGACTATACCATCATTTGTGAAACACTTATAAACTCTGCCTCGATTGTGCACTACACCATGATGGTTTATTCACTGTTTGGAGGTTTTCCTCCATCATAATTCAGACTAAAAGAAATTATGGGAACTCTAATATTTCCCATAATTACAAATAAAAGCAAAACTTGCATGACCAGAGTCATGCGAGGCTCTGAGAAATAGAGTATATATCAGCACATCAGCCTATGGGATTGGTAGGCAATGACATAGGAGTTAAAAGATGAGTACTATATACATTCCTTTGCTTTCATGAAGCTTATAATCTAGTAGTGTGGCAGACACTGGTCCACAAATAAAGAATAACCTTGCAACTTTTACCAATAATCTGAAGGGAATATAAAATATTGTGAGTGTGAATGGTGACATGAAAATGTTGTTCACATACAAACAGTCAGGAGATGTTCTTCTGAAAATATTGGTAATACATGTCATCTGTGACCTGAAAGATAAACACAGTAAAATCAGTAGCAATGTGATAAAGAATTCTAGGGAGGGGCTGACATCCATCAGTGGTGGAGGCACCATGGTGTTTTCATAAGAACTTAAGGATGGCCAGTGAATACCCAAGATAGAAAAAGAAGACTACGTCAATGCCAAAAGAAGTAACTGTAAGATTCTGCAATATGGCAGACAGCATCTAAGAGACAGGTAGAACAGGTGGACATCAACATTGATAGGGAAGCCAAGATCAGAGAGTCAGGAAAATCAGGAAAGAGTTAGATCTTTGAAGGCAAGGGAAAAAATTATTTGCAATCACTGGGAGTGGACAGTAGTGTGGAAACATTGATCAAAGGGCCAAGAAGGATGGGGAAATTTCTATTTGGTTTACAATGTAAAAGTCAAGGAGGACTTGTACACAATCTACAGTGGTAGAATGAATAGGTATCAGAGAAATGCAATAAAGCAAATAAATAAAACTTGTCCTTAAAGGCAAGGGTTATGTCCTCAGAGAGAGTAGGTATGTAAAATTAGTTGTTAACTAAACATGTAAGCTAAAAGAAGGCTTTCCTTCCTAATGCCTGGGATTAATAGTGCTCCATGGCAAAATCATCAATACATTCAAATCTGTCCTTCTGAATAAGAAAAATAGAATAGGGCCAGCAATATTCAGAGTCCTCTCAGCCATATGTGTCAGTCAGTGAGGGATGTTCTCTCCACCTGGAATTCATTCATCCCAAGCAATGTCTTCAGATTCTAACGTCTGTGCTTCACAGTAAGTGCCTAAGAGCGTTAAAGTAAAATCCTCTTTAGTGCAAAAATAATGTCTGAAGACTTCTAGATGGGTCTTGAGAACTTCAGATGAGATCTTAGCATGGCTGGAGAAGCCATATCTTTTAGTGTTGACTCTATTGCTTGTTATATCTTTGATCATGAATCCCCAAAAGTTAAAAATACACCAGAAAATGTCTGATGTTTAAAAGGAATAGCTATGATAGCACATTTTTAATCCATAGCATATGGACTTACCATCTGCCAGGTACACCTGAGAGTTAACAAGATGTGATGGTAAAGAAGGTGAACATTAGAAAAATGATTAAACATTACGAGTTTAGTTCAAATTACACATATGTCTATGTGCATCTCAAATTTTCAATTAGAAAGAATATAAGGGTATTCTTTTCACCAAAACTTCATTTAATAATAAAGACAGAAGCAACTTATATTTTAATCCAAGTATTTTTTAATCACATGGGAAACATAAAAAGTATAGGAAAAAAGGAAAAATGGATGAATAGAGAAAAATGAGTACTATATGGTTTTAATATAATAATTTTTAGAATATACTGAGATTAAATGATTGTGAAGGAGTCTAGATTTCCAAAATTTAAAACATGACATGTCAGCAAGAACAAACCAGCAATCCCCATAACACCCACAGACCCTCTGAAGGAAGCAGACTGCTCCTGCAGGACCCAGGAGACACAGCCAAAATTGTGAGCCCCAAAAGTGGAGGTGGGAAAGACATGCTGACATGGTTATATGTTGAGAAAGAAACTGTTATTCTAAAATCAGTTATATTCCTACAGCAAAATAAATTGTTGTAGAAGTCTTTCATGATTGTGATAGAAACCCTGTTGTAAACATGAGATTAAAAAAGAAAATTTTTCATAATAATGCCACTCCTAAATCATAAGCCACATAGTAGACTAAATGATGATTTTCCAAAGCTGCATCCTGACAAAAATTTCCAGAAGCTGTAAATTCACGAGCTTGCAAGATAAAAAGGAATTTCCAGGTATAATTAAGTAAAGGATTGTGAGATGGAAAGATGATCTTGGATTGTCCTGGTGGGCACAATATAATCATGAAGGTATTAATATATAAAAGGGAGGTATGAGAATCAGAGTTTTGTAGTGGATGATTTGAATACAGAAAAACGATTTGGAAGAATGCGAAGAATTCATTATGGGCCAAGAAAAAAGGACAGACTCTATCAGCTGAAAAAGATGAGAACAGATGTCTCCCTAGAGCCTCGAGAAGAAACACAGACGTTTTAACACCTTGATTTTATACTTTCTGACTCCAGGGCTGTAAGAGAATGAATTTGTGTTATTTAAGACAGTAAAGATGTGGTAATTTGTTACATCTGTATTAATAAATTAAAACCGACTCAAATAGTATTTTATGTTATGATTCATAAATACATATTTATGGCTTATAGTAATTTAAATACATACTATGCATTTCTGGATAAATCAGGCAATTTGTATGCACATACTTGATTAGGCATACTTATATACACATACTTGCTACAGATGGTAACATGTTTAAAAATATGGAGGAGTGTGTGTATGTGTATACACATAAAAAGTTTCTTTCTCAATGTATAACCATGTCGACATCCCTTTCTCACTTCCGCAGTTGCGACACTCAGAGTTTTGGAGAGGTCTTCCGGGTCCTGCAGGAGCAGTCTACTTCCTTCAGATGGTCTGTGGGTCCTCTTGGGATTGCTGGTTTGTTCTTGCTAACATGCTGTGTATACATACACACACATAAGAATCATAAGAATATGTAGATATTCACATGCATATGTGTGTGATGCAGGATTAAGTGTAGGGTAATATTACCTACACTACTTTTTGAATTTGTTTTTTTTAGACACAAGGTCTTCCTATACCATCTAGGCTGGAGTGCAGAGGCATGATCATAGCTGAATGCAGCCTCAAATTCCTGGGCTCAAGTGATCCTTCTGTCTCAGCCTCTGGAGCTGGGTCTACAGACACATGCCACCACATGTGGCTAAATTTTTCTCTTTTATTGTAGGTATGAGATCCTTCTGTGTTGCTGAAGCTGGTCTTCAACTCCTAGGCTCAAGCAATCCTCCTGCCTCAGCCTCCCAAAGTGTTAGGATTACAGGCCTGAGCCACTGTGTCTAGCCTGGACATTTTTTTATTAAAGTAAACTTCTGCAGCCAAATGTACAAATACAAACTGTGTAGGTTAGTGAATTATTACAAAGTGAACATACCTCCTACCACCAATTAAAAAACAGAGTATTTAAAGCACATTAAAAATTGTGTCCTTACAATGACTGCTTCTTACTCTGTAGACTGCCTTCATTCTACTATTGTGAATCTATTTAGCTGTATTTCATATTTATATAAGTACATCTGGAGGACATATTATTAACCATTTGTCTTAGGGCACTCACCAATGTGTTCATGAAATGCATCTATTTGGTATGATGCAGATATGATTCACTCCTTCAGTTCTGTATGGTAACCCAGTGCATTGAAAGAATCAAATTCTCATTAACACTTAGGCTGCTTATATTTGGCTATTAAGATAATGATGCTATACATACATATTGTGCCACCTTGAACACATGTTCTTGATGGTCTGTAATGTATAGATAGATCTTGGCATGGAATTGATGGTTCACAATGAATGGGCAGGTTCAGTTTAGGAGTTATTGCCAAGCCAGTTTTCCTGACTTACAGAAATTTATATTTTCCACAGCAATGCATAAGAATTGTATCACATTCGACTCCATACTCAGAATTGTCTATTTATTTTTCAATGTGGCATTGTTGAGTTTATAATGATATTCCACTGGGGCATTATTCAATAAATGTATTTTTACTTTGCTAATTATTTGATTAAAATAATAATGAAATTCATTATAACAATATAATTATTGTTATAATGAATTTAATGTTACAATTTAATGTTACAATATAATTATGTAACATAATAATTATTATAATATAATATAGTGGAGTATAATTATGTAGTATTTAGTTAATTACTTTCTATTGTTAATTTATTATTAATTTATTATTAATATATTATATATGTTTACTCAACAAGCTGAGGGCCTTCTATTGTCCATTTCTATCTTCTCTTTGGAAGAGGTTTGGGTTCTCACCCTCTCATTAAAAAAAATGTATATATTTGTACTTGATTAATTGTCTGTCTTCTTCTCATTTGTTTGTAGATGTTCTTTATATATATATTGCCTAGCAGTCCTGTGTTACATGTGTTACAGATCTGCTCTCCCTATTTATAGCTATAATCACTTTTTATTAGCTGTTGCTATTTTGTAAAATTATTTTTAAAATTAAGATAACATAGACCAGGCACAGTGGCTTATGCCTGTAATCCTAGCACTTTGGGAGGCCAAGACAGGTAGATCATTTGATGTCAGGAGTGCAAGACCAGCCTGGCCACCATGGTGAAATCCCATCTCTACTAAAAATAACAAAAATTAGCTGGGCATGGTGGCACTTGCCTGCAGTCTCGGCTACCCAGGTAGCTAAGACAGAAGAATTGCTTGAACCCCAAGGTCGGAGGTTGCAGCAAGCCATTATGCCCCAGCTTGGGCAAAAGACCAGACTCTGTCTCAAAAAAAAAGATAAAATACAAAATGCATAACATTTATAATTATAGCAATTTGTAAATGTATAGCTAAGCAATGTTTGGTAACTTCACAATTTTGGGCAACCATCAACAGAATCCATTCACAGAACAATTTTCATATTGTAAAACTGAAACACTGCATCTATTAAACGAGAACTCCTTAGATCCTCCTCCCAACATCAGCCTCTGAGTACCACCATTGTATTTTATTTCTCTATGAATTTTACTACTCTGGGTATCTCATATAAGTAGAATCCTATGGTATTTCTCTGTTTGTCCATTTGTTTGTTTTAGTATGGCATATTTCACCTTGTATGGTGTCCTTAAGATTTATCCATGTTATAGCATGTGCCAGAATTCCCTTCCATTTTAAAGCTGAATAATGTATTATTGTATGTATAGATCACAAGCACTACTCATTCACTGATAGACAATTAGGTAGCTTCCATAGACATTTCTCCAAGGAGGTATGGAAATAACCAAAGAGCTCATAAACAGAAGCTCAGTAGCACTAATCATTAGGGAAGTAAAAATTGAAAACACCATGAGATATTACTTGATAACTATTAAATTGGATATTGTCAAAAGCAACAAATAAAAATCTTAGGAAATAACAAGTGTTGGTAAAGATGTGGAGAAATTGGAACCTTGTATATTACTAGTAGGAATTTAAAAAATGGTGCAGTCACTGTGGAAAACAGTAAGATGCTTTTTCAATAAATAGAAAATATAATTACGATATAATCCAGCAATTCCATTTTTCAGAATACACCCAAAAGAATTGAAAACAAGGGCATAAATAAACATCTGTACACCACAGCACATAGCCATTTTCAATATTGTCCTGTATGGTCAGTAGCTGTCTACTATCTATGTGCTTAATGTTTGTGAACAGCTACTACTTTTTGATATGTGAATATTTTGTTCTCTTTCTGTAATCCTTTCATTTTATTTATTTATTTATTTTTTGATAAAGAGTTTCACTCTGTTGCCCAGGCTGGAGTGGAGTGGCATGATGCTTGCTCACTACAACCTCCATCTCCCAGATCCAAGCAATTCTCCTCTCTCAGCCTTGCCAGTAGCTGGAATTACAGGCATGCACCTCCATGCCAGGTGAATTTTTGTATTTTTTACTATAGACAGGGTTTTGCCATATTGACTGGGCTAGTCTTAAACTCCTGGCTCAGGGGATCCAACCACGTCGGCCTTCCAAAGTGCTGGGATTATAGGCATGAGCCACCGCACCCAGCTCATATTTCTCTTAAAGTCTGCTTTACTGGTTAGCTATACGCAGAAAGCTGAAACTGGGTATCTTCCTTACACCTTATACAAAAATTAACTCAAGATGGATTAAAGACTTAAATATAATACCTAAAACTATAAGAACCCTAGAAGAAAACCTAGGCAACACCATTCAGGACATAGGCATGAGCAAAGACTTCATGACTAAAACACCAAAAGCAATGCAACCAATGCCAAAGTTGACAAATGGGATCTAAGTAAACTAAAGAGCTTCTGCACAGCAAAATAAACTATCATTAAAGTCAACAGGCAACCTACAGAATAGGACAAACTTTTTGCAATCTATCCATCTGGCAAAGGGCTAATATCCAAAATCTACAAAGAACTTTAACAAATTTACAAGAAAAAAAACAACCACATAAAAAAGTGGACAAAGGATATCAACAGACAATTCTCAAAATAAGACATTTATGCATCCAATAAACATATTTTAAAAATCTCATTATCACTGGTTGTTAAAGAAATGCAAATCAAAACCCCAGTGAGATACCATCTCACATCAGTTATAATGATAATCATTAAAAAGTTAGGAAATAACAGGCCGGGCGCAGTGACTCATGCCTGCAATCTCAGCACTTTGGGAGGCTGAGGTGGGTGGATCACGAGGCCAGGAGATCAAGACCATATTGGCTAACATGGTGAAACCCCGTCTCTACTAAAAATACAAAAATTAGCCAGGCATGGTGGTGGACGCCTGTAGTCTCAGCTACTCGGAAGGCTGAGGCAGAAGAATGGCCTGAACCTGGGAGGCGGAGCTTACAGTGAGCTGAGATTGTGCCACTGCACTCCAGCCTGGGTAACAGAGTGAGACTCTGTCTCAAAAAAAAAAAAAAAAGAAAGAAAGAAAAGGGAACAGCAGATGTAGGAGAGAATGTGGAGAAATAAGAACACTTTTACACTGTTGGTGGGATTGCCAATTAATTCAACCATTATGGAAGACCGAGTGGCAATTCCTCAAGGATCTAGAACTAGAAATAACATTTGTCCCAGCAATCCCATTACTGTTTATATAACCAAAGGATTATAAATCATTCTACTGTAAAGACACATGCACGTATATGTTTATTGTGGCACTATTCACAATAGCAAAGACTTGGAACCAACCCAAATGCCCATTAATGATAGATAGGATAAAGAAAATGTGGCAAATATGTTCCATGGAATACTATGCAGCCATAAAAAAGATGACTTCATGTCCTTTGCAGGGACATGGATGAAGCTGGAAACCATCATTCTCATCAAACTAACACAAGAACAGAAAACTAAACACCACATGTTCTCAGTCAAAAGTGGGAGTTGAACAATGAAAACATATGGACACATGGAGGTGAACATCACACACCAGGTCCTGTCAGGGGCTGGGGGTCTATGGGAGGGATAGCATTAGGAGAAATACCTAATGTAGATGACGAGTCATTGGTTGCAGCGTGTATACTCATGTAACAAATGTGCAAGTTCTCCACATATACCCAAGAACCTAAAGCATAATAAATGAGAAGAACAGTCTGCTTTGACAGATATTAATGTGACAAAGTCAGTTATATTATTTAGAGCTGAAAATCCATTCTACTTTTCATTATTTTAGTCTGAATTAGTTTGTATTTTAGGAATGCCTCTGGTAAGCAGCATCTGTTAGTTTTTGTTGACTTTAATCCACAGTCAGTTAGAGATATTATGGCTCTGTAGCAGATAACCTCAAATTCTCATGGGATTTGTGGATAAGGACTTCAGGCACAGCAGTGTGCACTGTCATATAGCAGCCTCAGTTGGGAAGTGTGGTGTCAGGGGTCACGTGATAGCTGGGCTGAAGGCTTGGTCATGAGATGAGTTAAAGATGAGAACATCCAACCTGAGCTGTTTTCTGTGTCCTCTCCATTTGACATGTTTTCCCTACAGCATTAATAGATATTCTTCCTATAAGTAGGTTCAGGGTCTCAAGTGCAAAATTCCCACAGACCGTAGGGAAGTTTCCCTACATGACTCAGACTCAAAAATAACAGTCTCACTTCCAACCTGAAGAACTCGCCAAGATTCATGGGAATGGAATCTGATTTCATCTCATGATCAACATGTAAGAAATTCATATTGTAGGAGACAATATGGAATGGAAGATGTAGTTAAGGACCTCTATGGAAACTACAATTAGCCACACAGTTTAACATTTGCTTTCTTGTATTTAGAGCATTAAATCTATGCATATTAAAACTAATTATTGATATATTAGTTTTTAATTATCATTTAATTTATCCCTAGCCTCCATCAATTCAAACTCCTTTATTTCTTCATTTCTTGATGCTTTTGAAAAATTGCATTTTATTGATTTATTTTTTCATGCTATCTTCTTCAAAGTTATGCTGTACAAAACTTAAATGGCTATTTTGGGTTTGGCATAGAGAAGAAGAACTTGTGTAATAATACACTACTTCTTCCCACATAATGCAAAGATCTGACACCACATCAACAAAATTTGTTTATTTGTCAATTATATCTACATTTTAAAACCCAAAAGCCAATAGTATTATTACATAAATATTCATGAATACACACATATAAATGTGTGTATTTTATACATATACTAATGTTATACCATGATACATTTTAGCTTGCTATATATCAATGACATATTATGATATGTAACAATTATGTATCAATTTTACACACACACACATGCACACACCACACCACTATTTTTATCCTATAATTTTCCTCCACCTCTCAAAAACTATTCTCTAAGAGAGTTTTCTTTCTGCCTGAATTATTACTTTCAGTGAAAATCTACAGTTGATTAAGTTCCTTGAGTTTTTTCTTTAGAAATGTCTTTTCTCACTGTTTTTTCTGAAGAGTATTTAAAATGGGTACAGAATTCTAGGTTGAAAATTACTTTCTTCTTTCTTTCATTCCAATTTCTTCTTGGCTCCACTTGTTCTGTTGAGAGGTGATGTATAAATTTCACAGTTGTTCTTCTTGAGTCCTGGTGTTTAAGACCAGCCTGGGCAACACTTGGTTTTAAACAAGTTTTTGTTCAAAAACAAAAAAACTTGGCTTGTGTGGTGGTGCACAGCTGTGGTTCTAGCTACTTAGGAGGCTGAGGTGGGAGGACTGCTTAAGTCTAAGATGTTGAGGCTGCAGTAAGCTGTGATCATTTCACTTTACCCAGGCCTAGGAGACAAAGAAAGACCCTATTTAAAAAAATACACACATACACATGCAATTAAAAAAAAGAATTGATGTTTGTTTAAGGCAGAAAGGGCAAGTAAGAAAATTTCCAACTTTTCAGAAATCGCCCTGAGTTTTCCTAAATGTAAGCCTACTTGGCTCACTAATTATTTATAGAACATGTACAAACTGAGGATAAACTATTTATAAAATTAAATTTAAAAGAGGGTCTACTGAATGAAATATATTATTCAGAAATTTATGTAAGACTATTGAAAAACAAGAATTATAACTATAAAACTGATTTACTCACAGATTTTAAAACTTCTATTGCTTAAAGATATACATTTCTTTAAAGGCTTATTTATACATATATTTTTACTTAAATGTCTTCCTATCTGAACCCAGATAAATATAGAAAAATTCAGCATAGTAGAAAAAAGCATTTCACTCACCAACAGAATTTTCCTCTACATATGTTAAACTTTCTTTTCCAAGTCAATGAAATTATTAATTTTTCTACAGCATTTTCCTGAACAAAATGTGTTTTTCTCCCTTTGTGGAAGGTGAAATGGGAATTCTCAAATACTACCATGAAGAACAATATTGCAATATGTACCAAAAACCTGTTAAATGCTCACGTGTCTCAGCAAATGATTTCAATTCTTTTGATATATATCAAAGAACTGATATAGATTTTGAAAAAAAATTAAAAAGATGTTTAATGCTTTTAGTGGGTGTTGTAGATGTCAGTGATCCAAAAAAAGAAAAAAGATTTGAATGTTGAATTATAAGGGATTTTATATGTAATTTTGCTATGATTACCTCATGGAAGAATATTTAACCATTAAGGTGATATATAATAACATAGAAACATTTTGTTAATATAAAGTGGCTAAAAGCAGGGTATGTAGTTATATGGATAAAAGGAATACACACATGTACACATGCACACACACACGTGCATTTACATAAAACAACATGACTCATATATTTAAAAAGAGAACTATGGGCCGGGCCCAGTGGCTCATGCCTGTATTCACAACACTATGGGAGGCTGAGGTGGGCCGATCACTTGAGGCCAGGAGTTTGAGACCAGCCTAGGCAACATGGCAAAATGGCATCTCCACTAAAAATACAAAAATTAGCTGGATGGAGTGGCACACCTGTAATTCCCAAGGCTGAGGCTGAAGAATCACTTGAACCTAGCTGGTGGAGGTAGCCATGAGCTGAGATTGCACCACTGCACTCCAGCCTGGGAAACAAAGTGAGACTCTGTCTCAAAAATACATACATACATACATACATACACACACACACACATATAAAAGTAAATTAAAACTATGTAAAAATAATACCAGCTACATTTACAAAAAAATGTTAATAATGAAGTGTTTTGAATTATGCCAGTATGAGTAATTCTTAAAATGTTTCCCAAATTCTCTCACTTCCTTAAGCTCCTCCTCGACACATATCCTGAATCCTGCCTGTTTCCTCCCTGTGGATGACTCCATTCTGTTTTTGGTTCCTTGAGTACATTCTCCAGAGAGCATCCAGAATGACTGTTGAGCCTGTAATCCTAGTCAGACCACACTCTGGCTTCAACTCAACAGAGTTCATTGTACTCAGAATGAAACGTAGACTTTTTACACTGTCGTGGGAAGCGATCCACACCTAGACACATGACTGGCTCTCTGATCCTCTTCCGACTCCTTTCTTTGTTCAGTGAGCTCCGTCTTAGAGCTTTTCGCTTTTCTTGGAATCTTAAAAAGCTTGTCCTATCCTTGAAGACTTTATACTTGCTCTTCCTTCTTGTAGAAGAAATCTGTTTCACCCCACATCCAAAAAATTCACATATATGGAATATTCTCTACCTTCAGGTGACAGATTGTAGCTTACTCTCCTGACTATACCACACAAGACAACATTTCTCCTGTCAGTCCTCCCATGGCTGGCTCTATTTTATTTTCTCTCTGGCAGTCATTACTGTCGAAAGTGACACAACTTATTTTTATTGACTAATTACTTTTTCTGTGTATACACCCTTTACTATTATAAAAGAACATGTGATCAGGAATTCATCTGATACATTTTCTAACCTCACTCCTACTTCCTTATGTGATATATAGTCCTTAACAAATATTAAACAAAGGAATGAATTAATGATGAACATGGCTTTTATAATAAAAATCTTAATTATTTTAAAAGAAATGCATCCAACAATTGACCAATGCACATTTTTACAAAAGATACCTCTAATGTGAGTTTTCAATGAAAGTAATAAGTTTATTAATGAGAACATAGCAATGGAGTAAAAAGTATAACATGTTAAATTAATTACATACTTTTAAAATTTTAATTAATTATAATATAATTATATTACTAAGAAATTCAGCATGCTTGGTGTGATATAGTATCATCGGTTATAAAAATGTTTTCTAGATAGCTTTAATTTGCAGTTTATAGCAAATGGTCAGCAAATAATTTTTTTTATTGTAGAGAGACTTAGAGTAAATATTTTTTAGATTTGTTGGTGATATGATTTCTCTTGAAGTTGCAGTATGTAATTCTGCTGCTACTTTGAAAATGTCAGGATAGACAATAAGTAAGTAAATAGGCATGGCTGAGTTTTCATAAAATTTTATTTACCAAAACCAAAGACAGGATAAATTTGTCTGTAGTTTCCTAACCCCTGTCTTAGAATATTTCTCTTATCATTAAGAGAAATATATATATATAATATATATATTATATATTAGAATATATGGGTTTGTTTTATACCTATAAGCATTGAGAATACATATATACCTTCTCATATATACACATATGTATATACACGCACACACACATGTATAAATTATCTATATCTCTTTAAATAGGAAATTCTCAATGCTTATCTATATGATACAAACATATATTCTCAATGATTATCTATATAAAACAACCCATGTACTGTATATATTTTGAAAATAAATAAAATATTTATATAAATATTCTGGAATATATTATAGAATATTTACATAAATATGCTATATATATTATCAATGATTATCTAAACCAAATAAATAGGACCACATATATGCATATCAATATTTGTATAGCTATCTCTATATCTATAGCTAATGTATATCTGTGTATACCACAATCATATAGATTTAAGGCTAAAATTATATTGTGATAAAATAACATTCCAAAATTAGGTTCAGCATTTTTTTAACTGAAGGTGGATTTCAAGTTTGCCCTTGGGTAGAGCTATTTGTTCTTCCTATTAAACAGAATTCCCATTAAAATAAAAGTGCTTACATTCTGCAGAAGAACTTATCTAAATCATTGGTATCCCCCACCATGAAGAACAGAAGATATCAACTGAACCTACAAATTTAAAATACACAGCTTATCATGTTTCTCTAGAGCAAAGCTTTAGATTTTCACATTCTATCTCACATCCCACCACCCCCAGAGCTTGTTAACACTTCTTATTCCCAGGTGATTTTGCCAAAATGGCACCCAGAAGTGTGTTTTTACTGAGCTCCCCAAGAGACTTTCATGAATCTATCCCAACAACAAGCTTTCAGAAATAGCAGCATAGAATATTCATTAGTAAAGTAACAAAAGGCACAGAGATGCCTTGAAATGACTGTAGAGGGGGAATGTGGAAAAATAAGAAGCCAAGGAACCATGAGAAGGTGTTATAACAGAGGTCGAGAAAGAAGCCAATGTCAAGTAAGCACTTGTGTTTAGTAACCTCACATGATGTGGAGATGTGGGTAAGGTATGCAAATGTGTCCAATAGATTAAGAGGAAAAGCAATTGCTGGTTACTACTGTTGGAGCTACTTCATTGGAGTGGATGAGATGAAAGCTAGGAGAAAATACATAAGCAAGAGGAGAGAAGAAAATGGGAAATTCTTCCAAGTGCTTTAAGAAACCCAATGGCAAACACATGGAACAGGGATGATGGGTTTTGCTTGTTTGTTTTTGTTGGTTTGCTTGTTTTTTTGTGTGTGACAATCAACCACTTAGGTATTAAGGGAAAGCATTTTTATTGAGAAAGAGATTGAAAAGATGGGAAATAAGACAATATATTGATTAAACCATCATATTTGCAAAACTAGTTTCTTGTGACATGATCTGTCCAAAATAACAGTTCAAAAATTGTGAAGACAAGAGTAATGAGTAGAGATGAGAAATGGCAGAAAGTAAACTATTTTTATAAAGCCTCTAAATTAAAACATACGGTATTGCATCATTTGAGAAGACTGACAACCAGTAGAAAAAAAAAGAAACCCCATAAAGAGACAAATATACATGGGAATTTAGCTTACAAGCAATGTGATAAAAATAACATCACAGATCATGAGAAGAAAACAGGTGATTTTCATCCTTTTGAATTTTGGAGTGGAAAATCCTTTTAAATAAAACTCAAAATCTAATAGCTATACAAGTTTCAATAAATTTGACTAAGCATTTTTGTAATGCTTTTTATAGCAAAGGACACATAACCAAACCAATCATCTTGGAAAATGTTTACCAATCACTTTGCAAAGGACTAATCTCCAAAAGACTAATAGAGAGAGAGAGAGAGAGAGAGAGAGAGAGAGAGAGAGAGAGAGAGAGAGAGAGAAATTAATTAAAAGTACACTAATAATCAATTAAAAGAGAAATTATTTAAAAGCACACTAAGATCATTTTTTAACTGTCAGTTTTGCAATCTTAAATTTTTACTTAACCCTCTGTTGTAAGCTCTGAAGTGTGTGTGATTATAATGAGCTACAAAATTAGCTACGATTCAATTCCTAACAAGGTCAATTGGTAAATATCTAAGAATATTACAAGTGTGCCTATACTTGACCCAGAAATCTTACACTAGAAAATTATCCTACTGATACATACACACTTTTATGAAACATAAGCACAAAGTTATTTGTAGTTGCATTTTTAAATAGATAATTGGATACACACATAAATTATTTTCCATATGTATGAAGGAAATTGTTGCTCTAAAAATATGGTATTTAGGAATTACTATGTAGCGTCATGATAAGATGGTCAGAATATACTGCTAAGTAAAATAACAAAGGATTAGTAAGTAGAGGACAGAATAAATGTATACGACATGTCTTGTGTGGAATGTGGAAAATGAACATGGGCATTTGTATTTGCTTGAAATTTCACCGAGAATTTTTGGGATGGATTCATAAGACATTAATATATTTAGCTCTACTTGTCTGAGTTGAGGTTTAAGGGAAACAGATGGCACTCTCATGTAAGGATAATTGAGGATGGCTTGATAAAAGGACATGGTGCATACATGTGAGGAAATGAGGAGTGGGAAACTGGATTAGTTACAGCAGGAAGACCTGGTACCCCTATGGGGCCAATGCATGAAACAGTTATTAAATTCTGAACATAGGCTGTGGCTGTCAAAAAAATTTGAAAAGAGGGATTTTAGCTTTGCATAAAAGCCCAGAAAACAGCTTCCGGGAATGGATGACTCAATTTCATACTCTGCCCAATCTTCTGGTATCTACTGGTCAAACTTAAGCAGAAAACAGAGGGTTGGGGAAGTTTCTCAAAGATGGGCCAGGATCCAGACAGAAAAGGATAAAGAGTCAATGTCCAGAAACGAGGCAGGGTGCAGAGGCTCATGTATATAATCTCAGAACTTTGGGAAGCAGGAGGATCACTTGAGGTCAGGAGTTCAAGACCTGCCTGGCCAACATGGTGAAACCCTGTCTCTACTAAAAATACAAAAATTAGCTGGGCATGGTGGCATGTGCCTATAATCCCAACTACTTTGGAGGCTGAGGCAGTAGAATTGCTTGATCCTGAGAGGCAGAGGTTGCAATGAACTGAGATCATGCCACTGTACTTTAGCCTGAGTGACAGAACAAGTTTCTGTCAAAAAAAAAAAAAGAGAAGAAAGAAAGAAAGAAAGAGAAAGAGAAAGAGAAAGAGAAAGAAAGAAAGGAAGAGAGAGGAAGGGAGGGAGGGAGTGAGGGAGGGAAGGAGGGAGGGAGGGAAAAGAACAGAAAAGAAAAGAAAAGAAAAGAAAAAAGAAAAGAAAAGAAAAGAAAAAGTAAAAGAAAAATCTCCAGACACCAGCTGACAGTGCAGCTGGTTCAAGGCATAGGATACAGGATATGGATTCACAAGTAGGAGAGAGGTTTTTCACTATGAAACATTTCAATATCCCTTGATTTTTTGAAGCATTCATTGTATCTCTTACCCAAAAATAATTTGTGATGACTCAAAGAATTCTTGTTTGACAGATTATGTTTGAACTGTTCTTTTATTCACTGTTTATGACAAGTTTTCTTGAAGCTTAATGAGATTCTCATGGAAAATACTTTCCCCGGAACACATACTAATGTGTTGACAGGTTGGACATTTCTAAAGAGGACTTGTCATTCTCTTAACCTGAATTGCCCAAGCCAATGCTGTCTTCAAATGGATTAGTTATCATTTAAGTATATTAAATCTTCCACTGGAAACTACCTTGAAAATCATTTTTAAAAACTGCATTCTTCTTTTCACAATTCTTATTCAATATGCAATGTAAAAGTTTTATTCTCTTCTAGCATTAGCTAACGTATGGTAAAAACTGGATTTATGTTGTCCATTGCAGTGGCTCATGGCTGTAATACTAACACTTTGGGAGGCCAAGGAGGGAGATTGCTTGAATCCAGGAGTTCGAGACCAGCCTGGGCAGCATGGCAAAATCTCACCTCTACACAAAACACAAAAACTAGTCAAGTGTGGTGGTGCATGACTGTAGTCCCAGCAACTTAGGAGGTTGAGGTGGAAGGGTTGTGGTTGCGTGAGCTGGGGAGGCAAAGGCTGCAGTGTGCCAAGATTGCACCGTCATATCCCAGCCTGGGTGGCAGAGTAAAACACTGTATCAAAAAAATAAAATAAATAAAATCAGTAGTAAAGAAGCACTAGAAAAAAATTTTCTTCTAGGTCAAAATACTACACATGAAAGCTTTGTTTGTTACACATTTAAAATGGGTATGTTTTGATAAATTAAGCATTCTAAAACCAACCATTTAATAAAAAGTAGTTTAGTGTAGAAAGTTAATATCCAAAGTGATCCTGCCCTGGACATATTTCACTCCATCCCATAGAATATTTGACCAATTCAGAACCTGAAATAAATATCGAAGCTTTAGATTCTATTCACTAAGCCAGAGTAGTATGTAACATAATTTTGCAAGATTTCATTCAAAAGTGATTTACTGGGAATGGTGACATATTGAGAAAGCAAAGATAAATGAGATAAACATCCATTTTCTGCTGCTACTATCTGAGTGCAGTAGTCATAAAAATGTGTGACAGTGTAATCAAGAATGCTTCCTTTCCTCCATGCTCTGACTAGATGTTATTATAAATACGTAATTCTACAAAATGGACCAATTTATGATATAGAGCCAAAAGCCAATCTCTTTCTAAAGTATTATATTTCCTTTTGTAGAAATCCTTCAAATTATTCAATGTTCAGACTTGACAGGGTCTAAATGTTACCACCTAATATGTAATCACATTGACAAATTGCTTTTCACTATTTTATAGGCAGTACTCTGAAAATTATAAATATTGATTCTCATCTGAAGTATTTATACTGAATCACTGAAAGGGAAAAATGAAATGATTCTTGACAAAGATTATGCTATGTTTCCTTAATCAGATTAATTTGAGCATAACAGGTGACTTTTTTACTGTCATGACCCACTGCTTGGTATATTTTAAAAAATCAGTCAAAGCTGGGCACAGCAGCTCATGCCTGTAATCCCAGCACTTTGGGAGGCCTAGGCAGGTGGATCATGAGGTCAGGAGATCGAGACCATCCTGGCTAACATGGTTAAACCCTATCTCTATTAAAAATACAAAAAATTAGCAAAATTAGCTGGATGTGGTGGCAGGCACCTATAGTCCCAGCTACTAGGGAGGCTGAGGCAGGAGAATGGCATGAACCCTGGAGGGAGAGCTTGCAATGAGCCAAGATCCTGCCACTACACTCCAACTTTGGAGACAGAGCGAGACTGTCTCAAAAAAAAAAAAAAAAAAACCATCAAATACATGTAATTTAATCAGGTATGATTTTGTAAACAGTTACAAAAAGGCAAAAGAGGGAAACATATAAATCAATGCATTAAAAATAGTCTCACACAGCATATTTCATGATAATGAGAGAAGAATGAAAGAGATCCTCCCACATTGTTATGTATTGTTTTATACTCAGTACCTGTTTTAAGAAGAAACAAGGAAGTGAAACTAAAGGCAAGCAGCCCAGTGCCAGGCACCAGACCCAAAACCAGGCCTGAGCCTGCCTGACATTAGCTTGATAGTTAAAATTCAACCCATGACCTAGCAACCGATGTTATCCGTACATTCCAGACATTGTATGGAAGGACATTGTGAAACTTCCCTTTCTGTTCTGTTTCACTCTGACAACCGGTGCATGAAACCCCTGTCACATACTCCCTAGATGGCTCAATCAATCATGACACTTTCATGTAAAATCTTTAGTATTGTGAGCCCTTAAAAGGGACAGAATTTGTGCACTCAAGAAGCTCGGATTTTGAGATGTTAGTCTGCTGATGCTTCCAGCTGACTAAAGCCACTTCCTCCACTCCCTCAGTGTCTGTGAGGTTTTGTCTGCAGCTCATCCTGCTACATTTCTTGTTTCCCTGATCAGGAAGCGAGGTAACTGACGGACGGCTGAGGCATCCCCTTAGGCAGCTTAGGCCTGCTCTATGGAGCATCCCTGTGGGAGACTCTGGCCTGCCTTAGTGACGTGATCCAAAGAGTGATCCCAGGTAGGCAATTGCCCTGGTGGAATGCCTTGCCAGAGCAGCATGTGCCAGGCCCACATGGAGGATCAACGCAGTGGCTGAACACAAGGGAGGAACTGGCACTTGGAGTGCAGACATCTGAAACTTGGTAAGACTAGTCTTTGAAACTTGCCCACTCTATTTGAGTGGAAGCATGGCCTGATCACCCACAGTGTGTCTGTATTGACACTATTGTTCTGGTTTTGACTTTACCTGAATTGCTTGATACTTGGTTTTGGTTTTGACTTGGGCTAATACTCTGATTTTGGTTTGGTATGAATGATAAAGGTGTGTGCGTGCCCTCTTTACCTGTTCTTTGTTATGTGGTGAGTGTGTGGTGTGGGCGTGGTATTTTGTCTTGAGAAAACCTGGGCCAGGTGCAAAGTAAGCCCACCCTGTTGGGAACTATGTTAAAGAATTTCAAGAAAGGATTCAAGGGAGACTATGGAGTCGCTATGACTCCAGGAAAACTTAGAACTTTGTGTGAAATAGATTGGCCAGAATTAGAGGTATGCTGGCCATCAGAAAGAAGCCTGGACAGGTCTCTTGTTTCAAAGGTATGGCAAAAGTAACTGGCAAGACAGGACACCAAGATCAGTTCCCATATATAGATTTCTGGTTACAGCTAGTTTTAGATCCCCTGCAGTGGTTAAGGGGACAGGCAGCAGCAGTACTAGTAGCAGAGGGACAGTTAGTTAAGGAAGGTTCTCGTTCCACCTGAAGAGGAAAGCCATCCCCTAAAGTTTTGTCTGACCCAGAGCCTGAAGACTTGTGGCAGGAGATGGCACAAACAGTGCCCCCTGCCTTACAGCAAAGAGACCCCTACTCCTCAGCCCACAGCCCCTAGGCCACTCAGAGTAGACAAGAAAGGAAGTGAAGCTGCAGGAGAAACTCCTCCTTTGCCTGCCCATTTATGGCCCAAGAATAGAATCTAAATGCCCCTGAGAGAACAGCAATACACTGGGGTAGATGAGGATGGATACATGGTGGAGAGGTGTGCCTTCGTATATCACCCTTTCACCTCTGCTGACCTCTTCATTGGAAAAATAATACTCCATCTTAACACTGAAAAGCCTCAAGCGTTAATTGACTTGCTCCAAATGATTATACAGACTCATAATCCTACTTGGGCTGATTGCCACCAGCTACTCATGTACCTCTTTAACACAGATGAAAGGTGAAGGGTGCTCCAGGTGGCAACTAAATGGCTAGAGGAGCACGTCTCAGCCAATTACCAAAATCCCCAGGAATACATAAGAATTCAGCTGTCAGGAATGGACCCTCAATGGGATCTGAATGAAAGACCAGATATGCAGAGGCTAAGATGATACCAGGAGGCATTAATTGAAGGGCTGAAAAAGAAGCTCAAAAGGCCACCAGTGTAAATAAAGTTTCTGAAGTTAGCCAAGGAAAAGAGGAACACCAAGCCCAATTTTATGAAAGACTGTGTGAGGCCTGTCGTATGTACACTCCTTGCAATCCGGATAGTCCTGAAAATCAGCTTATGATTAAAATGGCCTTAGTTAGTCAAAGCGCAGAAGATATCCAGAGGAAATTGCAAAAACAGGCTAGTTTTGCATACTTCAAAGTTACTGGAGATAACTAATCAGGTATTTGTAAATAGAGATGCAACAATCTGCCAAGAAAGCCGTAAGGAGGGCGAATGCCAGGCCAGGCAGAATGCTGACTTGCTGGCTGTGGCAGTTAGAGGGATCCCCCAAAAAGGGCAGGGAAAGTGAGGTCCCAGGAGAAATGCCAGTCCAATCACTCATGTCTGCAGCATAACAAGTGTGCCTACTGTAAAGAATAGGACATTGAAAAGATAAATGTCCCCAACTAAAAGAGAAGCAAGGTGATGGGAGCAAAAAACTACAGATAAAGACAAAGGGACTCTGTTCAATTTGGCCAAAGGGCTACTAGACTGAAGGGGACTGGGCTCAAGTGCCCCCAAGGAGCTCATGGTCATGATGACAATAGGGGGCAAGGACACTAAGTGATTGATCAATACTTGGCTGAACACTCAGTAGTGACCTCCCCAGTCACCCCCTTATCTAAGAAAACCATTGATACAATCGGAGCAACAGGAGTCTCCACCAGGCAGGTTTTCTGCCTACCAGGGACCTCTTCGGTGGCAAGACATAAGGTGACTCATCAGTTTCTGTATACACCTGATTGCCCCTTGCCTTTGTTAGGGAGAGACTTGCTTAGCAAGATGAGAGCCACCACTTCCTTTACAAACCAGGGCTCTTTACAGCTGAAGTTACTGGGAACAGGCATTTTCAGGGCCCTTACAGTCCCCTGAGAAGAAGAATGGAGACTTTTTCTAACTGAGCCAGGTGAGGAGACAAAACCGGCTCTAGCTAATTGATGGCCCCAAGTATGGGCGGAGGACAATCCTCTGGGGCTAGTGATCAGTCAAGCCCCCGTACTCATAGAAGTTAAGCCTGGGGCCCAGCCAATCAGACAAAAGCTGTATCCAGTTTCCAGGGAAGCTCTTGAAGGAATACAGGTTCATCTCAGACCCCTAAAAGCTTTTGGGATTATAGTTCCTTGCCAGTCTCCATGGAACACCCCCCTCCTACCTGTCCCCAAGCCAGGGACCAAGGACTATCGACTTGTACAGGGTTGATCAACCAAGCTACAGTGACTGCACCCAACAGTTCCTAACCCTTACGCACTGTTAGGATTGCTCCTGGCTGAGGACAGCAGGTTTCCTTGCCTGGACTTGAAAGATGCCTTCTTTAGCATCAGACTAGCTCCTGAGAGCCAAAAGCTGTTTGCCTTTTAGTGGGAAGATCCAGGGTCAGGTGTCACCACTCAGTACACTTGGACTTGGCTTTCCCAGGGGTTGAAAAATTCCCCCACCATCTTCAGGGATGTGGTGGCTCAAGACCCCCAGAAGTTTCCTGCTAAAGACCTAGGCTGTGTCTTGCTCCAGTACGTGAATGACCTTCTGCTAGGACTCTCCATGTCAGTCGGTTGTGCAAAAGGGATGGATGCCCTGCACCTGGAGGACTGTGGGTATAAGGTGTCCAAGAAGAAAGCTCAGACCTGCAGACAGCAGGTACACTACCTGGGATTCACTGTTCAGAAAGGGGAGTGCAGCCTGGGGTCAGAAAGAAAGCAGGTCATCTGCAGCTTACCAGAACCTGAAACCAGAAGGCAAGTAAGGGAATTTCTAGGAGCTGTGGGGTTTTGCAGATTATGGATTCCAAACTTTGCAGTGCTAGCCAACCATTGTATGGGATTACAAAGTGGGGTGACTGAGAGCCCTTTAAATGGGGGCCTCAACAACAGCAAGCCTTTTGTAAGTTAAAAGAAAAACTTATCTCAGTCCTAGCTCCAGGACTACAATATTTGACAAAGCCCTTTATACTCTGTGTCAGAAAGAGAAAAAATGGCAGTTAGAGTTTTAATCCAAACTCTGGGGCCCTGGCCAAGACCAGTGGCCTACCTCTCAAAACAGCTAGACGGAGTTTCAAAAGGCAGGCCTCCATGTCTGAGAGCCCTGGCAGCTAAAGCCCTGTTAGCACAAGAAGCAGAAAAGCTAATCCTTGGACAAAACTTAAGTATAAAGGCCCCTCATGCGGTGGTAATTTTAATGAATACCAAAGGACACCATTGGCTAATAAATGCTAGATTAATCAAGTACCAGAGCTTGCTATGTGAAAACCCCTACGTAACCATTGAAGTCTGTAACACCCTAAATCCTGCCACCTTTCTCCCAGTATTGGATAGCCCTGTTGAACATAGCTGTGTGGAGGTGTTGGACTGAGTCCATTCTAGCAGATCCAATCTTTGATACCAGCCATGGGCATCAGTGGACTGGGAGTTATACGTGGACGGGAGCAGCTTCATCAATCCACGAGGAGAAAGATGTGCCGGATATGTGGTGGTAACCTTGAATAATGTTATTGAAGCCAAGCCATCGCTCAGGGCACTTCAGCCTAGAAAGCAGAACTCATTGCTTAAACTTGGGCTCTAGAACTCAGTGAAGGTAAGACTGTAAACATTTATCCTGACTCTCAATATGCCTTTCTAACCCTTCAAGTACATGGAGCATTATATAAAGAAAAAGCCCTGTTAAATTCTGGAGGAAAAGACATAAAATATCAACAAAAAATTATGCAATTATTAGAGGCAGTGGGAAAGCCCAAAAGGTGGCAGTCATGCACTGCAAGGGACATCAGCAAGCTTCTACCTCAGTAAGCCAGGGAAACTCCCGAGCAGTCACAGAGGCACGAAAAGCAGCGTCTACTCCTTACTGGGCATCAGTCACAGCCTTCCTGCTCCCTCAAACACCTGATCTGGTGTCTACTTATTCTAAAGAGGAAAAAGACTTTCTTCAGGCAGAGGGAGGACAAGCAATACAAAAAGGATGGATAAAGTTACTAGATGGGAGAATAGCTGTACCACAGCTGCTAGGAGCCACAGTCACGCTGGCTGTACATGAAACTACCCATTCAGGCCAAGACTCACTTGAAAAGCTGTTAAGCTGGTATTTCTATATCTCACACTTGCCAGCTCTTGCTAAGACAGTAGCACAGTGATGGGTTACCTGATGACAGCATAATGCAAAGCAAGGCCCCTCTGTTCCTCCTGGCATACAAGCCTATAGAGCAGCTCCTTTTGAAGATCTTCAAGTGGACTTCACAAAGATGCCCAAATGTGGAGGTAACAAGTATTTACTGGTTCTAATGTGTACTTATTCTGGGTGGGTAGAGGCTTATCCAACATGAACTGAAAAAGCTTGTGTAGTAACCCGTGTGCTTCTTTGAGACCTCATCCCTAGGTTTGGACTGCCTCTACGGATCGGCTCAGATAATAGGCCGGCATTTGAGGCTGATGTAGTACAGAGACGGCAAAGATATTGGGAATCACTTGGAAGTTACATGCTGCCTACTGACCTCAGAGTTCCGGAAAGGTGGAGTGAATTAATCAGACTATTAAAAATAGGTTAGGGAAAGTATGTCAAGAGACAGGATTAAAATGGATGCAGTCCCTTCCTATAGTATTGTTTAAAATTAGTTGCATCTCCTCTATGAAAATAGGATACTCCCCTTATGAAATATTATATCACAGGCCTTCTCCTATACTGTGAGGACTTCCAGGTACTCTGCAAGAGTTGGGTGAAATTGAATTGCAGCAACAGCTACAGGTCTCAGGGAAAATTACCCTGTCAATCTTAACATGGATAAATGAGAAGTGCCCAGTCAGCTTATTCTCCCCAGTTCACCCTTTTTCTCCAGGTGACCATGTGTGGATCAAGGACTGGAATATAGCTCCTTTGTGGCCATGGTGGAAGGGACCCCATACCATTATCCAGACCACTCCCACAGCTGTGAAGATAGAAGGAATTCCAGACTAGATTCACCATAGCTGCATAAAGCCCACAGCCACTGGAACCTGGGAGGCCAAACCAAGCCTAGACAACCCCTGCAAAGCAACCCTGAGGGGGACGACAAGCCCTGCTCCAGTCACACCCAGAACCGGACTGGTCTACGCATGGCCAAAGCATGAGGAAAATTGTCATGGGACTTATTTTCCTTTTAACATGGATTTGTGTGGTAAAAGCTTCCACTGCTTCTTCCCACACAGAGGAATGCTTTCAGTGCATACATCAGGTCACTGAGGTAGGACAGTAAGTTAAGACAATCTTTTTGTTCTATAGTTATTATGAATGCCTAGAAATTCCAAAAGGAATGTGTTTGTATAGTAACACTCAGTACAAAGTCTGTAATCCAGGAAGTGATGAGCCTGATGTGTGCTATCACCCCTCTGAACGTTCCATTTCCACAGTTTTTGAAATAAGATTAAGGACTGAAGACTGGTGGGGACTCATAAATGATACAAGTAAAGTATTAGCCAAAACAGAATAAAAAGGGGTGCCAAATGCATAATCTTAAAATTTGATCCTTGTGCTGTCATTAATAGCAACAAGTTAGGAGCAGGATATTGCTCTTTTAATTAGGAAAAATAGCTACATGACTGAAAATAAATACATTTGTCATGAATTAGTATTGTGTGGAAAAGAATGTGGGTACTGCTCTTGTGTCATTTGGGCTACTTGGAAAAAAAGATGAAACAGATCCTGTTTGGCTCCAAAAAGGGAAAGGAAGCCCCTCCTGCATGATTGGAAGCAGCAATCCTTTAGAATTAGTAATCACAAACCCCTCAGACCCAAAATGGAAAAAAGGAGAAAACGTATCTCTAGGCATTGATGGAAAAGGACTAGACCCTAAGGTAAACATTTTAATAAAAGAAGAGACTCAAAAACGCTCTCCAGAGCCAGTATTTCAGACTTTCTATGATGAACTAAATGTACCAGTGCCTGAAATTCCAGGAAAAACTAGAAATTTGTTTTTGCAATTAGCCAAGCATGTAGCCCAGTCTCTAAAAGTAACTTCATGTTATGTTTGTGGAGGAACTGTAACAGGAGATCGATGACCATGGGAAGCCTAATGATTAGTTCCTACAGACCCAGTTCCTGATGAATTCCCAGCCCAAAAGAACCACCTGACAATTTCTGGGTTCTAAAAGCCTCAATTATTGGACAACATTGCATAACTAGAGAAGGAAAAGAATTCACGCCTCCTGTAGGATGGCTTAGTTGTCTTGGACAAAAACTATAATGGTACCACAAAACCAGTTACATGGTGCAGTTCCAATTACACAGAAAAAAAATCCATTCAGTAAATTTCCAAAATTGCAGACTGTTTGGGCCCACCCCAGAATTCCACCAGGACTAGACTGCCCCCACCGGGTTATACTGGATATGTGGACATAGAGTCTATGCTAAGCTACCTGATCAGTGGACAGGTAGCTGTGTAATTGGCACTATTAAACCATCTTTCTTCTTACTGCCCATAAAAACAGGTGGACTCCTAGGCTTTCCCGTCTATGCTTCCCGCAAAAAATGAAGCATAGCCATACATAACTGGAAAGATGATGAATGGCCCCCTGAAAGAATTATACAATACTATGGGCCTGCCACTTGGACACAAGATGGATTTTGGGGATATCGGACCCCCATCTACAAGCTCCACTGAATCATATGGTGGCAAGCTGTTTTAGAAATTATTACTGATAAAACCGGTCCAGCCTTGACTGTTCTTGTATGGCAATAGACTCAGATGAGAAATGCTATCTATCAAAATAGACTAGTTCTTGACTACTTGCTAGCAGCTGAAGGAGGAGTTTGTGGAAAATTTAATCGTACTAATTACTGTCTACACATAGATGATCGGGGCAAGTAGTTGAAGACATAGTTAAAGATATAACAAAACTGGCGCATGTACCCATGCAAGTGTGGCATGGATTTAATCCTGAGGCCATGTTTGGAAATTGGTTCCCAGCAACAGGAGGATTTAAAACTCTTATAATAGGAATAATAATAGTAATAGGAACCTGCTTACTGCTCCCTTGTTTGCTAGTTGTAATTCTTCAAATGTAAAAAGCTTCATCACTACCTGAGTTCACCAGAATGCTTCAGCACAAATATATTATATGAATCACTATAAATCTTTTGCACAGGAAGATGTAAGTAGTGAAAATGAAAGTGGGATTTCTTATAAAATGAGTGAGTGTTTCAAAGGGAGGAAATGAGAGAAGAGAGAAAGAGACCCCCCCATATTTTTCTATATTGTGTTATACTCAGTACCAGTTTTAAGAAGGAACAAGGAAGTGAAACTAAAGGCAGGCAGCGTGGCTCCAGGCATCAGACCGAAAACCAGACCCAAAACGAGGCCTGGGCCGCCTGACCTTGGCCTGATAGTTAAAATTCAACCCATGACCTAGCAACTAATGTTATGCATAGATTCCAGACATTGTATGGAAGGATATTGTAAAACTTCCCATTCTGTTCTGTTTCACTCTGAATATTGGGGCATGAAGCCCCTGTCACATACTCCGTAGATTGCTCAATCAATCATGGCCTTTCCATGTAAAATATTTAGTGCTGTGGGCCCTTAAAGGGACAGAAATTGTGCACTCGAGAAGCTCAGATTTTGAGACCTTAGTCTGCCAATGCTTCCAGCTGATTAAAGCTACTTCCTTCACTCCCTTGGTGTCTGTGAGGTTTTGTCCAAGGCTCATCCTGCTACAATAACTCACCCTAAGAAATTATCAATTTTTTCCAGGGCAAGTGAAAATGGTTGTAAAATGCTCAGCAACCAAAGGCTGAGAAAAGCCCAATGCCTTAATTCCAGAGTTTGTATGTTTTTCCAAGTAATCACAGTGCTTTGTCTTTTCTATAGTCATATTTCCAATGTATTCATTCATAGAAAATGCTCTAGTATTTAGTGTAACTGTAACACATTTTTTCTACATCAATATCATAAGGATATTATGCAGTGTTTTATTTGAATGTTTGAAGGATTTTCTTTTCACATCAAGGTTTTAACTTTATCTGGAGTTCAATTAATTTGTGAGTCATGGAGATTTCTATTTGTCTTTATCTACTGTATTGACAACTGTGACAATATTGCTATTTAATACCGCAGTATCTATTCATTTCCATCCATATATGTTTGCATATGAACAGTTCTTTGATTTGTTCAGGATAATCAACACTTATAGCACAATATACACTCCTCTGCAAAATCTCTTAACATCTAGATATAGCTATGAGATGCATTTCTGAAAAATACAATGAGGGTTCAAGTCAGCTTGAATAAAACTACTTCACTCCTACCAGAATGATCCTTCAGATATGTGACCTGCTTCTCTCCTTCCTAGGTGTAGTAAGAATATTATTGGCCGGGCGCGGTGGCTCACGCCTGTAATCCCAGCACTTTGGGAGGCCGAGGCGGGCGGATCCCGAGGTCAGGAGATCGAGACCATCCTGGCTAACACGGTGAAACCCCGTCTCTACTAAAAATACAAAAAAATTAGCCGGGCGTGGTAGCGGGCGCCTGTAGTCCCAGCTACTCGGGAGGCTGAGGCAGGAGAATGGCGTGAACCCGGGAGGCGAAGCTTGCAGTGAGCCGAGATCGCGCCACTGCACTCCAGCCTGGGCGACAGAGCGAGACTCCGTCTCAAAAAAAAAAAAAGAATATTATTTACACAGAGCTTCTTGGAACCAGAAACGTGCAATTCTGGGTTTCATAATAATGAAGAAGAAAACTGCAAAATTTTGGTACAGAATGACTTTCTTGAGCACTTCTTTTTGCATACCTTTATATCTATACAACAAAAATAAAGTGCCATCTGATTAAGCCATTGATATGAATAGCTGTCGAGTGTACCCAAAAGCAAATGTTACACAAGTTGTCATTTTATCATTATTAACTGTGCATGTGATATGTTCTTTTGATGGCTGCTTATCATGCAACATTTGTAATATAAAAATCTCCATGTTCCATCTATCTGCATCTAAGCACTGTAATTTAAGAGATGTATTTTATTTACCCTTCCTAGATTCCACAGTGGCCATTGTATTAATCTTAGTATCAAAGAAGAAAAGCTGTTAACAACTATTCTTCACTGTATTTCAAAATGCTCTTGTTCTTGGCTTGATATATTTCCATACACATTTTGGGGAGAAGTTTGTTAGTTCAAGCAAATATACTTAAAATATATTTTTTAAATCAATGTCTTGGACAATTTTCAACTTCTAAACTAATTTGAGGGAAAAGTTACATGTTTACACTTTTGATCCCAACCTGTATTAAATACTGAAATATCTCAATTTATTTTGATTTTCTGTTATGTTGCTCTTTAAACATTTGTTCTTCTGCATATAAAGTTCTTGTTCATTTTTTAAATCCATTTATCACTAAGAACTTACAGATGTAGTGCAATCGCAGTTGGGATTTCCAAATAAATAATCGTAACATTTATATTTGACAATTAATGGTGTAAATTAATGCCACAAATATGTGTGCACTGATCTTTAATTGAGCATCCTTTATAAAATTGTTATTTTATTCACGAATATATCTATGGAAAATTATATCACCTGCATCATCTGCCAATAATAACTTTTCCTTTCCTTTTCTCTTCTATTCTGTACTTATAGAACTTCCAATTTATTGTTAAAATTATTGCCCGGGCACGGTGGCTCACGCCTGTAATCCCAGCACTTTGGGAGGCCGAAGCGGGAGGATAATGAGGTCAGGAGATAGAGACCATCCTGACTAACATAGTGAAACTCCGTCTCTACTAAAAATACAAAAAATTAGCCAGGCCTGGTGGCGGGCGCCTGCCGTCACAGGTACTCAGGAGGCTGAGGCAGGAGAATGGTGTGAACCCGGGAGGCGGAGCTTGAAGTGAGCCGAGATCCCGCCACTGCACTCCAGCCTGGGTGATAGAGCAAGACTCTGTCTCAAACAAACAAACAAAACCAAAAACAACAAAAACTCATCTTTGAGACATTTGTCTTGTTATGGATCTCAGGGGAATGTTTCTAATATTTTGCCATTAATACCAATATTTCCATTAATATTATGTTGTATTTCTTTTATCAAGAAATTTTCTTTAAAATGTATAAGCTCATTGCTTAGTACAATGTTCACAATGTATCAACAAATTTCCTATATCTCTTGAAAAAAGGCTTTTCTATTTTAATTTGTCAATGGGATACATTGAGTCTGCTGATTTTTGCAATGTTGTATAATGTTTGCAAATTTGTTTCATTGGCGCTATTGCCATTATTACTTGACTTTATTTGCTCAACTTTGCAGTATGTTTGTTTCTATGCCAATGAGGAGAATCTGTCTGCGTATTTTCCCTCATTAGTGCTCTTGTTTTGAATTTGATAGGACGTTGGCTTTATGGATGCAAGGCTGCCACATGTCCCTTGACTTGACCATGGTGAGATTAGCAGATATGATGCAACAGAGATGTGAAATGGCTCTGTTGATTTGGGGTTAATTTGTCTGTCTCTCTTTGGTTAAGCATATAGAAATCTCGGGCAAGACTGATTGAAAATAAAAGATAAGAGAAACAACTGAATGGTCTCAAGCATCCCAGCCAAGACTGGTTGCTGAGTGATTGAAAGCTGATTCCCAGATGCGTGAAAGAGCCCAGGCAGGGCGGAGGGCCACCTAGAATGAGAAAAACTTATGGTACTTTCATCTGCCACCGAATGTCCTGGGTCTTTAAAACCTCCAAAACTCTAACTGAACCGGAAGCTATGTGTGGTAAATTATATTTTTTGCAAGACAGCTTGTTTTATGAAAATTTTCAAATTGATTGTCCCTATCCTAATGTTCTTTACATTTTTATATGTTATATCAGTTTGAGGTAACAGCCTTGTAACATATTCTCAGAAAAATGCATTTGTGTTTCCTGTTTTTGTTCTTGATTAAAAAAAAAAAGAAAATGAATGGCTGCAGTGGCTCACACCTGTAATTTCCAGCACTTTGGGAGGCTAAGGCAGGAGGATGGTTTGAGGCCAGCAGTTGGAGATCAGTTGCAGGAAATATAGCAAGACTCTCTCTCTGCAATAAAACAACAGCAACAAAAAAAGTTTGTACTAAAAATCACTGAAGAATTTACCACAAATTATTTTGCCTATTTTTATATAATATTAATACATTTTAATATTGTTTACCAGTTATTTTATATTTATTGTTAATCTTTAGGTTGAGAAAAAAGAAAACAGAGAATTTGTTACATAGGTATCAAAAAGTGGATACTGTTTTAATAAGACCATATTTTAAAAAAGTATAAAGGAAATAAGTTAAAAATTATCTTTTAAAATAATCACTTTAACAAATTGAAAACCTACTTTGACAAAAATGTTTCTGTTATTTAAAAAAACTTTATAAAACTAGAATTAGAAAAATAAAGTTCTCCCTACTCTTCTCTCAACTCTTGTTTATTACTGGAACATAATAAAATTAGTAACTAACATGAAATACACACTTTTGCTTTACCAAGAATGAAAAAAGAGAAAAGAAAAATGAAATGAAGAAATAATAAAGGAAATAAAGAAAGAAATAATAAAAAAAGAAAAAATAATAGAAGTTGAATTACATATAAAAAATTATAGCAAATGTCAAGCCTTCTGATTGCCAGTGGGAACATTTTTATTTTCACAATGTTTTCAGCAGAAAATATCAACAAAGTAGAGTAGAATTACTCAAGTAAATTAACTTGGAATCTATGGATTTGTGGGACAGTGTTCCCTGGAAAATATCAGTTAACTGCCTTAATGCTCACAGTATAAAATAAAGATGTTTCAGGACCAAAATAGTCAACTTTTTTTTTATATATATATCAGTTCTAGACATTATACAGTTAAACTCTGGACAGAGTGGGTTCTGAAGAGCTAAACAGAGACCTAAGCAGAGATGTTGGTTTTCTGATACACATTGATACTTTCAGCACATCACTTGTATCCTAGGAATCATCATTAAAATGTTATGCTGAGGAGAATTTCCAAATTTAAGATAGATAGATAGATCTATAGATAGATAGGTAGGTAGGTAGATAGATAGATAGATAGATAGATAGATAGATAGATAGATAGATAGAATGGATAGATTAGATGGATGAATAGATAGATAGATAGATACATAGATAGGTGATTTATCCTGTTAAGTTGTTTAACAAGTGGGCTATGTAAAATTTTACTAATATTTAAACATAAGTAGTTTGTAGATTTTCTTATTTATTTCTAATTCCATTACTTCACCATCAGAGGAAATGGTGTTTTGACCATTTTTTATGTTTTTGTTTGTTTGCTTGTTTTTTGTTTTTAAGATTTCCTCCAGAATTAGAGTTAATAGATTTAACAAATAAAAATACAAGATTCCTAATTAAATTTGAATTTCAGTTAAACAGCAAATAGTTTCTTAGTATAAGTATGCCTAATGCAATATTCTGGGCATAGATTTACTATAATTTGTTTGTTAGCTTAAATTCAAATTAAACTGAGTTTACTGTCTTTGATCAGGCAACTTATACAAAACAAATCAAAAGGCTGATTTTTGAGAAATGTTCTATGAATGCTTAAGAAAAGCAGATACTATTCTTATAGTTGAATTCAGGTATGTAAACAGTTCTACAGGATGACAGTAGCACATAGACTATAAGAGTTAGCATAATTTATATCTTGTTGATTCTTACTACTTTTTATCAACTTCACCCATTTCTGGCAGAGACAGAATAAAGTCTTTTAAAAATTACAAATTTTAAATTCCCAGTTTTCAATTCAATATTTTTCTTAATTTAATATAATAAGTTAGGACAGGCAAGTCCAAAATTGATGCTTTTCTTATTGAATCATTTTTGTTAAATTTTTTCTCCTTCTTACTTTGTCCATCAAGTAAACTCATCTTAATTTTTAATTACCCAGATTCAGAGTATTAAGTTATAAAACATTTTGTAGAGAGAATAGAAGTATGCCATTTATTAACTGTTGATGTCAGACCTTTCAAGATATTATTCAATATTTCCAACCAATCTGAGCCCCTGGATGTGTTCTAAACATATTCCATAATTCTAGTTCATTCACTTCTTGCTGTTTCTTCAGGCTTTATATTGCTACCTTTGTGTCATTGTTCACAGGTCAAAATTTCATGACATTTCTATTCAGTTAAGTGTCATGTCCACAATCAATGTACTTTTAAAATATCTGTGTAGTTTTTTTTTTTTTTTTTTTTTTTTTTTTTTTTTTTTTTGAGACAGAGTCTCACTCTGTCACCCAGGCTGGAGTGCAGTTGTGCGATCTCTGTTCACTGCAAACTCGGCCTCCTGGGTTCATGCCATTCTCCTGCCTCAGCCTCCCAAGTAACTGGGACTATAGGTGACTGCCACCATGCCCAGCTAATTTTTTGTGTATTAGTAGAGACAGAGTTTCACCATGTTAACTGGGATGGTCTCGATCTCCTGACCTCGTGATCTGCCCACGTCAGCCTCCCAAAGTACTGGGATTACAGATATATGCGTAGTTTAAGATGTTGAGTTACGCATATAAAATATGAATGAAACATAATCCCAGACACATGGCTGACACACACAGCATTGCTTTATATTTTCATCATGGACTTATAAGAATAAAGCGTTCATAATACATTTAGATTTAAATCCTCCATTAAGAACCAAAAGTTTCTGTAGATGTCTTCATTTACTTTATAACTTCTATGTTCTTTGTTTGACATTTTCATAACAGGAGTCCTACTCATACACATAGTTAAGATTGAAGGAACCTCTCATATTCCACACCTTGCTGCCTTTATTTTTGTCTTTAAACTCATACAAATTATTATTATGTGGATACCCATTTTAGACACATAAAGCTTCATGAAAGTGCCTTATTAACTAGAAAGTTTAAAAAAAATGCCAGGTGTTTCAAACTGAGGATTTTAATATAGGAGCTTGGTTTAAAACATCAATGTTAGGTTGGGCACAGTGACTAAAGCCTGTAATCCCAGGATTTTGGAAGGCTGTGTCAGGAGGATCATTTGAGCCCAGGAGTTCCATACCAGCCTGGACAACATAGGTAGACGTTGTCTCTACACAAAATAAAAAATTAGTTGGGCATGGTTATGTGTGCATATGGTCCCAGCTACTCGTAAGGGTGAGTTGGAAAGATCTCTTGAGCATGGGAGGTCAAGGCTGCCATGAGCCATGATTGCACCACTACACTCCAGTCTGGGCAACAGAGTGAGACCCTGTCTCAAAAAATAAAAATTAATGTTACAAATGCCAGGGAAAACACAGAAAGGAAATGTTGTAAGTAAGGAATGTTATGATATCTTCCAAATAAGGAAGCTTCTGTCAACTCTGGGCTGAATTCCCAAGCTCTAACTTTGCTCCTGCAATGACAAAGATGTCTCATCGGCAGCTTCTGGAGCTGCTGAAGAGGTTTTGCAATGATGAGGCAAGCATTTCACTGGGCTGCTACAGAGTCCACAATTGCCTGCCCAAATTCACATTCCAGCTACTACAAAAGACTGCCAAGCACTGGCATGACAACTCTTCCATACAATAATCTCTCCTCCTGTCTTCTGGTTCCTCTGCCATTGAGGCAGAATCTACCAGGAAGACAGCTGGCAAAGACATCTGGGAAATGTAGTTTACTGACATCTTGTGTCAGTGTCATAGAAAGGAGTGTAGAAAAGTTGGCCTGAGGAGGGATGAAGCCAGAAAACCAAACAACCAGAACTGGCTATATATAGTAGTGTATATATATACACTACTATATATATTATATATATATTATATATATTATATATATATATAATATATATAACACATTAAAAGATGAAAGCATATTTGTTGACAATTCTTGCTAATTATGTCATTGGGGGATCCTTTGCCATTACACAAAAATAAACATTCACCGTCTCCTGATCCAATTTGGTTCAAGGAAGTCCTTGTTTTCTTATACTTGGTTGTGCAAGTAGACTCCTGGAATATCACACTAAATCTTCACTTTCTTCCCGTAATCTTTGTTACTCTTCCAAAGATGACATAGTAGCAATACATTTGTACTGAAAACTTGGTAATTTCCAAGAAACACATTCATCCAAAATTCAGCAGAATTCTTTGCAAAACTAACACTTAAGATACTACTTTGTTTTTAATCTGTTTTTATTTATCTGTGTTCTATTTTTTTACAGGTTTTTGCATGAAGAGGAGCAGGAGTCTCGAAGGCACAGCCAGGCAAGCTAAGTTTCCACTTTATTCTCTGGATATTGAAATAACATAATGACCACAGGCTGTCTTGAAGGCTCTTTTTCTTAACTGCAGTTATTTTTACTTGTCTTCACTCATGTAACTTTAATGAGCAGAAACTTTGAATTTAAGAGGCAGTTCTGAAAAAAATCAATACACTTCACCATCACTCAAAACTTTTAGTAGCATAATCTGAATCTGATTATATCTTCATATTACTAAGTTTGCAATTTGTTTTCTAATTAAAAAGTAAAACAGGAGAATAAATTTTTGTTGCCAATTTGAAAGGTCATTGCATGTTTTAGCACAGATGGAATTATAATTATTTTTGAAGTTACTACAACAATGAATTTTCTTTTCAAAAGCCCAATTACTTTAAAAAAATCAAAATAGCTTATTGGAGATTCTGTCATTTGGTTTACATTTCCCTTGATAGTGACAATTTAGACTTGTTCCTGATGATTTTGGAGAGCTGAGGGAGCATCATTTCTGACATGCCTTTTTCCTACATTTATATACATTTTCATTTAGTTTTCAGCTTATCCAATGGTCTTTTCATTTATGTTTTTATTATGCACTGTAGCATGTACCTATTAGAATAAAGATGTTAAACTGTGCACCCTACAAGAAAATTAAAAGAAAAATATATAAGTAACACTTCTCTGAAATGGATGGATGCAGCTGTTGAGAGCATTCTACTCATTGATTTTCACTGTGACTTTACTGAGTTGAATTGTTGCCAGTGTTCCCAGGAGGCATGATTCCCACTCAAGACAATGTTCTAGATATAGTATTCTTATTTCTGACACTCTATGTTCTCATTACTTTACATATTAGTTAAACTTTATTTGGACACCAGGCATTTTAGATTTGATCTTGTTGGATGCTCAAGATCATCCAACAAGATGATCTAATATTTTCATGTGTGTGTGTCCCAGTAAATAGTCCTGAGCTTTATTCTGGGGTTCAGTTAGGTATATTGAAAACAGTTTGGTCCTTTTTCATTAATGCGTATTAGGTGGTACCAGAGCAACATTTAATCTAGGCTAAACTATCCACTAATAAAGATGCTAGACCTTTCTGCGTACTTTACCCAATCCCATTGACTTGTGAACTGTTAAACTAGTCTAGCTGGTGAGGACTGCCACTATTCCCAGATGTGGCTAAACACAAACAACTCCCCTCTCTGACTAATTCAGGTGGTTCTTTCCTGCCCTCAGGGAGTTTCGCAATACACTGTCCTGCTGAATACTGAGGGGCATCCATGGTAGGTCTCTAGATTTCCTTCTCTTCTTCAAGGCTCTCTCCTGCAAAGGATGCCATATTTTTCTCTGGTTCTGATTCTCTGACTCTGATTCTCTGATTCTGAACTTTGTCTTCTCAATTCACAGAGTTTCACTGGGCTTTTTCTGAAATCCACTTCCATGTGCAGTACCCTGGAAACTCTCTGTTTACGAGCCTGGAAAGCTGTGGGGTTCAATTCCTTGTTTTGCCCATCTCTCATTGCCTTTTGCTGACTGTCATTAAAAGTGTTGCTTTTGTTTTATATACATATACATATATATATATATATATATACATATATATATATATATATGTACTCATTTCAAATAATAGCTTATTACAATATATTTTTATACTTTATATGTATTCTATTAATACATGTAATATTTATATTTTATATTCCTTTTGTAACTATTCATTTATTTTCAGTGTAATTGATGTATAGTTGTTATACAAAACATTGCATATATTTAATATATATATATTTTAAAAGGTATGGACATATGCATAATATTTGATATATTTTATCTGTATAAAAGACATGTTTAAATACATAAAAATATTTTATATATTACATAAAATATTTTTAAAATAAAAATATATTATATATTACATAAAATATTTTTAAAGTAAAAATATATAATCTGATTTGTTTTCTTTAGTTATAAGTAAAATCTAGTGTCTGCTATTCAGACTTACACAAAAGCAGAAGTCCTGACCAGGTGCAGTGGCTCACACCTATAATTCCAGCAGTTTGGGAGGCTGAGGTGGGCAGATCACTTCAGGTCAGGAGTTCAAGACCAGCCTGGTGCAATTCTTTCTCTACTAAAAATACAAAAGTTAGCCGGGTGTGGTTCTGCATGCCTGTAATTCCAGCTACTTAGGAGGCTGAGGCATGGGAATTGTTTGCGTGAAAGAGGTGGAGGTTGTAGTGATCTGACATTGTGCCACTGCATCCCAGCCTGGGTGACAGAGCAAAACTCTGACTAAAAAAAAAAAAAAAAAAAGAAAAAGAAAAAAAAAAAGGCAGAAGCCATTACACTTCAGTTTAAACATGCATATTGTTTGTAGATATGATATATTCCACTGGTATTGACAAATGGAAGGCATTCTTTATTCTTAAAATTTCTTCCCATTATAGTGAAATATTTTGTTCTAATGACATTGCAAAATTTAAGTTTCATCTCAAATGCGACTTTTTCCATAAACCCTCAGTGATCCATCTCTGTGGGAATTTTGTTCATATTTCTGTTGGTGTAAATGTAACTGCATTTAATAACCCTTGCCAAGTTCACCTATGACATTTTCGTTAAGAGCAACAAATATTTGTTCTTCAACTGCATGATTTTCAAATCCTGCCCCCGATTATAATGATGATGTGTGAAAAGAAGCAAGAATAAGCTTCTATTAAAATGAAATACCATTCAGAAATGTCTAAATATTTATTTTACATGTATAGAATATGTGTGAAAGAAGTTTATATGAAAGATTATAAAATTATTTGCCAGGCACGGTGGCTCATGAATGTAATCTCAGCACTTTGGGAGGCTTAGGCAGGGGGATCATGAGATCAGGAGATCAAGATCATCCTGGCTAACATGATGAAACCCAATCTGTGCTAAAAATACAAAAAGTTACCTGGGCATGGTGGCACGAACCTATAATCACAGCTGCTCAGGAGGCTGAGGCAGGAGAATTGCTTGAACCCAGAAGGTGGAGGTGGCAGTGTGCAGAGATCACGCCACTGCACCCCAGCCTTGGTGACAAGAGGAAGACTCTATCTCAAAAAAAAGAAAAGAAAGATTATAAAATTATTAAATGCAAATAAAATATATTTATTAAGCTTAAATTATGAAATAGAATATAGCAATAAAAGACAGTTAAGATCTCAATTGCTTATAAATTAAACAAGATTTCTGTAAATATTCATTGAATCAAAGTCCTTACAGTAAATTCCTCTGAGTGTTAGGATACAAAGATGCTTAATTTGCTCTGAATGCTAAAATACATGGTCAAATATGTGCTAAAAAGAGATTATACAGATGCAAATTTTCAGAATGGCATCTTATTGAAGACAATTTTTGAATATGAGGTATGATATGATCACCTTAAAAACTTTAAAATAAGGTTGTGTGAAAGCAGTACCATTTCAAGTAAGAATGACAAAACGTTGTATAGAAAATAAGAAATCAAAGTAATGGTGTATAAGTACAAATGCTGATTCTTTGAAAACAATCAGGGAAATCATTTATCTTAATACAGACTGAGGAATGAGGAGAAAGTGGACAAAGTAGCACAGTGCTAGAAATAGAAGGAAAAAAATAAGCACAAATAAAGAAGAGTTTTGACATAATGTAGAAAGAGGATTACACCTATTAACATAAAAGATTTCCAATACATTTTTATTGATTTTCATTGCAAAGTGTTTCAGAAGTAGAGTATTAAAGCTAAATTATAAATGATACCTTTACAAAACAAGTGCACACAACCAGATTTTAATTCTCTCTTTAATTCTACTTAAAGAGAGTTCCCTGATCCATTTAATTAAATCATGATAAATTATTTATAATCCAAATCAAGATAGCAATACAAGAACTACAGATCAATAATTTATCTACATTTCTGAATACACTTTAATAAATGACAATTAACAATATGCTGATAAAGCAATACAATATTTTCCAAATAGAAGATATTATTGGAAATTGATACATTTTATTTAAATAAATTATTTTATCCACACAATTGTGAAGAAAGAACAACACATGCTTATAACTTTAGAAACTGGCTGGGCATGGTGGCTCATATTTTTCATCTGAACACTTTGGGAGGTCCAGTTAGAAGAATCACTTGATCCCAGGAATTAGAGAACAGCAGGGGCAACATAGGGAAACTCTGTCACTACCCAAAAATACAAAGATTACCTGAGCATGGTGGCATACTCCTGTAGTACCAGGTAGTCCTATAGTCCCAGTAGCAGTCTTAGCTACTCAGGAGGGTGAAACAGGAGAATCCCTGGAGTGTGTAAGGTTGAGACTGCAGTGAATCATGATCATACCAGTACACTCCAGCTTGAGTGACAGAACCATATTCTGTCTTAAAAATGAACAAACGAACAAACAAACAAAAAAAGAGAGAAAAAGGCCGGGCGCGGTGGCTCACGCCTGTAATCCCAGCACTTTGGGAGGCAGAGGCGGGCGGATCATGAGGTCAGGAGATCGAGACCATCCTGGCTAACGCGGTGAAACCCCGCCTCTACTAAAAATACAAAAAATTAGCCGGGCGTGGTGGCGGGCGCCTGTGGTCCCGGCTACTCGGGAGGCTGAGGCAGGAGAATGGCATGAACCCGGGAGGCGGAGCTTGCAGTGAGCCGAGGTCGCGCCACTGCACTCCAGCCTGGGCGACAGAGCGAGACTCCGTCTCAAAAAAAAAAAAAAAAAAAAAAAAGAGAGAGAAAAAAAAGCTAATAAAGCAACTGATCAAATTGAAGATGAAAATTTAAAACTCTCTGTCAAGTTGAAAATGAGAAATTGCCCATGCCTATGTCCTGAATGGTATTGCCTAGGTTTTCTTCTAGGGTTTTTATGGTTTTAGGTCTAATATTTAAGTCTTTAATCCATCTTGAATTAATTTTTGTATAAGGTGTAAGGAAGGGATCAAGTTTCAGCTTTCTACATATGGTTAACCAGTTTTCCCAGCACCATTTGTTAAATAGGGAATCCTTTCCCCATTTCTTGTTTTTTTCAGGTTTGTCAAAGATCAGATAGTTGTAGATGTGCAGTATTATTTCTGAGGGATCTGTTCTGTTCCATTGATCTACATCTCTGTTTTGGTACCAGTATCATGCTGTTTTGGTTACCATAGCCTTGTAATATAGTTTGAAGTCAGGTAGCATGATGCCTCTAGCTTTGTTCTTTTGGCTTAGGATTGACTTGGCAATGCGGGCTCTTTTTAGTTTCCATATAAACCTTAAAGTAGTTTTTTCCAATTCTGTGGGTAAAGTCATTGGTCGACTGATGGGGATGGCATTGAATCTATAAATTACCTTGGGCAGTATGGCCATTTTCACAATATTGATTCTTCCTACCCATGAGCATGGAATGTTCTTCCATTTGTTTGTATCCTCTTTTATTTCATTGAGCAGTGGTTTGTAGTTCTCCTTGAAGAGGTCCTTCATCTCCCTTGTAAGTTGGATTCCTAGGTATTTTATTGTCTTTGAAGCAATCGTGAATGGGAGTTCACTCATGATTTGGATCTCTGTTTGTCTGTTATTGATGTATAAGAATGTTTGTGATTTTTGCACATTGATTCTGTATACAGAGACTTTGCTGAAGTTGCTTATCAGCTTAAGGAGATTTTGGACTGAGACGATGGGGTTTTCTAGATATACAATCATGTCATCTGCAAACAGGGACAATTTGACTTCCTCTTTTCCTAATTGAATACCCTTTATTTCTTTCTCCTCCCTAATTGCCCTGGCCAGAACTTCCAACACTATGTTGACTAGGCATGGGCAAGTATTTCATGTCTAAAATACCAAAAGCAATGGAAACAAAAGCCAAAATTGACAAATGGGATCTAATTAAACTAAAGAGTTTCTGCACAGCAAAAGAAACTACCATGAGAGTGAACAGGCAACCTACCAAATGGGAGAAAATTTTTGCAATCTGCTTATCTGACAAAGGACTAATATCCAGAATCTACAAAGAACTCCAACAAATTTACAAGAAAAGAACAAACAACCCCATCAAAAAGTGGGCAAAGGATATGAACAGACACTTCTCAAAAGAAGACATTTATGCAGCCAACAGACACATGAATAAATGCTCAACATCACTGGCCATCAGAGAAATGCAAATCAAAACCATAATGAGATACCATCTCACACCAGTTAGATTGGTGATCATTAAAAGTCAGGAAACAACAGGTGCTGGAGAGGATGTGGAGAAATAGGAACACTTTTACACTGTTGGTGGGACTGTAAACTAGTTCAACCATTGTGGAAGACAGTGTGGCGATTCCTCAGGAATCTAGAACTAGAAATACCATTTGACCCAGACATGCCATTACTGGGTATATACCCAAAGGAATACAAATCATGCTGCTATAAAGACACATGCACACTTATGTTTATTGTGGCACTATTCACAATAGCAAAGACTTGGAACCAACCCAAATGTCCAAGAATGGATTAAGAAAATGTGGCACATATACACCATGGAATACTATGCAGCCATGGAATACTTTGCAGGGATATGGATAAAGCTGGAAACCATCATTCTCAGCAAACTATCAAAAGGACAAAAAACCAAACACCACATGTTCTCACTCATAGGTGGGAATTGAACAATGAGAACACATGGACACAGTAAGGGGAACATCACACACAGAGGCTTGTTGTGGGGTAGGGGGAGGGGGGAGGGATAGCATTAGGAGATATACCTAATGTAAAGGACGAGTTAATGGGTGCAGCACACCAACATGGCACATGTATACATATGTAAAAAACCTGCACATTGTGCACAAGTACCTCAGAACTTAAAGTGTAATAAAAAAAAATAAAGACATAAGAAAATGAGAAATTATACAGAGTAAAATGCTATAGCAATATTTATTAAATTCAGGTAAAATATATAGATGTCCTTTCTTATCATCATTTTTCAATATTGTTTTAAAATTCACTCTGTAAGGTTCTCTAAGACTGTAAAAAAAGTTAATAAATTATGAAAAGAATAAGTGGCAAAATTATCTTTAGAAAAGGGCATATATGTCTGCATATCTGCATTTATATTAATCTGTTAATGACTAAAATATGTAAAACATAAAAAGCACAAGAAAATTTTGAATATCAAAGGACAACAGTTATTTACACTGTGGATGGAAATATGGATTGCTTTATTTTTTCTTTTAATTCTTTTAAAATTTCTGCTATTATAATTTAGTGTCCTCTATAAATAAATACATATTTAATTTTAAAAGCTAGCCCACCTTTAAAAAGGCAGCACAGTAACAAAGGCTTTAATTCATTCACTATTTTAATTCTTTCAGAATCAATTTATGAAAGACACCTAGAGGAAATATTACATGAATTTCAAATGCTAGAAGAATAGGCAGTATAGTGGATTTCTTGCTGTTGTTCTCAAACACGCTACACAAATCTCATAGTTGGAAACAAAGAGTGTTTATACTTCAGTGTTGAAAAATATCCATTAAGCATTTGCACACTGGCTCATGCACTTTGGGAGGCTGAAGCAGGACTCAACTTACTTGAGTTCAGGAGTTCCAGAACAGCTCAAACAGCTCTTTAATAGAGAACCCCATCTCCGCTAAAAATACACAAATGCTAAAAAAACATACAAAAATTAGCCTGGTATGGTGGTGGACACCTGCAATCCCAGCTACTTGGGAGACTGAGGCAGGAGGATTGCTTGAGTCCAGAAGGAGTTAGCAGTGAGCTGAGCTCATGCCACTGCATTCCTCATGCCTTGCATTCCTTCTCGTGAACGATCCAAGAACCCCGTGAAATTTTGATTTTTTATAAAGAAAAAGAAATTCAAAAATGTATATCCATTCAACCTTTCAGCAAACGACCTTTCAGAGATGGTTATGATACACCCAACTCAGTTCTACCACCTATGCTATAATCTTACCCTCCATATATGGGGAGGATGGGTGAGAAAGGACAGTATTTTTTAGGAAGGTACCCTTGCCAAACTGCACAAGAAGGAGGCCGGCAGAGTTCCCAGCCGTGTGCACCATCAGAAAGCCAGCTTTAGGGCTCTGGCCACATAATTTTCATTCATAATCTAAATATTTCCTGAGAAAGATATTGTTCCTTCTTTGTACAGGGGAACATAGAAGACAGACAGAGGAGAAAGAGCAAACCACAGCATCTCCAGTCTCAGATGGAAACCTGGAAGCTATTGCGGCAGGGAGAGGGAGGTTAAATTCAATAGGATGGTGTATTCCCTTCCTAGGCTGTTCTAACAAAGTATTGCAATATAAGTGGCTGAAAGCAACACTTATATCCTCTGACCATCCTGGAGGCCAGAAGTCTGAATTGAAGACATTGGTAGGGTTAGTTCCTTCTGGAAGTTGAATGGGAAAATGTGTTTTGTGCCTGTCTCCTAGCTCTTGGTGACTGCTGGCAGTCCTTGGGGTTCTTTGACTCATAGATGGATCACTCCAATCTGTGACCCCAGCTTCCCATGACCATCTTCCCTCTGTGTGTCTTATCTAAAACTGCTTCTCTTTATAAGACTGTTAACCACTGGATTAGGGGTCTACCATCTCTAATGTGACCCCATCTTAGCTTGACTGCATCGGTCAGACCTACTTCTAAATAAATCCACATTCATAAATCGAGGGATTTTGGAGTTGAATATATTCCTCCTTCAACACACAAACTTAAAAGTGTACATTGAGTTTAGACTAAGGTTTATTGTATATGAGTTTTGCCAGAAAGCAACGTCTTTTTTTTTCTTTTCTATTTGTTGTTGTTGTTGTTGTTTTGTTTTTGAGACAGGGTCTTACTCTGTCACCCAGGCTGGAGGGCAGTGGCATGATATTGGCTCACTGCAACCTCCACCTCCTGAGTTCAAGTGATTTCCCTGCCTCAGCTGGCCAAGTAGCTCAGATTACAGGTACCATGCCTGGCTAATTTTTGTGTTTTTTAGCAGAGATGGTGTTTCCCCATGTTGGCCAAGCTGGTCTTCAACTCCTGACCCCCTTGCTCCACCTGCCTTGGACTCCTGAAGTGCTGGGAGTACAGGTATGTGTCACCAGACTTAGCCAGTCAGGTCAGGTCTTTATGGGATGGGAAAGAATTATTTAAAAAAAGATGAGAACAGAGAAGAGAGTAGGCAGCTCTTGTCCTGGGGTTAGCAATTCTTTCAAATTCTGTTACTGTTCTTAACATCCATGCTCCTCATTATTCTCTTCCAGCCTATTTTGATTAGGTGCTTATATACTCAATCTCAGACTCAACTTTTCTGCTATATGTGGACTTAAGCTTTGACTTCGGCATACATCTTGCTGTGCCCCTACCATATTAAAACCTCTTTATGACAGGTCTGGGACAACAATTCTGATTGTTACCTGTATCCAATAATTTGTCAGGATTTTTCCCATCTTGATCTTGACATATACAACACTGGATAAATTAGTAGTGGGATGTAGTCTGGCTCCTGCTCTTGAATCCATCATCCTCAATTCCAACTTCCTTTGCCATGGTCTGTGACCTCACTTGACACACTACTGACTGGTTAGCTACATGCGGTCAAATTTACAAGATCTAGTAGAAATAGATTGGATTTTCTTTATTGCAATGTATATTTACATTTTTCTTGCTTTAAGGAAGCAAAGTCTCATAACAGCATTTTTGCCCTCAGTGTCAATCTCAAACTTGCAGACTCCCGTGGTAGAATGGTCTGCCATGGGGTGGGAGGGTTGGCTTCTCCCAGCCCTGAGAAGTTTTTGAGGTTTTGTATCTGTGAGGGAGACAAAGCCAAGTATATTAATGAAGAAAAATATCTGCTTTTCAAACTAATGCCTATGAAATAGCAGGCCCACATCTATCACTATATCCAGTGACTCCAAGTCTCACAATAGACTTCCAGTCAACATCTATCAAGACTTCTGCTATTTCTCAACCCCAACTTGAAGAATTGTTTGACATTATTTTTGTTTTTCATGTTCCATACACACTTGCTCTGTTTTCACTTGATATGAATTAAGTAAGAACTTAATATTGGCATCAATGCTAACATCTTAGGGATCCTAATATGCCCAGGACAAACGTAATTCCAATACTGTGGCATTTTCAACTTATTAATCATTAAAATTAATCTTGGAAATATTGTAGTGAAAAGAAAAAGAATTATTTAACTAGATCCAGTTAGAGGTGGGTGTGGCTGGAGAAAAGCTAATTCATTTTTGCACCTTTAACATTCCGACTTCTCACAAACTGGTCAATTTGTCTGTGTCTAGATATTATGTTCCTTATAAAAATTCTTTCTCTTTTAGGTACAAATAAGAGGTGCTGTACCTCAATAATTTGGATTCATGAAAATTATAAAATATCATGTGTATAGGTACAGAAGTTTTTTTTCACATTTTACCAATGGCAAAAGAAAGCACAATTTGGGAGGCATGTTGAACACAAAAGTCTTAACAAGATATCTAAGCCACTTATTGCCTTAACTGGACTGCCTTTTCAGGCTTCCAAAACATCAGATGTAGTTGCAACCCAATGTGGCAATCTTTATTGATATTTAAATTGGACTAATCAATATAGACATTAAACTTTTCTGTACATGCACATGAAAGCCTGTCTACAATTTTATGGTATGAAATTAAAAGAGATAAATTTATTACACAGTAATAGGTGTAGCATTACTTTAGAAATCTTTGCATACTAAAATCAGATATGATTGGCAATCCACATTTGCTTTCTGGAGCTGCTATCATGCCATTGTTTATTTGTTTATTTATCTGAGACAAGATCTCACTCTGTTGCCCAGGCTGGAGTGTATTGGTTCAATTTTGGCTCACTGCAACCTCTGTCTCCCTGGTTCAAGTAATTCTTCTACCTCAGTCTCCCAAGTAGCTGGGATTACAGGCATGCACCACCACACACAGCTAATTATTTTTTATATAATTTATTGGCATTGTAAATGCAAGCATATGTGGGGGGTAATCTTTAATTGGCAATTACCTGTAGGGAGATGAGAAGGAGATAATATGAACTCCAAAAGAAAAAATAGAAGCCACATTGCTCAAACCAGGACTGCCAGTTTTCAAAGGAAACAAAAACTAGAAGTATTCTTCTGTTGATAGTCACTAGAATGGCCTTACTGTTGTTCATGCCTTGTATCCCTTTAGATTAGAAGAATGCCTTTGCAGAAACAGACTACTTGTTAAAGATTTTGAATGTGACTTGAGAACGATCTTCTTGTGTAGAATCTTGCACGAGTTCTCTGTATTTTCTGAGTTTGACTGTTGGCCTCTCCAGCAAATTTGGGAAAATTTTCATGGATAATATCCTGAAATATATTTTCCAACTTGTTTGCTTTCACCTCCTTCCTTTCAAATACACCAGTGATTCATAGATTTGGCCTCTTTACATAATCCCCTACTTCTCAGATGTTTTGTTCATTCCTTTTTATTTTTATTTATTTATTTGTCTGACTGTCTTATTTCAGAGAACTGATCTTCCAGTTTCGAGATTCTTTTCTCAGCTTGGTTTATTCTGCTGTTACTACTTGTGACTGCATTGTGAAATTCTTGTATTGTGTTATTCAGACCTGTTACATAAGTTTTTGTACTGGCTATTTTGTCCTTCAGCTACTGTATCTATATGCATCTCTCTCTCTCTCTCTCTCTGTTTTTTTTTTTTTTTTCTGGTGAGACAGAGTCTTGTTCTCTCACCCAGGATAGAGTGCAGTGATGCAATTTTGACTCACTGAAACCTCCACCTCCTGGCCTCAAACAATTCTGCCTCAGCCTGCCAAGTAGCTGCGATTACAGAGATCACAGGCTCCTGCCACCATACCTGGCCAATTTTTGTATTATTTTTAGTGGAGATCGGGTTTCACATGTTGGCCAGGCTGGTCTCAAACTTCTGACCTGAAATGATCCATCTGCCTCAGGCTCCCAAAGTGCTGGAATTACAGGCATGCACCATCATGGTTGGCCCAGCTCCTATATCAGTTATTGTGATTATTTTCCTTATATTGGGTTTTGTCATCCTCATGAATCTCAATGATCTTTGTTCCTATCCACATTCTGAATTACATTTCTGTCATGCCAGCCAGTTCTGTGTGGTTAAGAACTCTTGTTGGAGAACTTGTCTAGTCATTTGGAGGACATCCAACACTAGCCACTTGAGTTACCACATTCCTTATGTTGGTTCTTTGTCATCTCTGCATGTGTGTTCTTTAACTGCAGTATAGATTGAGTACACTCAATTGACTTCTTTTCTCCTTGTTTTCACCAGTCTCAGGCTTTGTGTAGGGTCATTTCTGAAGCTGACTCCTTGTCTCTGGTTTCACATGGGCTTATATTAGTGAGGTATTTTTGGTGTTAAAGCTTTATGTGGTGATCCAGCATGTGACAGTTAGGCTTATGGATACTTTGGTAGACTCTGGCTCAGCTGTGTGACTCCCCTGTGTTTTCTTCCAGCTGCGGCTGTGTTTTCTTTCAGTTGTCTGAAGATGTGGGTTCCTCTGCCAATTCAGTGCTGCCTATAGTGTAAGACTGACTTGGCATTCCTGGGTTGCCCACTGTAGCTCTGGGGAAATCTCAGTGTTTATGTCTCTTCCCCAGCTTAGAGGCAGAAGATAAAGAGAATCACGTTTCCTGACTGATATGGTTTGGCTGTGTGTATAATATATAATATCTATATCTATATATAATATAGATATATAATGGAGATATATATACACACTCACAGACAATGGAGGATTCATCACCAGCCTGGGAAGCAACAGCCTGGGCTCCAGAGTTGGACACCACACTCACCATAGTATGGAGGATTCACCACCAGACTGGGACGCAACAACCTGGGCTTCAGAATCGAATACTACACTCACCAGACTATGGAGGATTCATGACTACACTGGGAAGCAACAGCTTGGTCTCCAGAGTCAGCCACTCATTCATGCACAGACCAGGAGAGCTCACATGAAGCTTCAGTGCAGTCTAGGACCCTAGCTCTTTAACGGGTTGTTTGGCATGAGGCCCATTCACAAGGTCCCTTCATGACTGAACTCATTGCACACAAAAAGGTCAACTTGTTATTTTGCAATTTTCTATTGTTTTTCAATAACTGACATATAGGAATAGATTGAAATAAACATTTCTCTGTAACAGTGCTGAATGAACACCTTAAGGAGTTCACACAACCTGTTCCAGGACTTGGTGACCATTGTTTTTGTCCATTTTCAATTGAATTGAAATTTAATATTTAACTTCTCCTCCACATTTAGCCCCAATCTGATACTCAATTGTAGGAAAATACCCTTACAGATATATGGGGAAGGCATAATGGATGTAGATTACAGATACAGGGTAAACACAGGAAAATTAAAAGCACAATTAATAAAAGCCACACCCACCATGCCTTTTCAAGGAGAGTAATATTGTGAGAATTGTTAGGGATAGACACACAACATTCAGTATGCAGTTATGGGCAAACCCCTCCTTTGGCTGTGGTAAGCATATCTAACACATTCAATTTCGCAACACAACAGTACACAGCCAAGCAAATTTATCTGATCACAACTTAAGTCCACTGCTACTGTCATTAAGAGCTTTTTCTACATGTAAGCTTAATATTTTAATTTGTTGCTGAAGCAGAATTGTTCTAGTGGCAGGGGAGAAAAAAAGAAAAAAGATATATATATATAAATATAAATAAAGATATATATGTCTTATATATTATAATATATATGCTGGGCCTCATTTTACATTTGTTATTTAAATAAAAGAGCTTAGAATTTAGCAATGAGTGCATACTTATTATTCAAAGTGACATAAAAAGATAAAAATATATAAAAAATTAAAATGTTTTAAAAGAAATGTTTAATACTATGGCCACTTAACCAAATCCAGAAATGAGCATATAGAGTGATGAAATAAGGCAAAAAAGTAGTTTTACTCCCTTAGTCTGAGTATTCCTTTAATCTTGGTTTTTGAGTTATCCATTGGGCTATTTTGAGCTTGACTGAACAAGTTCAAGAATGTCAGGGACACTGGAGTTTATCTCAACTCAAATGACTTAGGAATAATGCACTAATGGTACAATAGTTTATATATGAAGAAAATAAGACAATTCTGTGACTTCTTGATTTGGAAGGATCCATAATCTTGGGAAAAGCACTGAGTAGTGGTTCAGATATCAAGTACATTTTGGGCAGACAATGTGTTCCATTCTAGCACTAGTGTGTACAATTATGAACATTGTTCAGTCTTTTTAATGCTAAGAACCCCAATTTCCTCATAGGCAACATGAGCTAGTGATAAGGGCTATATGAGAAAGATTTAGCTCAGTGCTTGGCACCAACAGGTTAACAAAAGCAGCTCTAGTAATGGCTAAGAAAATTGCCCACATAACAGTGGGTAGTAAATTTGATTTAGGAGCATTTGGTAAATTTGCCTTTAAAAGCAACTAAATAAAACACAGAAAAATTATGCAAGTACAAACTGAGGATAAGACGAGGGGCATTTATTTAACTCCTGTCACTTCTGTGTAATGATTAAAATCATTATTTAAATGTGACACAAGGGTCCTGCTTAAAAAAATCCATATACTTGCTTTTGAGAGGAAATAAGATAAAAAGATGGATTTATATTTCTTTCTTGAGAATGCTGGAGCTCAGTTTTCCTTTTCACATTCAAACTGAAGCTGTTAACATCTTTGACTGAGATGGGGACTCTGTAAAGAAAAATAACTTCAATTTCATGAAACTTATTGTAGTTGAATGTCTCTGTGTAGTGAGGAATTTAAACCCCTTGAGTAGTTTTAATTATTCAAATTCCCAGGAGACCTATACCTCTCTGGAGTAGTGGCAGAAGAATCTGGGCTGATTCTGTGCTGGTTTACAGGAGCCAGTTAAATAAACCAATTACAGTTCCAAATGACGTGAACATAGATTGACTTCATTTCATCTGTTAATCAGGTAGACACACCACCCTATTTTCAGGACAAACTTAAATTGATCAAAGAAACATGAATTGAGTCCTCTCAACTAAGTTAACCAACAACAACAAAAAAAAAAAAGAGAAAAAACTCAGTAGACATTATTTAAACTTGTACTGATAATATACAAAATGTGTACTCACTCCATAAATCACACAGTTTCCACTCTGTGTTTCTATTTTTATTTTCCATGGGTAGATACTTTTATTATTATTGTTAATCTAATTATGTATTCAAATTAATTAATGGCATTATCTTAATTAATCAGCAATCACATGTTAAGTAGAGTGCCTCTTTATGAACAAGGAAAGGGAAACAGGCTAGACATTGCTTGGAAAATGTGGCAAAAACCCTGTCTCTACAAAATATGCAAAGGAATTAGCCAGATGTAGTGGTCTGCCTATAGTCCCAGCTACTCTGGAGGCTGAGGTGAGAAAATCCCTTGAGCCTGTCAGGTCAAGGCTGCAGTAAGCAGAGATCATGCTATTGCACTCCATCCTGAGTGATAGACCAGATCCTGTCTCGAAAAAAAAAAACAAAATAAAAATCTGAAAACACATTTAAAACACCTCTGAATGATAAGGGGACAGAATTATGCCTATAACAACAGCAACTATCTTAAATGGTAAACACTGAAAGAAATTTTAGTGAAAGGAACAAAGAAGAGAATACTTACTTTCAACCTTGTTATATAACATGACCTTTGAGATTTTAGCTAGTAGATTAAAGAACAAGTTTAGTAACATAAACTATATAAATAAAAAGATAGTTATTTCTGTTTTTTTCTGTTGATATAATCATATACATGAAAAACTGAGTAACAGGAAAAAGTAGAAGCTAGCATTAATATTAACATTTGGAAAACTAGCTGGCTATAAATAATTACCTTTAAAACAATATTTTTGTAGTCCTATAATTAAGGGGAAAATAGAAACACACTAATCATTCATAGTAAGAAAATAATATAGTCATCAAGAGTCATGAATAGTATCTAAACATATAAAAAGGTAACTTTTGATTAAAAATCTATAGCTAAAAGTATGCACGTGTATGAATGTGTGTATGTGTGATTCCATCCAATTCCACTATAATTATTTCATTTCTAAATTGGGCAAAACAATCGTAAAATGCTTTGAGAAAAAAATCAAACAAATAGCAAAAGTGTGGAAAAATAGAATGGCTACAGGTTATGCAGGGTAAAAGAGAACCTGTCTGGCCAAGTACAAAAATGAACACCCTAGCTGGGTGTGGTAGATCATACCTGTAATTTCAGCACTTTGGGAGGCCAAGGCAGGTGTATCACTTGAGGTCAGGAGTTTGAGACCACATTGGCTAACGTGGCAAAACCCTGACTCTACTAAAAATACAAAATTACCTGGTGTCAGTTAGTGCCTGTAACCCAGCCATTTGGGAGGGTGAAGCAGGAGAATAGCTTGAATCCGGGAGGCAGAGGTTTCAGTGAGCTGAGATCGCGCCATTGCACTCCAGCCTGGGTAACGGAGCATGACTCTGTCTGAAAAAAAAAAAAAAAAAAAGAAGAAAAAGAGTACATCTGATCACCATCATAAGTTCCATATGTACTCATACAGGGTGCAGAGAAAATTTGAGTGAACAGACTGGAAAATCAGAATTAGACCTCAGGGTGAATCTCTTCATCTTTTTGCTCTCAATGTAAACAGCATTCTTTCTGTCTCTCCTTTTCACCTTTTCTTCTTTGTATAGCCTCAGCACAACCTGCACACAGTACTCCCCTTAGTCAATGCAAGGCATAGTGCTTATTAGGAAACAGCGTACCTCAGTTGGGGCAGACACAACAATGTACCAGGGCAGAGCTTGCAGAGCAGACCTTGATTTCAATTTTCCTTTTTCCCTGTACAATGTGTTCTGCACTAGCTGTGAACTCACATAACTCTACCTGTGGGCTTTTCCTTCAAATCACCCATCCTCTGTGTGACCAACAACTTAACATAACTCTGCACATAGACACCAGTTGTACTTATCCTTGAAAGCATTAGTCATAACTGTAATTCTATTTTAATATATTTTATTTAAAAAAATTCCATAAGCTTTTGGGTAACTGGTGGTATTTGACTACATGAGGAAGTTCTTTAACAGTGATTTGTGAGATTTTTGTATACCCATCACTGGAGCAGTATATACTGAACCCAATATGTTGTCTTTTTTACCTCACCCCCTTCCCACCCTTTCTCCCTGAGTCCCCAAAGTCCATTGGGTCATTCTTATGGCTTTGCACCCTCACAGCTTAGCTCCTACTTGTGAGTGAGAACATATTTTAATGTCTTAAAATAATTTTCCTTACTAGAATATAAGCTCCACGAAGAACAGAAATGCAACTGTCTTGTTCATCTTGGATTCCCAGTGGCTGAAACTATGATGGTACAGCATTGATTTTCTATGTATATGAGACAAAAAGATGAAGTAATCACAAAATAATATCTTTAATGTTATAAATTTCAGACATGTTTGTGGATCTTTGTTCTCTGTGGCCTTCCAATCAAAACGGTCTGCCTGGATTATGAATTACTCCAGGTCTGAGCTGACTCACAATGTAGAAGTCAGATGGTGTCCTCACTCCCTTGCATGTTGGGTGTGCAATAGATGACCCAATTTCTGGTGAAACTTGACAGTATAGAGGGAGATTTGGTTTCAGAAGTGAATTACTATTTTCCAAAGGCAAGACTAAAAGGTGGTAGGAAACCTGCCATTTGCCCTATAAAAGCTCACAAAATGTTGCTTAATTTCTTTTTCCGGCTGCATAAGCTTTAAGACCTGACTTTCTGATATCCCAGGAAATATGCTCAACTTTCTAATATTGGATAAGAAAATGTCTTGCTACCTAAGGTAGTAAATGTGTATTCTAATTATTGCACCTAAACAATCAACAAAAAAAGGGCTGCATGTGTTAGAATTGCCATAGCACCATGTCACCCTTTGAATGGCTTAAGCAAAATAAATTTATTGCCATAAAGTTTTTGGGGGCCAGAAATGTGAGACTAGGAATGTGCTCTTGCTGAAAGTGTGAGGTCAATAACTGATCCAGCCTTTTTCTTAGTTTCTGGTAGTTTCTTGGTGGCATAAATCCAATCTCTGCTTCTGTCTTACTTGATCTTCTCCCCATGAGTTCAAACGTTTCCTTTTCATAAAGACACTGGTCACACTGGATTAAGGATCCATTTTATTCTAATATGACCTAATGCTAACTTAAGTAAATCTGTAATAACTTTATTTAAAAATATGGTCATATTCTAAGATACTGGGAAGTGGGGGTGGGCAGGGCTTCAGCATATAAATTTTGAGATATGTAAGTCAAATCATAATAAAGTGTAATGGACACAGATACCATAAGAGATTGTGAAAAAATTCTGGAGATGATAGTTGCTAGTGGCATGTCCAGGGACCCCCCTCTACTTAGACGATGATGTTTCTAATCTTTACATAGAACTGTTAAATATGATTTTCTAGTCTGTTATCTTCTAACTGTCCACTCCCACCGTGAGCAATATGGTCTGTCCTGGGCAGTTGTTACAGGCATACTTGCTGTCATATCTTTCAAGGGCATTCTTCTAGCAGAAAAGTGTTGCTATCAGGGAATCACTGTGAAGTTGTCAAGATTCACAGAAAATATGATGAAAGACAATGTCGCATGTGTGCTGGAGCCCTTACAAGTGCTTACAAATCATTGAGTTCATATTATACTGTGGATTTTCTAGAGCATTTTCCAAAGATGATTCTTCAAGGTTAAATGTTTCAAACTGTGTTTATTGTTCTTTTTATTTTTTATTTTTATGTAGTTTATAGACTGGTACCAAGCAAATTAAGGTATTCACAGACTGGCTACATATATGAGTTTTGTGGTGCCATACATTCTGATTGTATTCATTCCTGCAGATAGATTTCCAGTTTTCTAGGTCTAAGCCCTCATTGTGTATTTCAAAAATAATGCAATATTAAATGATCTACCTAGCTACCCTGCTAACGAATAAGCAAAGCAGCCACATTTGCTTCATTTAAATTATATTACCTATGGCTCCAATGGTCATGATGAATGCCTAAGTTTCCAAAACTGCCATGTATATTTCTAACACTGACCCAAATTAACTTTGTGCTGCATTCGTCGACGGCACTGAGCTTTGTCTGAGCCAATATCAGTGTTCCCAGAGTAACTAATCTGCTTCATTAGTTTCTGCAGTGAGAGGGCATAAAAGAGGAACATGATATTTGTTAATAGTCTCTAAATGAAGCCAAACCAGACACAGAGAATGAGGAAAATGAAGTGATTCTGTGGAGATTCTTTCAATTTCTACTGTCAGAAGCTAAAGTGGCTGCTAATGCATTAAGAAAGGAGGCTATAAACGAGTCCTTCAGGATTTCTCAAGCAGGGACTAGTAAAAAGTTTGTAGGAGCCCTACAGCATAGTTGTGTCTTCCTCTTTAGTTACTTCTTTCAATTTGTCATTTTTATTAAATTGGCCTCTTCTAGCTCCCTTTACAGATCCTAATTACACATACACAGAAATTTCACACACAGGTGTTTAAGAAGACTATGCTGTTAAAATAGGATTGCATCACAATTTGGCATTTACATGCTGGCCACAGAAGTGGAAGTGCTAGAAATTGCTCTCAGGACATGTAGACATTTGTACACAATAGTTTTACTGTTTGTGGTGTTAATCTCTGAGCTAACAGCTGGCTGAGGTAGTGGAGATATGGGGAATGCTTGAACATATCAGAAGTCTAGGCATGTTTTTGAAATGGAATGGTCTAACTTGAAGTTTCAAGTGTAGTTGCTTTATCTTCATGAAAATCATGTGATAACCTGTGAATCATTTTCCTGATTATATAATAGGGTTTTCCTCCTCATCATTAATATTTTGCTCATTTTATTAATATTGTGGCCACAAACCTTTTGAATCATAAAACTATGGCTAACTTATGGACTTTTGTTTAATATTTTCTGGTGATTCCATTAGAGCAGGCGTCCCCAACCCCTAGGTCATGGACTGGTATCAGTCTGTGGTCTGTTAAAAAGCAGGCCACGGCCAGGTAGTTACTCACACCTGTAATCTCAGCACTTTGGGAGGCTAAGGAAGCAAATCACTTTAGGTCAGGAGTTCAAGACTGCCTAGCCAACATGGTAATACCCCATCCTTACTAAAAATACAAAAATTAGCCAGGTGTGGTGGCAGGTGCCTGTAATCTCATTGGTTTGAGAACCTGAAGTAGGAGAATCACTTGAACTCAGGAGGCAGAGGTTGCAATGAGCAAAGATCATGGCACTTTACTCCAGCATAGGCAACCAAGCGAGAATCTGTCTCAAAACAAAAACAAACAAACAAACAAACAACAAAAACAAAAAATCAGGTGTCACAGCAGCAGGTGAGAGGTGGATGAGTAAGCAAAGCTTCATCTGTATTTACAGCCCTCCCCATTCCAATTATTACTGCCTAACTTCCACCTCCTGTCAGATCAGCAGAGTCATTCGATTCCCATAAAAGTTCAAACCCCATCATGTGCTGTGTGCTCGTTATGAGAATCTAATGCCTGATGATTTCTCACTGTCTCCTATCACCCCCAGATGGGACTGCCTAGTTGCCGAAAACAAGCTCAGGTTTCCCATGGATGCTACATTATGGAGAGCTGAATAATTATTTCATTGTATTACAATGGAATAATAATAAAAATAAAGTGCAGAATAAAGGTAATACACTCGAATCATCCCATAAACATCTCCCCCAACTCCTAGTCCAGGAAAAAATTGTCTTCCCAGAAACTTGACCCCGGTGCCATAAATGCTGGAGACCACTTTTTTAGAATATTGGCTTTCTTTCAACCAACTTGTACACATTATAACTATAAAAGCTTTTAAAGGCTTTTTAGAAGCATTTTATGAGCCCTGTATGCATTTTCCTCTCACTGTTATGACATACAGCTGGCTATATCCCCAAACAAATGATTTGTGATTAGGATTTTAACAATATCTGAAAAGACAGAATCAATAATGCCACCTTATTTCTAAAGACAACACACTACACAAAATGTTTATTAAATAAACATAAATATGTTATTTTCAATAAAGTCAAAATATTCTAAAAGAAGGACCATAATATGTTTTTAACATTAAAAATGAACACATATTAAAAATCTACTGATCTAAATACAGTTATGATTTTCTGGCTTATGTAGTTGTTTTTAAAATTACATCGACGAGGGATAGATAAATAAATACATGATAAATAGACATAGATAAATACATAGATAGAAAGATAGAGATAAATGCATAGCTGAATGAATAGATAAATACCTGAATAGAAAAATAGAGATGAATAGGTCAACAGATAGATAGATAGACAGAGAGAGAGACAGAGAAATAGAGAGAGAGAAAGATAGAGATGGAAGGATAGATAAATGAATAAGTACATGCAAGATAAATGGAGATAGTGGGTGGATTGATAGATGATAGATTAGATAGATAGATAGATAGATAGATAGATAGATAGATAGATAGATAGATAGATATGGATGGAGAGAAAGAAAGAGATGGATGAATAAATAAATGGATAAGTATATGCAAGATAAATAGAGATGGCAGGTGGATAGGTAGGTAGGTAGATAAATAGATGGATAGATAGATAGCTATGGATGGAAAGGTAGAAAAATAAGAAATGGATGGATGATGGAAGATAGATAGATAGATAGATAGATAGATAGATACAAAGATGATTAGATAGATAGGTGATAGACAGAATAATTGAATTATTATTTGTGGTGAACAGACTCCAGTGTGGCCTCCATGAACCTAACTCTTGGTCTTCACACTTTTCTTTAATTTCCTCCCAGTGTGAGCGGGACTTTTGACTTTCTCCGACCTGTAGACTGCCAAATGTAATAAGATTACCTCTTTGATTAGGTTACCTTTTATGGCAATTATGATAGTGTTGTGCATAAAATGTTTGTGTCCCCCAGAAATCATGATTTTTTGTTTATATATTTATGTCTTCATGATTTGTCTATTTTGTAAAGTGAAAAACTGATTTAAAAATGTTTAAATTCTGCTCAACAGTCTTTATCTTTAATTAGATAGCATTCACACTGCTTTCCTTTACATTGAGTATTATCCTTAAAGAGTTGGACTTTTTTTCTCTTCTCTTATACTGTGAATTTCTAAATATCTTAATTTTTTTGTTTCTGTTTTTTTTTTTTAATTGGGGTTGTTTGAAGTCTACTTGCTTTATTATTTCACTGAGTTCCTTGCCCTGACATTCTCATGCTGGAAGTTGTATTATTCACCCCGCACCGCATATACTCCCCTTATAATGCATGAATTTATATTATATTATACTCATTCACCATTCACATGTGTAGGTCAATATTACCTAGAAGTTTTACTAGATAATGTTTTAATTAAATAAGGAATAATGGGTGTGAATGTCTTTCTGTTTATTATGGGTTTGATTTCAGTTTGTTCAATTTGTGTATTTGTTACTTTTGCTAAATTAGGAAACTTTTTCAGTTTTTTTTTTTTTTTTAGCACAAATGATTTCCCCTTTCCTTCTGGGATTCCAGTCACATGAAGTTAGGTCACTGTAACACTATACATAATTTTCTATCTATTATTTTCTGCTATTTAAATTAGGTTAAAACAATTTCTTTTTTTTTTTCTTTTTTTCTTTTTGATACAGAGTCTTACTCTCTCACCAGGCTGGAGTGCAGTGGTACAATCTTGGCTCACTGCAACCTCTACCTCCCGGGTTCAAGCGATTATCCTGCCTCAGCCTCCCAAGTAGTTGGGACCACAGGTGCGTGCTACCACACCCAGCTAATTTTTGTATTTTTAGTAGAGACAGGGTTTCACCATGTTGGCCAGAATGGTCTCGATCTCTTGACTTTGTGATCCACCTGCTACAAGGTGGCACCCTCCCAAAGTGCAGAGATTACAAACATGAGCCAATGCTCCCAGCCACAATTTCTATCATATCTTCATATTCACTTATCTTTCCTCTGTTCTATCCATTCTGCTCTTAAGCCTATCTGGTAATCTTTTATTCAGTTACAATATTTGTTAGTGCTAACAAATTTTTGTTCTTCTCTATGTCTTCTATTAATTATCTGAAACTTTCTATCTGTTCATCTGCCTCAATAGTTTTTAATTACTCATTGAAGGAATGTTATGTTTCAGCATGGACAGTGATTGGACAGTGATTCTCAGTTGTATCCTGGCCATTTAGGATTATGTTTGAGATTTGGCACATTGTGTAATTATTATTTTTTTTTGTGGAGACCTCTTCTAAGATTATGCCCACAGGATAAGTGGAGTGCCACCTCACTACAGGGAAGAGGGGGTGGAAGTCCACATTTTCCCTATAATCTCTGTGATCCATGTTGGTAAGTCCAGTGTGGGATTGCAAGGAGGGTAAACAGATGCCTCATAATGACTGCAATGACACCACAATGGGAAACAGGTAAACTTCTCACCCTAAAACTCCACTGGGTGTCTTTTGACACCACTCTAGTGGGGTTGGAGAGACAGTTTGTATTAGCCAGTGTTCTCTGAGAAAGCATCCATAGAAGATAGATAGACACATAGATAGATTCAAATAGATTTATTTATGTATTTACTTATTTATTTTTAGACAGAGTCTTGCTGTGTCACCCAGGCTTGAGTGCTGTGGCACGATCTTGGTGCACTGCAACCTCTGCCTCCTGGATTCAAGCAGTTATTCTCCTCAGCCTCCAAAGAAGATGGGATTACAGGCTCGTGCCACAACACCTGGCTAATTTTTTGTATTTTTAGCAGAGATGGGGTTTCACCATGTTGGCCAGGCTGGTCTTGAACTGCTGACCTTGTGATCCACACACTTGGACTCCCAATGTGTTGGAATTAGAGGCGTAAACCATGGCACCCAGCTCAAAGAGATTTATAAAGAGAAACTGGCTCAGAAATTGAATATGAGAGTTCCTAACATATGGAGGCAGCAATGGGAGATTCAGGAGAGCTGGTGGTCTAAGTTCTAGTCTGAGACTAAAGGCCAGAGACCCAGGACAGCTGATGGTGTGAGCTCCTATCTGAGTCTGAAGGCCCAAGACCCAGAAGAGCAAATGGTGTGAGTTCAAGTCTGAGTCTGAAGGCCTGAGGCCAATGAGAGCTGATGGTGTAAGTTCTAATCTGGGTCTGAAGGCCCAAGGCCCAGGAAAGCTGATGATGTGAAGTCCAGTCTGAGTGTGAAGGCCTGAGACTCAAGAGAGTTGATGGCATGAGTTCTAGTCTGAGTCTGAAGGCCCGAGATGCAGGATAACTGAGGGTATGACTTCCAGTCTGAGTCTGAAGACCTGAGACCCAGGAGTCCTGATCATGTGAAGTCCGATCTGAGTCTGAAGGCGTAAGGCCAGGAGAGCTAATGGTGTGAATTCCAGTCTGAGTCAGAAGACCTGAGACCCAGAAGAGCTTTGAGTGTGAATTCCAATCTGAGTCAGAAAATCCAAGACCCAGGAGAGCTGACAGTGTGGGATTCACACTGGAGACTCAAGACCCAGGAAAGCCCATGATGTAGGTGCCAGTTTAAAGACAGGAGAATCCTGATGTTTCAGCTCAATCAGGCAGGAGAGGTTTCCTCTTACTCCATCTTTGTTTCCTATTCCAGGCTTTCATAGATTGTAGAGGACCCACCAACAGGAGGGGTCAATCCACTTTTTGCAGTGTATGAATTCAAATGGGAAGCCAGGTGCAGTGGCTCACACCTGTAATCCCAGGACTTTGGGACAGGTTGGATGATCTCAGCTCAGGAGTTTGAGACTAGCCTGGGCAACATGGTGAAACCCCATCTCTACTAAAACTACAAAAATTAGCTGGGCTTGGTGGCAGGCACCTGTGATCCCACCTATTCTGGAGGCTGAGGCAGGAGAATCGCTTGAACCCACAAAATGGAGGTTGCAATGAGCCAAGATCACCCCATTGCACTCCAGCTTGGGAGACAAGAGTGAGACTCTGTCTCAAATAATAAATAAATAAATACATAATTGAAAGAATAAAAAAAGAATTCAGATGGGAATCTCATCCAAGTACCCATCTTGCAGACATATTCAGAATAATGATTTCCCAAATATCTCCATGCCCTGTGACTCAGTCAAGTTGATACAAAAAAATCAGTCATTATTGTTGTCTTGGTTCTGCCTGGTAAAATCAAAGTCCAGACCAGCTAGTCTGGCCTGGTATCCACCTGGATATTACAGATGGGCAATGTTGGAAGTTTATGCTTGAAGCTTGGTCTTTGCTAATGGGGGTGGAGCGGAAGCCACAGTGCATCTGTGGTATATGCTGGATAACAGAAAACCCAGAGAACTCATTCCCATGATTTTCCTCAGGTTCTCAGGTCTTTTTTCTTCTCTTCACCTGTCAGGGACCTCTTATACTAGCTTTATATTAATATGCAGGTTTTATGTCTGTACTTAAAATGGAAACAGGCAGAAGTGCATCTATGTCATCTTGTTCCAGAATTACAAATTTGAAGTATTGCAGCTTTTTTAGTATAACTGAAAAAATATCTACAAACTCATCTGCAAATCTGCAAGTGGTGCACAAAATAAATCCACTTAAATAGTCCTCTTTGACCATGTTAAGTGTTTGAATCAAGTAAAATTACACGAATAAAGTCGATGGTAGTTACAAACCAAATGGACTCTCTATCCACAGAATATAATTTTTAACAGTCATATACACCTGTTTCCAATCTAACAAAGGCTTAAAAGAGACTTTCTAAGAGAAGTTTAAGTTTTATTACTCAGAAACTCTGGGGATTTTCAGCAATGTAAGTGAATACTAGAGAGCATTCAAGAAATCTTAGATCTTCAGAGTTGTTTTCCTTGAAGCTTTGAATCTTTGTGCACTTTTAAAATTGTTTTTCTCTGCATTTAGCAATGACATATATTGTAAAAAATGTGTCTTATGTTTATCTTCAGCCAAATTTATTTGCATGTTCTACTTTGTGTGTTTTAGTAAAAGTTCAATATTTGATAGCTTGAGTAATTCTTTCATCTTTGATGCAAAGCTACATTTTGAAAATATTGACTGAGAATACAATGAAGTATATAATCATTTTCCAGTAGCAATGACTGGAATGTGTGACACATGTCTCAGTAGCAACATTTCACTTTGTTCAAGATCTGATTTTCTATAAATAATTCCTAATGCAGTCAGCTACAAACCAAGACAAGAATGTAATTGAAAGCCTCTGAGTTATTAATAATTTACTTTCTCTATGTGGCCACACTTAGGACCTAAGCCAAAAAAAAAGTATAGAAAAACTCCTTAAGAGTAAAAAAAATTAAATAAAAAAGCATATAATGGATATGTGTCAACTGAGTTATGTGGAAAGGCAGAAAAGGCATTTTAGAAACAATGATCTGAGGTTATTCAATATAAGGATATAGAACTCTATACCCTTGAATATCCATGAAGTTCTTTCTGTATGGTCCAGCAGAAGAAGAATGTTAATTCCTTGCAGGTACTGCACTGCTTAGATGTTATTTTTGAAAACCTCTCCAGATTTTTAATACCTTCCTTCATTGAATTTTGAGTTATAAATGCAACCATTTTACAGATGCAGGGAGATATAACACAAGTTGTAAAGCCCTGTGTGAAGTCATATGGTTGACAGGAATAAGAATTCCTCATTTGAAGGAATTTTTATACTCTACCCTGACTTACTGATGACTCACAGTGTATGTGACTCTAGAGTTTAATGATTATGTTACTTTGGGAATATAGAGTTTTGTGATCTGGGAAGACGTATAAATGTGCTTCCCTGATCTACTCAAATGCACGAGAGAGGTATTTTTCATGTATATTTTAGCCCAGAGAAAGGGCTTAATCTCTTCAGCCAGTGGATGTATATTACACTTTTAAAGAATTCTTCTGAAATCTTTTTCTGTGCCATATTTTCAGACAATTTCAAGTTTATTCTGCTTCAGCTGTCATAGTGGCAACCCGCACTAAGAGTTTGTCACCAAACTCTCATCGTTAAGCTTGGAATGTCTTCAAGTACAAATGGTTATGCAATTTGGGAATTACCAGTTTATTTTCCAAGAAGGTAAGATGCATCCTGTTGGTGAATGCAGGACAACCTGGCGGGCCAGGTGCATAAATCTTTGACTTCCCCACCATGACGAGGTTTGGATAAGACTTCAACCCAGTGATGGCCAATGAGACTGGATGGTGCAGTCTACAAATATTCCACTAGCTTGTGGTGGAATAAATCAGTGTTGTGTATTTTCTTTGGTCTTTTCTTCTCGGTGCTCATGTGAATGTGCCTATCTGTTCTAAAACCAGGTCATTAAAAATATGTCAATATTTTAAACATTAAATATTTAAATCTGTTATAATTACACAAATTTACATGGTTTACATAGGTTTATTCTTTTTTTCTTGTTGTTTGTTTTTTTGAGACGGAGTCTCGCTCTGTCACCCAGGCTGGAGTGCAATGGCGCGATCTCGGCTCACTGCAAGCTCCGCCTCCCGGGTCCACACCATTCTCCTGCCTCAGCCTCTCCGAGTAGCTGGGACTATAGGCACCCGCCACCACGCCCGGCTAATTTTTTGTATTTTTAGTAGAGACAGGGTTTCACCGTGGTCTCAATCTCCTGACCTCGTGATCTGCCCGCCTCGGCCTCCCAAAGTGCTGGGATTACAGGCTTGAGCCACTGCGCCAGGCCCATATAGGTTTATTTTTTAATATCTATAAACTTTTTGCTTCTAGTTAGTTCACAGCAGAGGGCAGACTCATTCTTTTTTGTAACTTAAAGAGTCAAATTGTTGATAAATTACACTTACAGATAATGTGCTCTTGAGTTTATCGCACCTGAAATTCTCCCATTGACCTGTATATTTTTGGACATGTATGTGTACTACTATATATGAAATATGAAATATATGTATCTTTGATTCATATATGTATGTATTCATATATGATATGAATCATATCATTGATATATGTATGTATATGTGTGTATATATATAAATATATATATACTATTTGTAATTTCTATTATTTTTTCAAGTGACTGTGTGCATTTTAAAATTATTGTCTACTTAGTATTCTGGAAAAAAATTTAGAAGACTAATGCTGTTACATGCTATTTTAGAGTGGTTATGATCAAAGTCATAAAATGAGAAAGTGGTGAACCAGGATGCAAATGGAACATTGACATACTAATACAATTTCACCTAATGTATGTAGCCAGAAGTCAGACACAGTCAAGAAGTTGGGATTTGAAGATAGAAATTTTTAAGAGCAAAAGAAGAGACACTATTCCATGGAGTTTGCATTGTGAGTTTATGAATGAATGTAGAAAATGGTAATTTGGTCTCCTTCATTCCTATGGTAAATGTCTTCATTGATCATAGAAAAGAGGATGTTATTGGATATGTGTGTCCAGATAGTCATTTAGCTGATTCTCCAATCACCAGGCTTGTCACTACCAATGAATGATCCAAAAAAGTTCCACCATGTGACTGACCAGGCACCTAACACACACTATAACTTTTGCTAGGATGTGCAATTTTGACTTAAGATGTAGGCTGGGCTTCTACTCTCATATTGGCTGAATCTAAGTAGCACCTGAACATTGATCCCAAAGAGATGAACCCTACTGAATGTCTTTGTGAAAAAATGGTAGGGTAAAATACATGCAGCAGTACAGAACCTCCAGGCTGGATGCTGTGGCTCAGGCCTGTAATCCTAGCAGTTTGGAAGGCTAAAGTGGGAGGTGAGCTTCACTTGAGCTCAGGTGTTTGACACCAGAAATGTAAATAATTATATATTTATACTTACATATAAAATATATTTATACTTAATTTATATAAGTAATAAAATTACTTATATAGGATTTTATAACAGAATTACATATGTATTTCTGTAAATATATAATATCTGTATTATATTTATCAAATATATAATTTATATTTTAATATAATTTTAATTGTCTCTAATATGTATAATTTTATTGTATGCAATTATATATATAAATATAGAATATGTTGCCTAAATAAAATTATATCTTACTATATAATTATACATAAATATAAATGAATATACATGTCCATAAATTAATACATAGATATATATGTGTGTATATTCATATACTTTTACAGGTGAAACAGACAAATGCATGTGTCATAGAAATGTATACATTTGTATACATATTATTGCTAGACCCTTTGGAAGTCACATATATTACGAATATATATGTATATATGTCTATGACATTTATATTCATCATATATATGATTGCAAATGCTCTAGCAATATCAGTGCATCTTGTTAATATTAGGTGTTGATTCCTCTCATTTTCATCTTGTTTATTGCATTTATAGTTATCCTCAACAAACTCCGAAATAGATCATGAATTCCCAGATTATGAATCATCACATTCCACTATTTTTAAAAAACAACTAGTATTGTCCTACATATCATTCCTTTACAGGATACAAGGTACTTAGGATGATAATTCTATCTCCTTGCATATTTTTAGGTCAAAGAAAACAACAGAGAAAGATTGCTTTATTTTATTTGAAGCTCACAGAGAGGACTCTGACAAGATGATTTGTACATATTAATATTTTTCTTACAAAGAAACAGTTTTCTGCAAAGAAAAAGAATGGCCATCGCAGAAATGCAAATCAAAACCACAATGAGATACCATCTCACACCAGTTAGAATGGCGATCATTAAAAAGTCAGTAAACAACAGATGCTGGGGAGGATGTGGAGAAATAGGAACACTTTTACACTGTTGGTGGGACTGTAAACTAGTTCAACCATTTCGGAAGTCAGTGTGGCGATTCCTCAGGGATCTAGAAGTAGAAATACCATTTGACCCAGCGCTCCCATTACTGGGTAAATATCCAAAGTATTATAAAGTATGCTGCTACAAAGACACATGCACACGTATGTTTATTGCGGCACTATTCACAATAGCAAAGACTTGGAACCAACCCAAATTTCCAAAAATGATAAACTGGATTAAGAAAATGTGACACACATATACCATAGAATGCTATGCAGCCATAAAAAATTATGAGTTCATGTCCTTTGTAGGGACATGGATGAAGCTGGAAACCATCATTCTCAGCAAACTATCGCAAGGACAAAATACCAAACACCGCATGTTCTCACTCATAACTGGGAATTGAACAATGAGAACACAGGGACACAGGAAGGGGAACATCACACACGGAGGCCTATTGTAGGGTGGGGGGAGGGGGGAGGGATAGCATTAGGAGATATACCTAATGCTAAATGACGAGTGACTGGATGCAGCACACCAGCATGGCACATGTATACATACGTAACTAACCTGCACATTGTGCACATGTACTCTAAAACTTAAAATATAATTTAAAAAAAGAGAAAAAAACCCACAAAGACAAAAGTCCATTTAAAAAAAAATTACATTTTGGGCAGGCACGACGGCTCACGCCTGTAATCCCAGCACTTTGGGAGGGTGAGAGGGGAAGATCTCTTGAGGTCAGGAGTTCGAGACCAGCCTCGCCAGCATGGTGAAACCCCATCTCTACTAAAAATAACAACAACAACAACAAAAACTAGCGTCATGGTGGCACGTGCCTGTAATCTCAGTGACTTGAGAAGCTGAGGCAGGAGAATCCCTTGAAGCCTGGAGTTGGAGGTTGCAGTGAGCCAAGATGGTGCCATTGCAGTCCAGCCTGGGTGAGAGAGGGAGATTCTGTCTCAAACAAAACAAAACAAAAACAAAAAACCATTATATTTCATTGCATTGCTACAAGTATACTACTATCCCAAAGCACAATTTACAATATAACAAGTAAGTGTGAATTCTGCGATAGCCATAAACACTTCAAAGACAGTCCATCATGTGATAAAGACACAAAATAGTGATTGTTTTGTAACTGCAAGAGATGCTAAATAGTACAATTGCAACATTTTGTTTTGTTTTGTTTTTCACGGTAAAAGTACAGAGTTATTTATCTCAATACCAGGTGATTTCTTTTGAATCAAAGACTCTGTATGTATAATCCTCTTTCATATGGAAGGATACTATTTGATGGGTTCGTTATTTTCTTTCTATTTTTATTTTTTTTTTGAGACGGAGTCTCGCTCTGTCACCCAGGCTGGAGTGTAGTGGCACGATATCGGCTCACTGCAAGCTTCATCTCCCTTGTTCACTCCATTCTCCTGCCTTAGCCATTCTCCTGCCTCAGCCATTCTCCTGCCTCAGCCTCCCGAGTAGCTGGGACTTACAGGTGCCCACACCACGCCCGGATATATACATATATATGTGCGTGTGTGTATATATGTATATGTATGTATTTGTGTATATCTATGTATGCATGTGTGTATATATGTATGGGTGCATATGTGTGTATATATATGTGTATATCTGTGTGTGTATATATATATACATACACACACACATATTTTGTATTTTTAGTAGAGACGAGGTTTCACCATGTTATCCAGAATAGTCTGGATCTCCTGACCTCGTGATCCACATGCCTCACCCTCCACAAGTGCTGGGATTACAGGCGTGAGCCACGGTGCCCAGCCTGTTATTTTTGAGTAAATGACCAGTGTGTATCATGAAGCTCTCTTTCCTACCCAGAAAAACCTGCCATATAAGATAAATTTTGAAGCTTCTTTTCTATTCCTTATTCCTCTACCTCTTCTACGGGAGCAAGAACTTAAGCCCATCTTTCCCTGCCCATTAAGAAAAAAACAATCCTTTTCGACACCCCTCTCCCCACTTTCTTTTTTGAGAAAAAGTACACTTAAATGGACTTTTGGGAAAAGTCCATTAAAAAAATTATATTTCATTGCATTGCTACAACTATGCTACTATACTAAAGCACAATTTACAATATAAAATGTCAGTGTTAAGTCTGCAATAGCCACAGACACGTCAAAGAAAGTACATCATGTGATAAAGACACAATATCTTAATAGTGATGCTTTTATAATTGCAAGAGATGCTAAGTAGTGCAATTGAATCAAATTTTTTTTTGTTGTTTCATGGTAAAGTTACAGAGTTATTTTTCTCAATAGAGTACCAGGTTATGTCTTTCAAATAAAAAACTCTGTCCTCTTTCATATTCAAGGATATTGTTGACGGGTTTTTAGTTTGTTTGTTTTTTGAGACGAAGTTTTGCTCTTGTTGCCCAGGTTGAATCGCAATGTCACAATCTGGGCTCACTGCAACCTCCGCCTCGTGGATTCAAGCAATTCTGCCTCAGCCTCCTGAGTAGCTGGGATTATAGGTCCCCGCCATCATGCCTGGCTAATTTTTGTATATTTAGTAAAGACAGGGTTTCACCATGTTGACCAGGCTGGTATTGAACTTCTGACCTCAGGTGATCCACCTGCCTGGGCCTTCCAAAGCACTGGGATTGTGTCCAGAGTTGGTTCCTTCAGATGGGTTCTTGGTCTTGCTGACTTCAAGAATGAAGCCATGGACTTTCGTTGTGAGTGCTATAGCTCTTAAAGATGGTGTGTCTGGAGTTTGTTCCTTCAGCTGTTGAGATGTGTCTGGAGTTTCTTCCTCCCAGTGGGTTCCTGGTCTCACTGACTTATCATGGTTTCATATATATATATATACACACATACACACACACATACACATACAGGAAAGAGATTTATGGACTCACAGTTCCACATGGCTGGAGAGGCCTCACAATAATGGCAGAGACAGGGAGGAGCAAGTCTTCAAGGTGGCATGTCTGGCATTGCTGGTTCCTCCCGGTGGGTTCGTGGTCTCACTGACTTCAGGAATGAAGCCGCAGACCCTGGCGGTGAGTGTTACAGCTCATAAAAGTAGTGCAGACCCAAAGAGTGAGCAGCAGCAAGATTTATTGTGAAGAGTGAAAGTACAAAGCTCCCACAGAATGGAAGTGGACCACAGCAGGCTGCTGCTGCTGGCTCCGCTGGCCAGCTTTTATTCCCTTATTTGGCCCCGCCCACAGCCTGCTGATTGGTCCATTTTACAGAGCACTGACTGGTCTATTATACAGAGTGCTGATTGGTGCGTTTACAATCCTTTAGCTAAACATAGAGTGCTGATTGGTGCATTTTTACAGAGTGCTGATTGCTGCATTTACAATCCTTTAGCTAAACAGTGCTAAATGGTGCATTTTTACAGCAAGCTGATTGGTGCATTTACAATCCTTTAGCCAGAAACAGAGTGCTGATTGGTGCATGTTTATGGAGTGTTGATTGATGCCTTTACAATCCTTTAGCTAGACATAAAAGTTCTCCCAGTCCCCACTTGACCCAGGAAGTCCAGCTGGCTTCACCTGTAAGGATTACAGGTGTGAGCCACCGTGGCTGGCCCCAGGTTTATTTTTATGTAAATGACCTTTTTGCCTCATAAAGCTGTCTTTCCTACCGGGAAAAAGCTGCCAAGTAAAGTAAATTTTGAAGCCTACCTCTTCTATAGGAGCAAGATCTTAACTCAGTTTTTCTTTGCCCATTAAGAAAAAAAATGTTTTTTGGGAACCCCTCTACCCCCCCTTTTTTTTTTTGAGAAAGGGTCTTTCTCTGTTGCTCATGTTGGACTGCAATGACATGATATTGGCTCACTGCAACCTTGACCTCCTGGAATCTAGCAATATTCTCACCTTAGCCTCCCAAGTAGCTGAGACTATAGGTGCCCACCATCAAGACTCACTGATTTTTGTCATGCACAATTTTGATAGATTAAACAGGAAACTCTTCACTACAGATCTGAAACATGAGGTGGAACCCTCCATATTCCCACTGCCATCTTCCCATGTATGTATCACACCCACCCTGCAACAGGAGTAAGAATGGTCCTTAGTGGTCTTGCATCTGATTACAGACTTTTTAACCCATCCTTCTTTATCCTAAATTCCATAAAGTCCCTGGTAATTCTGCTTAACTTCAAGTTTAAGTTCATGTTGACATGATCTTTTCCAACTTTGTGTGCCTGGCTGATGCAAATCACAACTCCCTCTAGAGAAACTTCCCATAAAATACTGCCCTTTCATCTGTATTTTCCAAGACCTTACATTTGCTTGCTACTCTGTTTTCCCTTCCTGGTTTAGAGGAATAATTTTTATCTCCAGTCTCCTTGGCTGGAGTCTTGAAGTTTCAAATCTTCAGGAGATATAACCTCCCTCACAAGAGTCAACACGTTGTTTTCTACCACTTTCCCACATTTGGGAGCTGATTCTGGACACAAGGAGGTCATGCAGAACTTTGGGCATTGATTTCCAATGCTACCCGTGACTGCTTAAGATTTACATCTCTCTAAACTTGGCATGTATATCATGCTTCTTAAGCATGCAGGCCTATGTGAACCATTCATTCTTCAGTATTTCAGGTACAGCAGATCTAAAGTGGAGCTAATAAACTGTATATATAAAAGCTATCAGGTGAATCTAATGGAAGTAATCAGTAAGCTACCCCTTAAAAATGCCTAATTGATAATGCCACCATTTTCCTTTCATTCCATTGCTTTGAAAATAAACACTGACCAACATATATACAAAAATTAGTATATTGCATCACCTTGATGACTGTCTCACTTTTTAGAAAGCTGCAATTAGCTTTTTATAATTAAGATATTGGCTGGGTACAGTGACTTATACCTGTAATCCAAGGACTGTGGAATGCCAAGGTGGGAAGATAACTTGAGCCCAGGAGTTCTAGGCCAGTCCAGGCAATGTAGTGAAACACTGTCTCTACAAAAAATATTTAAACATTAGCCAAGTGTGCCTAATTTTAAAATATTTTTTAAAGATTAGTATGTAGTCCTAGCTACTGGGGAGGCTGAGGTAAGAGAACTGATTGAGCCCAGGATTTCCACTCTCTACTTTGGGAGAAATGCTAAGGATTCAGGGAAATGGAGAACATCTCCTCCCTCACACACAGTCTACAGATTTTTTAAAAAGGCCAAATTCAAGTGTACATACATAATCACATGCCCCACATATGGTGATGGTAAGGCTGTTGATTACCAGTTCATGATGCACCTATTGCACTATCCTAGTGCATTTCACTTTCATCCAGGTGTGTCTGAACTTCAACCAGACTCAAGTTCTGCAGGAACATAGATATGTCTCAACTTCCCTTGGGCTGGTAAGTTTGAGCTGATGCAGAGATCATATCTATCTTCTTGAAGAAGTTCCATGGCAAAACGCATAAGTGTTATTTATCAGTTTGTGTCAGAATGGAATAACCAGCCTTCACTTTCAAGAACACAGCCAGTGGAGCAGCACTGCTGTATCAATAATAAATAAATAAATAAATAAATAAATAAATCTTGCTGTATCACAGCACCCTGACAAGGCAGTGATTGGTGTGCAAAGATTCGTGGCACTTTACTTGAAACTTTCATGGAAATATTTATTCAAATTCCCCCAAAATATCAAAAGTTGAGCAAATTCAAATTCACAGGCCAAAATGTTTTTGTATCTGACATTCAAACCTAAAAACCAAAGTGAAGTTAAATCATCACTTTGTCCTTAACAATTATGAACTGTTGATATTATATCTATTTAATGTGTTGTATTTGCAATTTTACCAGAAAGCTAGCAGTACGTTTCCCATGGTAGCACAAATAATACATTACCTCCTTGCAAATTACATTTTAAAATTCTCTAACATTGGAAAGCAGAGATAACTTAGGTTATTATGTGGTATGAATTTGTTCTATTAAGTCTAATTAAGACTGATAGAGTTTTAAGATCATGTTTCCTTTTTAATAATGAGACAATTTAGACTCTAATATTAATTATATTACTCATCTGAAGAATAGTTAAATAAAACAATTGACAAATAATCGATGAAACAATAAGCAAAAATAATGGACAAAACAGTTACGACATAAACAAGATGTTTGTTTTAACCAAGAGTGAAGCTGTTCTATTTTAAGAAAGCACTTTTATTTCACTTGATATATAGCCCAAAAGGCCAAAAAAAAGTATTTTAGTAAAATCACATTTTACCCAATGACCCAGGTTGCAAGAATATGGTGTCTTTAAATGATGTCTAAACTTTTTGATTTGAAAGAAACATGTATTTCTGGTCTATAGTTTGACACAACTACATCATTTAAATGCACATGTACCATAAAACTTAAAGTATAATAATAATAAATTAACAAAAAAAATTCAATAGTTCTTTAAGGAAAACAATTCTGGTAATAATTACACCTGGCATTAGCTACCTTGATGGCAAACATCTTGAATATCAGAGTGAAAAAAATCTGCCAAGTCACTGATGTGGTTTATCTGTGTCCACACTAAAATATCATGCTGAATTATAATTCTCAATGTTAGAGGTGGAGTCTTTTGGGAGGAGATTGGACCATGAGTGTGGTTTCCAATGATTTAGGAATATATCCCTAGTGGTGTGTCATGATAGAGTTCTCAGGAGATCTGGTTGTTTAAAAAGTGTGTGGCACCTTCCTCTTCTCTCTCTCTCTCTCTCCTGCCATGTTGCAGAGAAGGTGCTTGCTCCTCTACACCTTCTATCATGACTGTAAGTTTCCTGAGAACTCCACAATGATGCTTCCTGTGTAGCCTGTGAAACTGTGGGTCAGTTAAACCTCTTTTTTCCAGAAACTACCCAGTCAAGGTAGTTCTTTATAGCAATATGAGAAAAGAATAATACAGTCATTTTTATGTCTCTAAATAGTTTTGCATAATGTATTTCCCTAATGCATGTATGTGAATGTATGCATGTATATTCACTGATATCAACATTTTAATAGCAATATACTAGCTTAACTATTTCTACTGACTACCATAGATTCCATTAAATAATTTGGTGACACGTAAGTACAACATCATGTAACATTAGGAATCTTCTCACTGAATGTCTTTCTACTTGTGATTCATGTTAGCATGTAACCATTTTCCTGAATTTATAATATTTCAAAAAATATCTGTTTTTTGTTTGTTTGGTTGGTTTTTTAAATCATACTTTAAGTTATGGGATACATGTTCAGAATGTACAGTTTTGTTACCTAGGTATACGCGTACCATGATGGTTTGCTGCACCCAACAACACATCATCTACATTAGGAATTTCTCCTAACGCTATCCTTCTCCTAGGCCCCTACTGCTGACAGACCCTATTGTGTGATATTCCCCTCCCTGTGAGTATGTTTTCTCATTGTTCAACTCCCACTTATGAGTGAGCACATGTGGTGTTTGATTTTCTGTTCTTGTGTTAGTTTGCTGAGAATGATGGTTTTCAGCATATCATTGATGGACATTTGAGTTTGTTCCAAGTCTTTGCCATGTAAATAGTACCTCAGTAAACATATGTGTGCAGGGGTCTTTATAGCAGAATGATTTGTAATTCATGGGTAAATACCCATTAATGGGATTGCTGAGTCAAATGGTGTTTATGGTTCTAGATCTTTGAGGAATCGCCACACTGTCTTCCACAATGGTTGAACTAATTCACACTCCCTCCAATAGTGTAAAAGTGTTCCTATTTCTCCACGTCCTCTCAAGTATCTGTTGTTTCATGACTTTTTAATGATCGCCATTCTAACTGCCATGAGATGGTATCCCAATGGGGTTTTGATTTGCATTTCTCTAATGATGAGTGATGATGATCTTTTTTTCAGATGTTTGGTGGCTGCAAAAATGTCTTCTTTTGAGAACTGTCTATTTATATCCTTCGCATACTTTTTGATGGGGTTGTTTTTTTTTCTTGTAAAGGTGTTTCAGTTTTTTGTAGATTCTGGATATAGCCCTTTGACAGACGGATAGATTGCAGAAATTTCTTCCCATTCTGCAATGAGTTCACTCTCATTATAGCTTCTTTTGCTGTGCAGAGGCTCTTTAGTTTAATTAGATCCCTGCTGTCAATTTTGTTTTCATTTCTTTTGGCGTTTTAGTCATGAAGTTGTTACACATGCCTGTGTCCTAGTTTTTAGGTGTTATGTTTAAGTCTTTAATCCCTCTTGAGTTAATTTTTGTATAAGGTGTAAGGAAGGGGACTGGTTTCAGTTTTCTGCATATGGCTAGCCAGTTTTCCAAACATATTTATTAAATAGAGAATCCTTTCCCCATTTCTTGTTTTGGTCAGGTTTTTCAAAGATCAGATGGTTGTAGATGTAAGGTGTTATTTCTGAGGCCTGTGTTCTGTCCACTGATCTATATATCTGTTTTGGTACAATATCATAGTGAATGGACAAAAACTGGAAGCATTTCCTTTGAAAACCCGTGCAAGACAAGGATGCCCTCTCTCACCACTCCTATTCAACATAGTATTGGATGTTCTGGCCAGTGCAGTCAGGCAAGAGAAAGAAATAAAGGGTATTAAAATAGGAAGCAAGGAAGTCAAATTGTCTCTGCAGAAAACATGATTATATATTTAGAAAACCCCATCATCTCAGCCCAAAATCTCCTCAAACTGATAAACAACTTCAGCAAAGTATCAGGACACAAAGTGAATGTGCAAAAATCACAAGCATTCCTGTACACCAATAAGAGACAATCAGAGATCCAAATCCTGAGTGAACTCCCATTCACAATTGCTACAAAGAGAATAAAATACCTAGGACTCCAACTTAAAAAGGGATGTGAAGGACCTCTTCAAGGAGAGCTACAAACTGCTGCTAAAGGAAAGAAGAGAGGACACAAACAAATGGAAAAACATTCCGTGCTTGTGGACAGGAAGAATAAGTATCATAAAAATGGCCATACTGCCCAGAGTAATTTATACATTCATTGCTATTCTCATCAAACTACTATTGACTTACTCCATAGAATTAGAAAAAACAACTACTTTAAATTTCATATGGAATCAAGAAAGAGGCCACATAGACAAGAGAATCCTAAGCGAAAAGATCAAAGCTGGAGGTATCATACTACTTGACTCCAAACTATACTATGAGGCTACAGTAACCAAAACATGGCACTGTTACCAAAATATTTGTTTTGTAAACAGTTCTGTAATCTCACATGCTTCTACTTTATAGCTAAATACATTTTTATTAGTGATTGTTGCTTCTAAACAGTTGTTTTAAAATATATACACAGTTATTGTCCATTTAGTAAAAAAAACTGTTAGTATATTTTAAAATGGAGATAAGAAATATTGCTCTATAGCTTTGTCAAATGATTTGGAAGTTTTATCCAAGATGACTTTACTTCTCACTTATCTTCTCAGTTTTTTTGTATTATTATTTCAAAAGTAATGAGAGTAGGTCACATGAATTGACAATGTCAAAATTACATAAAGCAGAAATATAATGATTGGTTTTTATTAGACAGTAAAATGTAGTTGACTACCTACTATAACAATGTCCAACTAAATAAGAAAAAAAAATGATTATCCAACTCTTAAAGTTATTTGTAAAAGGCATACCTTTGTAAAATCAAGAACAATAAAGCTAAACCATTAAAGCCATTGTAATTTTATTTTAAAGTGGGAATTCCAGACTGTGAAGGGAAATCTTTTTCTAGATTATTTGAATCCAGAGGAACTCATCAATGACCATGACTCTATTTAAGGGGAAAACTTTCAATTAAGTCACCAGATTGCTCTCTGTTCAATTCATGCACACCTGCATTGAGAACAATACTCTAATTAAATCAGTTAATCATAAATGCTTGGATTGAACAGGGACCTATGAGAACATTCATAAAAATGATTATGTGTTGAGTTATAATCATGGATTGTCTTGTAATGATGAAACACTTTTTACCCTAAGTGGATTAGAAAAATCACAAAGGAATTTTTCTTGGCTTGTATGCCACCTATATTCTGTTAGGATTCAGTTTTCTGTTCATTGAAATTCCCTGGATTTCTAGGATCAAGACTGATTCACAAAGAGTCAATCCCTTACTGACACTGATGATAACCAATGTTCGGTGTTGGAGGTTGGGTGTTCTGGGGAAGCAGGACTCAGCCTGTCATGACCCCTAGACTCAGTTCATCCTGTCATGTCCAGAACAAATCTCCTCAACTTATGATTTCATTGTCTGATCTCTGAATGCCCACCTGTGCCCCTCCTGGTGAGATCTGGGGACCTCAGATCACTCTGCCTTCTTTCACTGCATGCTAATATCATGAGTTTGCCTCTTCATTGTATAAGCCCTATCATTTTGCCAGGGCCACTGAGTATGACACAATTCATGAGGATGGCCTCATATGCATGGCCTTTGTCAAAACCCACAGAAATTCTGCTTAGCCTCACTCCTATAGCAGTGAACAAGCAAAAGCTGTCATTATTGTTTTCACCTCGTTTAGTCTGTGGTTCCACAAAATCTGTGTGACCTTTCAAATCCCTTCTAGGTTTGTTACCTTTTTCTGTATTATCAAACACTGACACTTTTCTATCCACTCACATGCTAATTTCCTCATTAGATCCACACTTTTCTCCCCATATGTGTTCCCATTTAAGATCATTCCATAATGATTGGGCCATCCGTATCTATTAGTCAACATAGTGAGACCGTATCTCTACAAAAAATAAAAATAAAAAATTAGCCACACATAGTGGCACACACCTGTAGTCCATGCTACTTGGGACGTTGAGGATGGAGGATTGCTTAATCCCAAGAGGTTGAGGCTGCAATGAGCTATGATCATGCCACTGCACTCCAGCTTGGGTGATAGAGTGAGACCCTGTTTTAAAAAGAGAGAGAGAGAGAGGAAGCAGTCATTCTTGGTTTCCACTGTGAAAATTCATTTAAATGGCAACTTGATTCATAAATATGTACCAAAATTTCTGTATCAAAAATGGAGTTTGAATTGAACTTTTTGAGACTTGATAGCAAAATGATGATATTACCCCATATCTATTGTCCTTTCTATAATATAAAACAAACAATTTAACTTTAATTTTCCCTCTCACTTTCCATTAAACTGACTGCTTTTAAAGGCTAGTGGATTGGCTTGGTCATGTATATTTCAAGTAGATAACACTAAAATAAAATAGATGGCAAAGGTACAGTAAAATCATAGAGGCATAGGCTTGCAAAGACCCTGGTAACTCCACGTGTTGAAAATCTGAAGAGGCCTTATGTAGCCAGAACTTATGGTAACATCTTTTAAGTAATATGTGTTAAATTTGGATGACACAAGAGGTGTGAATGAGAAACCAGCCAGTATATAGAATGGAGATAATTTCTTAGCTTTATATTGTATGTCTTAGATTGTTCTTAGGTGAGGCATGAAGAGTTTCTAGGAAACTTATGTGATAAATTATAGAAAAGGACTGCTTTACTGAAAACCTGAAAATGAGTATATAGTGAATTTAAGGAGGGAAAAGCCGAGTTTGAGATAAACAACATACAGCAACTTATGTCCCTCTCTTTATATGTGTGCGTATATGTGAATTATTATTCTAAAATTCCTGTATGTGCTGTGAATAATTTAAGTTAGAGAAGAACTCTGTCAAGGAGAATGCATGTTCCAAGTCAAGAATTTGCTGTAGGTCATGTGACAGAATTATAGAGGCAGAAAGTTGTTGCACAGTGAAGGAAATAATAAAAGAAAACAAACAAAAAACCTAAGCTCAAGATGGCTGAGAGCTTGTGTGTGTGTGTGTGGCGGGGTGGGGGGGGCGGTGGTGTGTGTGTGTGCAGGTAAACCAAGACAGAGAAAGAAAAAGGAAAAGAGGGAAAGAGAGACAGAGACAGAGAAAAGGAGAGAGAAAGAGAGAGAGAAAGACAGAGACAGAGAGAGAAGAAAGGGAGAAAGGGACAGAGACAGAAAGAGAGAGAAAGAGACAGAGAGAGAAAAGAAGAAAGAGACAGGGAGAGAAGAGAGAGACAGAGAGAGAAAAAGAAAGGGGGAGAAAGACAGAAACAGAAAAAGAAAAAGGAGAAAGAGACAAAGAGAGGGAGAGGCAGAGAGAAAGAGAGAGGGAGAGAGAGACAGAGACAGAAACAGGAATGTAAAGAGATTTGGATTATTTTGAAATTTATAAACTTTTACTAATATTTTAGAATGAATCAAAATGATATATCAAAGCATTATGAAAAATATTGAATATTTTATTTCCTATACCACATATCCAAAATAATAAAACTCAAAAGATTAAGAATCTTCTTTAAAAAAAATGGCTGATTCTGTTCTCCCTGGTGAGAAAACTCCAGTAGACTTTTTCTTTCCACCCTAAATATAGTGAGATTTTTAGCATGTATAAGAATGCAATTATTTGGCATGGGGTTCCAAATTGCTAATGATTTTGGTGGTAAAGTATGTTTCCATTCATTTTTGTTTGTTTCTTCTCTAAGAAATAATCACAGGGTGGCTTTTAAACAACAGACATTTATTGCTCACAGATGTAGAGGCTGGAAAGTCCAAGATCAAGTAATGGCAGATTCTATGTCTGGTGCGAACCTACTTCCTGGTTCATAGATGGAGCCTTCTCACTGTGTCCTCACATGGCAGAAGGGGCGAGGAAGCTCTCTGTAGTGCCTTCTATAAGGGCAGTAGTCGCATCTGTGATGCTTACCCTCATGAACTCATCATTTCCCAAAGGCGACACCTCCTAACACCATCCCCTTGAGGATGGGGACTTTGACATAGGAACTCTTCAGGGACATTAACATTCACACAATAGCACTAGGTAATGATATAAATAGTGGCCCTAGATCAAAGAGCCCTGTGGAGCCAGGAGAGTATAAAACACATGCCAGATTAAGGATTAAGTGGGCCAGGAGGGTAGCTCACACCGGTAATACCAGTATATTTAGAGGCCAAGGCAAGCAGATCCCTTGAGCCGGGGAGTTTGAGACTACATGGACAACATAGAAAATCTTGTCTCTACAAAAATGCAAAAATTAGCCAGTCATGGTGGCAAATGTCTGTGTCCCCAGTTACTTGAGAGGCTGAGGAGGGAGGATCTCTTCAGCTAGGGAGGTGGAGGCTGCAGTGAGACATGATCATGCCATTGCAGTCAAGCTTTGGTGACAGAGTGAGACCCTGCCTCAGAAAAAAAAAGCTATTCCGTATATTTTTAAATATTATGAATTTAAAAAATTAAAAGAAATTTGAATAAGTATCAGAGTTAGAACATGAACTTGGTGACATTTTTTGGAATAGTTCCATCTCTCTTCCTCCAGGTTGGAAAGCAAATATTACATTTAAGAACAAAGACTAATATAATATTATATTATGGTAATATACATGCATATATTAATATGTGAGTGGTGATATAAGATATGAATGGGAATATAATAAATCATATTAGAAACATTGTTTTACAATGAAAGTTCCAATTTTGAATCATAAAATTAATATTGTTCATATACATTCACTGAATGATGTGTGCAATGTTTGGGTGATAATGCAGATAAGTAACAATAATATATACATAATGGCAGATATAGCAAACAGATTTTTAAAAATTTATTTCTATATGCTTCCTTTTTAATTTGAACAATTTTAATAATTTTTAAATTACACATTTGTTGTCAGGTAATAAATTACATTCAGGAGCATATAAATATATGTGCTGTATAGTGTATAATATTCATTTGGCTTGAATGATGTATCCTTCACTTAAGGAGAGACTGCTCACTCTTCTCTGTCCTTAGAAAGGATTTCTTAAACAACCTGAGACATGGCCCTTTCTGAATTGAGAGTACCTTTCTAATTGAGAGTTATTTATAGGCATCTGATACTCCAGCCAGCAACTCATTCAGATGCAGCTAGAATCAGACCCAAATCACTTCAAAGAAAGCACCTGTCATTGACATTTGATTGCAAAGATGAATAAAGCTGAAAAACAAATAATCCATATAAAAACATTCTTTATATATCAGGCCTTCAGGGGAAATCCCTGTAAAATAATCATGCCACTGAAGAACGTATGCAAAGGGAATGTTAGACCATTGTGGCTGCATGTCTCTTTACCCTGCCTGAGTGTACAATGAGGCTAATAGACAATGCCCACTAGTGCTGTAAACGTGTAAGAACAATAGAGAAACACATAAACACAACAACATTTCTTGATCCGTTGCTGGGATCCATTGATGAATGGCAGCTAATTTTTAAAAACATATTAAATATCGATATGTCATTTATGCATGTGTAAAACTCACTTTTGTAGGGAAAAGCTGAATTTGAACCTCAGTTCCAGATACAAAAATTAACGATTGCATATGTAAACCAGATGCATGCAAAGTGGTTGTTTCCTAACTCTCTTGACAGTGTCCTTTCCTGCAGGGCTTTCTCAAATAGCTTTGATGAATATATTCAGGCCAGCCTTTGGAAATGGAGCAGGGGGTACATCAAGCACATAAATGGCTTGATGCTGTCTTTGAAATAACACATGAATTCTTGCTCTATTAATTTCTATGAAATCTGATAGTTAAAAAAAAGAAGTCTGCACTGTGCTCAGTGGCTCACACTTTTAATCCTAGCACTGTAGGAGGCCAAAGTGGAAGGACTACTTAGACCAGGAGTTCAGAGACAACTCGGGCAACAGTGGGATCCTGTCTCTACAAAAAAAAAAAATTAAATTAAATTAAATTAAAAAAATTAAAAAAAACTTAGCCAGGCATGATGGTGCACACCTGTGGGCCCAGGTACTCAGGAGGCTGAGGTGGGAGGACTGCATGAACCCAGGAGGTTGAGGCTGCAGTGAGCCATAATTACACCACTGCACTCCAGCCTGGGCAATGAAGTGAGACACTGCCTCAAAATATAATAAAAAAAACACCTGGCTCCCTCCCCTTGTCTTCTTCCTTGTGCTACTCCCAACTCCCCTTTTTCTTCCATCATGAGTGAAACTTCCTGAGGAGTCACCAGAAGGAGAGACTGGTACCATGCTTCTTGTATAGCCTGCAGAACCGTGAGTCAAATAAACCTCTTCTTAAATATATAAATGACATAGCTTCAGGAATTCCTTTATAGAAACACAAAGCAAGCTAATACACAGAAGTTCAATATCTTTAGGTATTGGAGAAAAAACTATAGAATAGAAGATATGGACATTCCCAACTAGTGGAAATGTGGGACAACAAGGACCCTAAGCATACATGCTAATGAATACACAGCTGTTCTCCAGCACATCCTATGACTCAGTCCATCAATTACCTGCATCCCTAACTTCTACAGAATCCTAACACAGCCCCACCTCCCTGATAGAGACCCTGTCCTTAACTGTAACTGTAGCCTGACAGCTTCATTCCCAGAAATGTCAGGTGTTCTGAGATTTCATGTCTACTACTATTCTTCCAAGGTTTCTCAGCCTCAGCACTGTTGACATTATGGGCTAGGTAATAGTAAATTTGTGCATTATATTGACTTTTATCCACCCTATGCCAGTGGACAAAAGTGTATTTCCTTCCCCGTTTTGATGACCAAAAATAAGTGGGACAAAATTGCCACTTACAGTTCTCACACTGTTCCTGATTCATTGGAGTCTGGTCACCAACCCTTCAAAATAATCTGACCTTTGTAATCCCTGGATTTGGACATGATCCCATGCCCAGTATATCAACCCATTTACAGAATCAAAGTCTAGATATTGGACTCCTTAAAATACTACTATACAGACCCTCCAAAAACACAGACCCTACCAAGACTCTCTATTAATGGGAATCAAGTTGCCATTTATTTATCTCCTCATCAATGAAACTTTCAGAAATTCAGGGAAGAAAGAGTCAAAAATTGACAACATCAGAGACCCTGGTTGGGGAGGCTGACCTACTATCTACCCAACCAAGCTCAAGACCTAGGGCTGCAAAATGAGATAGTGGAGGAACTCTGAAAGTGAGCCTTGGTGCAGGAATACATAGGGAGTTGGAGATGTAGGGCTGGGAACACAAACTTGCAATAATCAGTAGGTCTAGGAATTTGGGGGCATACATTTTTGGTCTACCACAAGCACATATAGATTGTTGAAGTTCTTACTGGTGGCAAGACATGGAGAATTCTGCATATCTCTAGATTATAAATCAGATACCTATAGGTATTTCCTTCCTATGATTTAAAAAAGAAATGTTCATGTTGTTGTAAACACCACTTTAGTATTTTAGAGATTATAGCCTGATCCAACCCAGTGGAAATTCTTAAGCATTTCCTAAATCATGAAGTGGTATAGAATTCTCTTTTAACCTCTCCATATGTTTGTTAGAGATATTTTGTTGAAGAGTCTTCAGAGAGCACACTTTGTTCTCTCAAGCACTGCTGAATTCTTGACAGGAAATAAGTCTCCTCATTCTCCTTCTAGAGGAGTAAACCTGCTTTGATTTGAAGACTTGCTGTCTCTCAGAAGCCACTGGGGAACTTGAGAACCACAAGAGCTGCTGTTTGAAGCCAGTATGCCTAATAAAAATGAGAAAGATGAGAGGGGGCTTGCCTGATGCAGATGCACCTTTAATAATCATAAAGCATATTTGCAGGATTTTAAAAATGTTAAGAGTCAAATTATCTTCCTCTGAATTTATGTTGGCTGGGCTTAATCAGAAATTCTGAAAACAATTTAACTTATTAGGAAAGACTGCTGCATAAAAATGTAGTAAGACTTTTATTTTTGGCTGAAAACCTTATTAAGAACACAAAGTTGTTGTGTGTGTTTGTTTGTATATAAGATTAAAATTTTTTTATATAACAACCTCTAGTCCAAAGGATTAATATAAAATGTATATCATTTTATGTTTACACATATATATGTATACTGTACATAATGCTATAATATATAGTATATTTTCATTTTAATATATACTATCTTATCTATGTACCTTTGAATTTGTATTATCTATATACCTATATTATGTGTATATATTATATTTAATATATATTATATACATATTGTTGTATCCATGCATATTATATATAATATATATCTATATGCATACTGTGATGTAATATAAATACAGTATGCTATTTTGTATACATCGTATATAGTATTATAAATATATGCACATGCACTAATAATACACAGTGTACAGATGGCAATTATGTACTTATGCTTTTATTTATATAATCTTTAGAAGAGTTTGTTTTGTGGGTCCATGTTATTGTAGTTTTGTCAAGTTTAGTCTAAGGGGCAGAGGAATTTGTCTTTCTTGTAAATCCAAGAATGTTTGGTTTTCAAGGTTTTTTTCATCAATTTTTATTTAGTCACATTTGAACATTGTAACTGTAGTCCTTCAGACTTAATTTCTCATTGTGACTCTCTTGATGCTGAGACAGCTCTCCCTTCAATTCATAAAGCCACAGCAGACATTTCTTCACAGGTAGTCCTAAAGAAATCAAAGTAATTGGTTCTCAAAGCACGAGTAGATGATTTTGTAAAGTATCTAACACAGTACCTGGGAAGCTGAGACGCCTCAAAATGGGTTTCTTGAAGGAAAGAAGGAATTATACAAATAAACGAAAGCATCCTTGATACCACAAAACAGTAATGTAGCAGTTGTAGCAGCTAAGTAAGCTTGGATACAAAAGTGAAGCCTACTCACAGTTGGTTTTCAAAGCCAATCCAAAGGGCTTAGAAATGAAAGTTTAAGGTAGGGGCAGAAAATGTGTTATAAAAATGTTTTATTTCTTTTTAGGTATGATAGTAGCCTGTTTTCACACTGCTATAAAGAATTACCTGAGAATGGGTACTTTACAAAGAAAAGAGGGTTAATTGGCTCATGGTACCTTGGGCTATTGAGGAAGCATGGTTGTGGAGGCGTCAGGAAACTTAAAATCACAGCAGAAGGCAAAGGGGAACCAAGCTTGTCTTCACATGTCCAGCAGGAGAGCAAGAGAGAGCACAGGGGGAGGTGCCACACACTTTTTAACAATAAGATATTGTGAGAACTCACTCACTATCATGAGAACAGCAAGGAAGAAATCTGCCCACCTCCCACCAGGTCCCTTTCCCAACACTGGGGATTACAATTGGACATGAGATTTGGGTGGGGAAACAGAGCCAAACAATACCAGATGCTTTATACAGAATAAGAACTGGAGTTGGTGTATCCACCTGGGGTGGTGAAAGGAAAAAGCTCAAATCTGAAAGGCCTGGTAAAGAATAAATCGACAAGAACTAAAAAGCTAATATAAGAGATAAAAGGAGAAGATAAATTCAAGGAGCAATAGAAAATCCTCTTGAATAAAGAGAAAGGTAATATTGGGGTCAGACATGCTGATTGGGTTTATTAGATTAAATGACTTGGTGTAGCAGAGACACAAGTTTACACAACCTAAAAGTCAAGTTAATGACTGCAATAGGAAAAGCATATTGGTTATGTTTCTACTTCCAGTTTGGTAGTCTTGAGCAAGCTAATAGGAGATTAAATATTGGCAACTAATGGGGGTGCAGTTTCTCAAGGCTGTAATTCCAGCACATTTGGAAGCTGAGGTGGAAGTATTGCTTGATCCCAGGAGTTTGAGTCCAGCCTGCCAAAAAAGTAAGCTACGATCTCTACATTTTTTAAAAATATGAGTTGGGTGTGGTGGTATGTGCCTGTAGTCCCAGCTATTCTGCAGGCTGAGGTGGGTGAACTGCTTGAGCCTGGGAGGTAGAGGCTGCAGTGAGCTATGATTGCACCACTGCACTCCAGCCTGGGCAACAGAGCAATACCCTGTCTCAAAAAAAAAAAAAAGGTTAATAATAGCACCTATCTATCTCAGAGAGTTTATATCAGCTAATCCATGTATGTCACAGGTTGTCTTGCTCATGTCAAGAACTTAATCATTACCAACACTTGTTGCTATTAAGTTTTGTGTGGAACATGATTCAGTGACTGTGATTCACCTTAATATATCCTGTGCTTAGAAATCCAAATGAACACATAGAGTTATGGCTTTGTTTTTGGTGTCTAAAATAATTTTAAAGTTTTCACGTAAGTATCATTGCAATGTGTATCAAGTAGAAATGAGAGCCATGCAAATCCTAATGTCAACTCTAAAATAATTTTATACAGCATTGGCAGAATCCACAGGTCAACAACACATGAGGTGGGCAAAGCCTTAGGAAAATGAACAGTCTCATTTGTCTCCGGTGACAGAAGAAAGTTTGGTGTCTTCTTTCTTGGACATAATTTGAAACATCTGTCAACATGACAAGTGCATTTGCCTGTTGAACTAGTGATATACACTTTATTTTTTAGATAAACACGTAGCTGTGCAAAGTGACATAGTACACATTATTCAAATAAAGGTTTTCTGTCATTTCAAGAGACTGGAATCAACCTATGAAAATCATTCTAGCCAATTAATACTATGTAAGTTAAAAAAGTAAACACCTTATGAAGGCATTTGAAAAGATGATCAGAACAGATAATTTTGGGGGGAAATAAAAGTCAAGGTGCAGATCTCCCAAATTCTGAGTAAAAATGAATAATACATTATGCATGTATACATTCCCATACATATTTAAATATATATGTATGTTTATTTTATTGGCATTTATGTAACTATCCATCATCTATCTATCTATCTATCTATCTATCTATCTATCTATCTAATCTATCTGTTTATGGTAGGTAAAGAGGCAAAGAAGAGAGAGAGAAAAAGCATTAATTTATTATGGTTGCCATAACAAAATACCAGATTGAGGGCTTCAACATCAGAAATGTATTTCTCACAATTATGGAGGCTGGGAAGTGCAAGATCAACGTGTTCACTGATTTCATTCCTAATGAACTCTTGCTTCCATTCTCACCAATTGTGCCTTCAAACTATATCCTTATGCAGAGGAAGAGAAAAAGTCTGATTTGTTTAGCCTTTTATAAGGATACTGATCTCATTCATGAGTCTTCACCCTTATGAGGTGATGACTCCCAAAAGCCACACCTCCCAATACCATCAACTTGAGGTTTGGGTTGAATGTCTGAATTTTGTGTAGCCCAAATGTTTAGACTACAGCAGCAACATACAAAAATGTATGAAATTATCTAATGAGGTCAGCAGGTCTGGATGTATAAAGACATGTATATAAAATGAGACTTATTAATGCACATAAAATGAGACTTATTAATGCATATTCATTTATACATTAATTTTAAAGTTTTGAAACAAGAAAGTATTGTTTCAAAAATAAATTTGAAAATTATAGTATATCTTATAGAGTCAGACAGGCTTAATAATTTTTAATGCTTTAAAATATTAGGTTTACAAATTCTACATGAAAATTATGGAATTACTAAAAGGAAATATTTAAAATTTAGATTTACATAAGTATTATAGCCAGAAATTCAGTTGGCTATAATACTTTTATAATTACAGACTTTAAAAAATCAGTATTAATATAGAATATGTATATAAAATTTGTAATGATATATAATACTTATATAAATACACTTTAAAAAATTACTGATTGTATATAGCTTAACCTTAAATATAGATATTAATTAATATGACTATATAAAATATTGAGGTAGTTTAAATATAAATGTTAATAATTTAGCAATATTTAGACATACATAGCTTTTACTTTTCAAATTTATATTCTTATAACTATAATATTTAATCTGAAAAACTGTTTCAAGGAAAAAGTAATATATGCAAAGAAAAACTTACCCAGCCATTTTTCTGATTATTAGGCTTTTAGTGGATGAAATGATTGTGAACTGAGGTTTTTTAAAGTTCACTGCCTAGTATATTACTGAATGAACATATCCACATGCAGTTCCTAAATAAGATGTACAAAGAGATTTGTGGTTAATGGCTTCATTAAAGGAAATTTTCATGATATTTTATGAGAAGACAAATTCTACAAACAGTGTCAATTATTCTTGTTGATATAATCATGTTTAAAAAGCATGGGCATTTATTTTGATGCCACATTCTTTGAATTAACAGCTAAAATATATTTTATTGCATGGGCATTTATTTTGATGCCACATTCTTTGAATTAACAGCTAAAATATATTTTATTCTAAAATAACAGAGAAATACATATTGATTCTGTTTAGCCATCTAGAATTACTGAGTGTTTTGTTTTAGTGTTGGGCAGTATTCATTTTGCAAAATTTTTTCAAGGCATGCAATTATTATTCAACACTGGATAGTACCAATTCCACCAATGTTACTATAGTATAATGTTACATAAATATACAAGAGGACATATCACTTTGTAATGCTAAGGACATTCACTTTGAAATGAATAAAATTCCTTCTAAATATTTGAGAAAAAGCTTTTGTTTAAAGAATATGTTTTATAGAAATAAGCCATACTTATGGGAAAATTCATCATTAATAAATATGAAATCCCATAGATATCCTACAGAAGAAGAATTTATGAACACTGTCCCAAAAAGTACAGAATATTTTTGGAAATTCAGGCACCATGTTGGACTTCTTGCCAGTCACTAGGCTTCCCACATGAGAGAGACTTTCTTATCATTTAATAAGATAGATTGATTTTGCATTAGTTTTCAACTTTTTTATTAATAGTATCCTGGTTAACCAGTAACATCAGTGTCTCCTGTGAGGGGTTAAAACAAACAAACCGGCAAAACAAGCAAAAAAATGTATATCTCAATTTAAACGTGGGCAAAGGACTTGAAGGGACTCTTCAGAAGAAGACATAAACATGGTCAACATATATATGCAATGAGGCAGGACCTAGGACACATGCAGTTAAATGCTGGAATAAGCCAGAACTTACATGCACTTCGGTCCATGTCCTAGGCTCTAAACCTAGTGAACCTAGTACATAACTAAAATTTCAAACCTACCAACAAAAGTAAAGTTTGCTAAAAGTTAACAGTATAACATGTATGTAAGACTATTGAAAAAACAGTTTGCATACACTTTGGTAAAAATACTATAAGGAGACATGAAAATGTGGATTTTTACCTAGATTAAAAGGTTAAAGAATTGTTTTGAAGGTTTAAGCAAGTTTCAGAGGGTTAATTGTAAAGGAAATTCTGTGTGTAAACATTGGCTAAAGTTAATAGGTATCATTTAGTTTTTTGTTTTTTTTTTTTTTTTTTTTGTAAATTGAGCATTAAAATAAAAATACAATAGGTTTCTCTTAAAGCACTAACCCACTCTTTAAAAAAATTATAAAAGGTTAAAAACAGCCTATACAAATCTTATGTGATAGTCAAACTTAAAATTTGGCAAATGTGTGTATAAGGTTTTATTTAAAAATAAATTTAACATTAATAACACACAAATATAAGGTTATATTATAAGGTAAAATTTGGCTTATTTTACATAAAACTACACAGGAAGCATTGTCAAATATAAAACGGTGTTTGGCTTTCTTTGGGCAACATTTGTAGAAATATGCTATTGATACATGTTCCAAAGTTATGGGAGTCTCCTATAATTCTGATATATCTGGTGTACACTATTGGTAATAATTAGAATTGTTATATTAAAATTATTGTGTGCCACAAAGGTAGCTAATATCCTTGTCAATTGCAACTTTATGGCTACCCTAAAACTTTTTGTCATCCAGGAACAATTGTTGTTTTCTTCTGGTCCTCTTTAGAGGGTGTTTTATAATCAGGTTTAAAGCTCTACAATGTGCCCTTGAATGCAGGTTTCTAATAAAAAGCAGGACAGAAATTAACTACATGAACTGAACTAGTAGGGAACTAGAGTAATCTTTTTGACATTTTGCTTAAAATATTGCTAATCCTTTGTTTTGCACTTCAAAGTCAAATAAACTTTTCTTTTGAGCTATTGACAGTTTTTAACAATTTAGTAAACTGTGAACAAAATTAGGCAGATACTTGTTTCTCTCTACCTGATGTTCTCCAGAATTTGTTTTTTTTTTTTTTGGTAGAAAAATATTAATTAATTTATTTATTTATTTATTTATTATTAGTATACTTTAAGTTTTAGGGTTCATGTGCACAATATGCAGGTTAGTTACATATGTATACATGCGCCATGCTGGTGTGCTGCACCCATTAACTAGTCATTTAGCATTAGGTATAACTCCCAGTGCTATCCCTCCCCCCTCCCCCACCCCACAACAGTCCCCAGAGTGTGATGTTCCCCTTCCTGTGTCCATGTGTTCTGATTGTTCAATTCCCGCCTATGAGTGAGATTTTCTCCAGAATTTGTAAACAATCTGTGAGTATTCTTAAGTTATGGCAGTGTAGATATTTACACAAGTGAAAAAAATCTGTTTTCTTTTGTAACAGGACAAAATTGAAGAAACAGGTAATTTTATCAAGGCTTTAACTGGAATGGTGTGCTTTCCTTTGAGGAATCAAACTTATTTATTGACATTAATTAATGTTAAAAGGGAGCTGTCTCAAGTATAAGTCATTTTTATTTGTGTTTGTTTATATACTTTTTGCGTGTTATATTTTGCAATAAAAGTAATTTAAAGTGAAAAGAACAACTAATACATAACACCAGGTGTTGATGTTTCCATGTAAAACATCACCAGGTCATAAACAAGAAACACAAATATTACAGAAGCTTTGGTGATGATCTAATCATTTAATTCTGGAACAGAATGCAGATTTGCAAAACATATCATCTTAGTAATCTCCTTGTGTGGCTCACTCTGCTTCTCTTTTTTCCAACAAACAGAAAAAAAAAATTCTCACCATATGCAACCTTTCTCTCCCCCATTTTTCCCTGTTTCTCCAAATACGAGTGGCAGAATATCAAAGTTCTAAATTGAAGGTCAGGAGTTTTCAGTTATGATTTCTGAATGACAGTGAAAGTTACTTGCCATATGATCTTTGACATATTTCCAAAGAGCAGTAGAGATCAGCTTATTCTTCATTAAAATAAGGTAATTGAGTAAAATTATCTTTAAGAGATTTTTATGCTTTAAAGTTTTATTGTTTCAATACAATATAGCACCATATTTGTGTTCAAAAAACAAGACAATATTTCCTGGATATTTTACTCATAAGTGCATCTATATTTCTAAGTAATGGCCAGAAATGAGACACATGATGTCTGAGCATTAGATTTTAAAAGTAAATACTTCCTTCAAATTATCATTTCATCATAAGATTGTAGCGATTCAAATTGTTAATTCAGCATTCAGGAAAATGGAAATAAAAAAAAGTACTGTGCAGCTGCATCTCCGAAATGGGATGCGTTTGATGTTGGAAAACTAGACATAGGTTACCTGTGTGAAAATACCCACTGAAGAGTTTCTAAGACAGCAGCCGTTGTATTTGAGACACAGAGTGTTTTTGCATCTTCAGTGAACCTCTTCCTACTATAAAGTAATTGAAATGCAACTAATCATGACACCTTGATTGGAAGACTTCAGAAGTTAATTAAAGAGAGTATTTAAAAGATTTTTTTTTTTTTCCTTTTTTGAGACGGAGTCTTACTCCGCATCCCTGGCTGGAGTGCAGTGGCACGATCTCGGCCCATTGCAAGCTCCGCCTACCGGGTTCACTCCATTCTCCTGCCTCAGCCTCCAGCGTAGCTGGGAATACAGGCGCCCACCATCACGCCGAGCTAATTTTTTTTTTCTGTATTTTTTCTTTTCTTTCTTTCTTTTTTTTTTTTTCGGTAGAGATGGAGAAGGTCTTCATCTCCTGACCTCGTGATCTGCCCGCCTCGGCCTCCCAAAGTGCTGGGATTACAGGCGTGAGCCACGGCGCCCGGCCTCTAAAAGTATTTCTTAAACATGCCTAATATGACCTTCTAGCACAGGAATTTTCCTAGGAGAATTATTCACTGACTGGCTCCCGAAGTTAAGAAAATCAATTGTCAATTCTCTGTGGAAGGCCTGCTAATTAAAATGCTGATTCCACAACTTATGGAAGCTCTGTATTTTCGACTTAGAGTAGTGTCTTGTGAGCCAGCCACACTTGATAATGCAAAATTGTTAAGTTAAACACACACACACACACACACACACACACACACACAGAGAACACCTCCCCAGGAACCTATGATGAGCCAAGTAGAACTGCTTTATTAATTGAACTTCTTAGTTATTTAATAAATCTGAAATAAGCCCGGGGGGTGAGGCACAAATCAATGAGGAGTGGAGATAAATAAAAAGGGGGGTGGGGTGGCTAGAGTCTTTCCAGAAGGCAATGCAAAATGGTGCTGATACCCACTTCAGTCATGTGTCTTGCTGGATAACTCAGGTTTCTCTTAGAATTGGAAATAATCTGAAAATTTGGCTACTAAACACATGAGATTTTCACAGAATACTGTACAGGAAAAAACAAAACATCACGTAAATGAAACCCAGATTCTAAAACATAATTGATTCAATCCAGGAAACAGTGAAGGCAAACTTTGGAATAAGAGACTGTAAAGTAAAAATCCTTTCAGATTGTTAAAAGAGGATAATTTTTATTGAGAAGTAAAAAATTAAGAATTTAGGAGAATTTCCAATAGCACTCAGTAATAATCTGTGAAAATAATAATTATTCTGTGAAAATCGTATGGGTTTAGGAGCTAAATTTTCAGGTTCTTTTCATTTATTAACACAACCTCTAATCCGTGCATCATATGATTGCAGTGATTCAATCTCTAATACATGGTAGATAATTGGTAAATATTGCTACCAACAACATTAATTTTCCTCTCAGGGTACCATGTTGATTAACATCCTACTCTGAAAGTTTTAACCTCTTCAATATTGTTGCCATACTTCCAAACACGGTGATCACTTAGTCATTTTTCAGCACTTGGAAGCTTTCTGTTTAGACGTGGTAGATCCAGTGTCTATTCTCTTATATGGTCACAGAGCAAAATATTTCCATGTTCTTTTAGATCTGTCATTCTTATTCTGCACACTATGCAGGTTTTTGTATGTGTCTCACTTCTTCCTAACATAAAACTTTGCACATTTTCTAATGTTTCTTTCAAAACTCAAGAAACAGGGAGGAAAATATTAGGATGAAAGATCACATACGAAAGAAAAATCAGTTCAGATTGAAAAAGCAGAATAATATTACTAAGAATTAAGAAGAATTGCCAACAACTAGAATAACACATGATGCATACAAACCTTGAGCAAACAAAACATTCTATATAAGAAATTATGAAAGAGTTTCTCTGAGCAGATTTGGTTAAAGTCAGAGTAGTTCCAGGTTTTAAATCACCATATGTACTCATCTTAAGCAAACTGTAATAAAATAGCACTGAAAGTAGAATTGCTTTAAAATGGTTGCAGAATGTTTACTTTAACATAAACATTTCTAAATTACATCAAGAAGTCAGTAAGCTATAAGAAAAGTGTTTCCTTCTCGACAATAGATCACATATTGGTTTGTACAAACTAATCAATTACTCTCTTGGTTTATCTGGCAAGTGAACTGACCAAAACAACATACAGGGTACTTATAGTCAATGCAACAGACAATTCTCAACATTCCTTGTTTAAGGATTAGTCATGGATACATTGCTAATGCAAGTTGTCTGATTATGTCAGGCGAAAACTTCCTGTTTAATACATTTGACCAAGTCCTAACAGGTGGCCTTTAAAAGTGGGACCTATTGAGTGAAGTAGGAATTTCGGGTTAGTGCAGAGAGCAGACATACTTTTCCTACTGGTAGAGATGATTCAAATTTTCTTTGATTTCAGTGCTAATTATTGAGTTTCATAATTTTGAATGTCTCTGGGCAAGTGTTCAGGCAATTGTTGTGGTGGGAATGCTCTTGTCTCTTGTTCAGATTTATTTTTCTTATTTAGAGTTGCACCAAGGAAAGGTACATTTTCCTTTTAATGCAAAGCCTTCTAATTAATGAAAGGAATTGTGATGGATGCAGGGCCTGGAAACATACCCAAGTAACAGATACCTTTTTAAAGATTGTGAATTTCTTGTAAGTCAAGTTATCACACACTTTGATCCTCCTGCATATTGAACTTTAAAGAAGTCCACTGTACCAGTTGGTCTAGCCATCATTATAGTCGTAATAGCACACTGAACACTTGTAATATATCAGGGACTGTTATATAACCCACCTGGTTCTTACAAATGTCACATGTAGGTAATTATTGTTTTCCTTTTTTTTTTCTTTTCTGCAGATTTAGCTCAACAAAGCGATGCAAGAGGTGTACCTGTGTCAAAATCCTACCCTCTTTCCTTTACAGCTCCTTTCTTGTTACGAAATTAGGGAATGACTTTAAATTTACCTTCACTCCTTGCTCCAGCTAACACTTCTACACTCTTTCCTCCAGGGGCATATTATGTGAAAACGAATGGACAAAAATAAACAGCAAAAACAACTTACCAAGAGTGGATACTTTTAGAAGATAATATAAATAAATTCTCTACCGTGAATTCTACCTTCATAAAACAACCCTGTACCCTGAGGACCATTCACGTTCATCTTTATGCACACTCCTTTCACAAAAAAAATGGTTGCATAATTCATACTGACAATATATTTTATCTGTTTTATCATCCCCCATTTCCCACTTCCTTACTTTGGCACTAGACAATTTTTTTTGATATCCATCTCTACTGAATGATTTATTCCACAGCATTTAGTGTTTTGTTTGTTTGTTTTTGAGAGAGAGTCTCACTCTGTTGCCCAGGCTGGAAAAGGAAAGATATTTCCTTTTCCACTATAGGCCTCAAATCATTCCAACAGTGGCATGATCTCAGCTCACTGCAACCTCTGCTTCACAGGATCAATTGATTCTCCTGCCTCAGCCTCGTAAGTATCTGGGACTACAGGTGCCCACCACCATGCCTAGCTCATTTTTGTATTTTGGTAGAGATGGGGTTTCACCACATACCCCAGGGTGGTTCAAACTCCTGGCCTCAAGTGATCTTCCCACCTCGGCCTCCCAAAGTCCTGGTATTACAGGCATGAGCCACCACACCTGGCCACATTTAATATTCTGACATTTATTTATTTATTTATTTATTTTTGAGATGGAGTCTTGCTCTGTCACCGAGGCTGGAGTGCAGTGAAATGATCTCGGCTCACTGCAAGCTCTACCTCCCAGGTTCAAGCGATTCTTCTGCCTCAGCCTCCCAAGTAGTTGTGATTACAGGGGTCTGCCACCACACCTATGTAATTTTTGTATTTTTCGTAGACATGTTGTTTCACCATGTTGCCCAGGCTGGCCTTAAGCTTCTGACCTCAGGTGATCCACACACCTCGGCCCCCCAAACTGCTGGTATTAAGGCATGAGCCACCACACCATTACATTTAATGTTCTGACCTGTCTTTATATAATTGTGCTGTTTCTTGGAATTTTAATATGATAAATTTGTGTTTTAAATATTTTAGTTGACAAAAAAATGCATTTACTTGTGGAGTATATCACAGTTCTTTGGTATGTGTGTACATTGTGAAATTATTAAATCAAGCTAGTTAGCATAGCCATCTCCTCACAGAGTTATCATGGTTTTTGATGGGGACACTTAAAATCTACTCCTAGCAATTTTTAAGAATACAATACATAATTATTAACTATAGTCATCATACTGTACAATAGATCTTCAGAAATTATTCACCCTAACTTCCTGTCATTTTTCCAGTAGCCTTACTTTGCATTATTTAACCATTATGCCTGATAACTTTGTTTCCTTTAACCAGTATCTTTAATAACTTTGTGTCCTTTAACCAATATCCTTGATAACTCTGTTTTTTTAACCAATACTCTTGATAACTCTGTATCCTTTTACTAATAACCTTGATAACTTTGTTTCATTTAACTGATATCCTTGATAACTTTGTTTCCTTTATCCAATATCTACACATCATCTCCCCTGCTCCAGCTCCGTAACCACCATTCTATTTTCTGCTTCTGTGAGTTTTATTTCTGTTTTTAGATTCCATGAACAGGTGAGATCACAGGGCTTGGCTTATTTCACTAGGAATAATGTCCCAATATTTTGCAGTTTATTCATGTTTCTTGTTCTCTTAAAGACCCTCTGCTAAACTGCAAAGGGCAGCCTCAATGATTGGAGATGTGGCCAATGAAGAAATTTTCCAAGGTGTTCTACATTTTAGAACTGTGGCTGTTTGGCAGTTTGTGTGGAAATCATCTCTGTATTTCTTTCTCATGCATTAATTAGGTGAAAGGCCAGGGGAAGGTAAAGCATGGTAAAACATGGCTTTGCTGCTTGGAGCTTAAATCACTCTCATTCTCCATTTTTTCAGACAAAACTATCCTTCTCTCCTATCTCTCTTATGTTCTTTTTCAGTTTTTATACTTTTACAGGAAGATTCTGTAACTATTTTAAAAGAATTCTTCTTTCAGTGCCATTTTATTGCAATTTGTTTAAGATAGGTACTTATGGTGATTTAAAGTTTGGAACTACTCTGACCCTAGCTAAGTCTGGTCAGGGAAACTCTTTCATAAGCACATTCAATATTTTTGGAATTATATATTTGAAGCAATTCATAAATGACAGGTTGCTTTAAGGCACCTCTTCAGATAATAGGCTTCTGGAAATTGCATGAAAAAATATAGTATATTCATCTCTTGGGTCAAGTTCTTGCCATGTGTTCAAAAATCTTTTTGTGTTGCTTCTTACTCTAGCCAGTGAGATTTTAAAGGAGGTGTAAACTGTGGAAATTTGAGTATCCCAAATTGCATTATTCTCTGTCTCTCTCTGTCTCTCTCTGTTTTTGTAGGATGTAAAACCATATAATCATTGATTATAAAGTGTTTATACCATTTAAATTTCCAAAATAGTAAAGCTTAATAGAAGTAATGGAAAATAGATGCAGTTGGCATTTTCACATTGTAGCAGTGCATGTAGAGGACAAATAAAACAAAAATTGAATTAAAGTCTCATTATTCTCAAGGATCTATGTTTTTTGTTTTTTGTTTTTTGTTGTTGTTGTTGTTGTTTCTTTGTTTTTTAAATAATCCTCTTCAATGAAGGAAGTATCTCCCTGATTGCTTTCCCATGCTAAGGGAAAATAAAATTAGTGACAGGAAATCACAAATGAACATTCACCTTTACCTACCGACATAATTAGATTTGAAAGACAGACAATGTTTTCACTGGGGAGCAGAATTCAAAGGAGATTTTACACTGTAATCAAGAAAACATGACCACTTGTGTGAGAATGTTAATAGTATAGAAACAGTCATTATTTCAAATAGAATTTCCTTGCAACTTACATGAACTTTGCTATTATTTTATCTGGAAAGAAATATTCACTTACAAATGAATTTAATAGAACAAAACATTTTTTTTTACAGTTCCATAATTGTGTTCCTTGAAAATTCAGTGTGTATGAGAAGCATGCAAAACATTATTCATCATCATCAGTGAAATGGGTTTAGCTTCCATACTTGAATAGTTATAAACAGATTTTTCACCTATGTATACGTCTAGGGAAATCTGTGAAAAGTGTGAAGTCAAGGGACAATTCTAAGTTCAGAACTGTCCTGCATCTTGTTGTAGAGATTAGCACTTCTGTAATCTACTGCTGAGAAGAGTCCACCATCCTTTTGAAAAACACAATTGACTCCACAGATTTCTGAAATGTTAAAATATTTTATGTGATATTTGCTTTTTTAGAGTGAAATATCATGATCCTAAGGCATCCCCCCAAAACTAAACAGATGCTACTTATACATTTCTACTCTGCCCAGTGACAACCTGTATTTCAATTTTTTTTTTTTTTTTTTTTTTTTTGCGTAAGATATTCAACACTTTCTGATGAAATAGGCTTTGTGTTAGGTGATTTTGTCCAACTGTAAGCTAATGTCAGAGTTCTGTTAAGGTAAGCTAGCCTAAGTGCTTATGTTCACTGTAGTAGGTGTAACATATATGGCTGAGGAAATATCTCATGCAATCATAGGAAGATGGCAGTGTATTTACAGAAATTTCTTAAATAATTTTCTTGAAAATATGTTTAGTGCTATGTTAAGGGAACACAGTGCTGGAAAGAAAAAAATAGATCTGCTTATTACTTGCCTTGGTGAGGTGTTGGTATTTACATTTTACGTTTATAAATACATGCATACACATGCCACTGTCATTGCATAATAAAAAGAGAATAGTTTATTAAGAAATACTTGAAAAATGTTATTTACAAATGGTATTTAATATCCTTCCCAGGATATTAAAGTAAAAGTAGAGGTAATTATCATGAAAGAGGACAAAGAAATCAAAGAACAGCTTCATTCTGTAGAGCAAAATTTTAATTTTAAACAGAAGATTTTTTTTGAAGTGAGAAGGTCTACTGTGTGTGTATTCTACATTTAGAAAACTATTTTAATTTCCTTGCATTTTTATAAATTTGTGGCAATGATTTTAGCTTAATTTTCGGTGCAGACATAATGAAAGGATTAATTATGCTGTGAAATACTCTTCTGAAAATTTATTTAAAGCAATAAGCATCCATACAATATTTAGAATAACATTATGGTAAGCTATTGAGAAAAACTTTGAATTAGGACATCCTTGTACAAAACTGCTGTCATTTGTTTCAGAGTTTTTCTCTTTGCCTTAATTACCACTTCCATTTTTCTGTTATACAGGCATGGCTGTCTATTTGCCTAGCTACCCTGCTTTGATTGTAAGTGTTTCCATTTAGTTTTCAAAAACTTCCTTTATAATGGATGCTGAATAATGCTTTTTGTCATAACATATTTTGCATAAAGAACATATTTAATACTGCTTGATTTTATAAGAATAGTTACACAGAGTTGTTAAATGTGTTTTCAGCAAAGAACATTTTCTGTAAGAGTCAACACAAATTGTTATTTTTATCATATTTCAGAGGTCATACTGAACTGTTATTATTTAAAATGTTTGATGGGTTCAATAATGATATTGCCTGAAATGAAGCAATATCAAGTGTAAAAATGTTGTTTTCACTTTGTAGTCATTAAGAAATTACCCAACTACAGCAGTCAGTTATATCCAATAATCTTGGGGACAAATTAATGCATTAATTTTACCAAATGACATTCTTACCACTTTACAAATTTTTCAAAAATTTGCTTTTCCTATTTCTTAAGCCAGGCTTTCTCAAAATATGGTCTCTGAACTAGCAATATACAGATTGCCTTCTGTCCTGACCAGGTCTGCATACCACTTTATCATCATGACAAACATGCCCAATTTGACCTACCACACCAGTTAAGTTAGATAGATGCTAAGACAAGTTTGTGCATATAAATACAGGCCTTCTTAATGAGACCCGAATTATGTATGCTGTTGAAAATTCCACCTTCTACAATGAAATTCATTAAGAAAATGAAAGGGAAGTGAGGTAGGGATTTGTGAATTAGCTTAATGCAATCATTCTACAGTGTAAACATATATGAACATATCATATTGTGCCCCATAAGTATGTACAATTATTGTCAATTAAAAATAAAATAAAGGAATGTTAGGAATTACTTTTATAATAGATTATATCTGTAATGTTATATTATCTTATTCTACTGTTGCAAGTAGTAAATTGTATTGATTTGACTTTTTACTTACTCTTTTAGATATTTAAATATAGGTTATGCTGTTCTCAAAGATCAGATCACCCTGGAACTACTTCCATGAATAACCAGAATTTCACATTAAAGAATTTCACCTTTTAGATAGATGTATAGACTAGCCCTATGACCTGGCATGGCTTACAGGAATCAGGGACCTTCAGGGAATGAATTGAATAGAAATGCAATAGAGAATGTGGGATTGGAACTCATTATTTCAGAATTGTAGTTTAGTTTTTCATTTTGAGAAACCCCTTCTGGTATGGTTTGACTCTGTGTCCTGACTCAAATCTCATCTTGAATTATGATCCCCATGTATCCAGGAAGGAATCATGTGGGAAGCAATTGGATCATGAACGTGGTTTCCCTCATCCTATTCTCATGAAAATGAGTGAATTCTCATAACATCTGACACTTTAAAGGTGTCACTTGCCTTTTTGGTCTTTCTGTCACTCCTGTCATCATGTAAGATGTGTCTTGCTTCCACTTTGCCTTTTGCCATGACTGTAAGTTTTCTTAGGCCTCCCTAGTCAGGTGGAACTTTGAGTCAATTAAATCTTTTTTCTTTATAAATTATCCAGTCTTAGGTAGGATAGTTCTTTATAGCAGTGTGACAATGGACCAATACAGGTTCTTTGCTGTTTCTCTCTTATAAGCACACATGAATAACCCTAAGGTTCCCTGCCCTGTAGAGATGATGGTGTGAACATCAACTCCACATTGAGTCAGCATGAGAAATGTAGTTTCTCATTGTAATGGTGACCTCAGTAAAGCTGACAGTCATTAGCACTGCTGATATTTGAAAGCAAAAGATAGCTCAAGAAAATCAGACACATTTGGTTAAATATATTAATTTTCCACTCCTGCACCTATTCAAATGCACAATTCTTGCAGTTATTTTTCTTACAGTTTGTTTGTGTTATTCTGATTTTGGACTCCCAGATACTGCAAACACTTTCAGAAGTTCTGAGGTATAAATTCATTGCAATATCCACTTACTAAGTGGAATGCCATTTGATCTTGGGTTTGTCTTTCTGTATCCAACAGTTGATAGAGAAACATTTCCAAAACAGATTATATCAATGGTTTGAGTCTCTAGAAATACCTAATTGAAGCTTATCCCTAAACTACGGTTGTGCTTCATGTCTATGTTTTCACTCTTGTTTATTATTATATACCTCTGAGGGGATGTCCCATCACTCAAATGTCAACCATTAAATCACAATGAACTGCCCCATGCACTTCATGAGACACACTCCTTCTATTGTTTATTGCCCACAATTGGGGAATTACAGTGGGTTGATTATAAATACTTTATGAATTCATTTTTATGTATGAAAGTTCATGTGAAACATATTTGTTTGTATTTACAGATTATCAAACATCTCCCCCAAATAACATGCTTTAGTCTGGAATGCAGTGTTTAATGGATATTTCATTACCCTATGTTCAGGATTTTTTTTAATGAGTTAATCAATGAACGTTAGCATAAATCATCTTGCTTTTACATAAACTCATGATGAAAATAATTCCAAATAAAGTTGGAGCTCAAACCTATATTCTATACTTGATATTCTCAAGTCTATCTTCTGAATTCCAAGGATTATTTTATAAATGGGCTTCTTCCCAAACATTATTATTGAAAATTTTGGAGCTTAGAAACTTATGCTCCAAAATATGGTGTTTTGACGTGCTCAAGCTAAGAAGCTTCAAGATCTCTCTTACCCTCCCCACACCTCTCGCTGTCTCTCCCAAAGAAGCTGAAGTTTCTTTGTCTGCCTAAGGTTCAGAGCCACCAAAGGTAACAGTTGTTCTTTCTCCACTTCTCTACTACCTCATTATTTACTGAAGAAAACAAAATCAAGGTGTGGCCACACCAGAGGAGACCTTTTTATAATGACTATTTCCAAAGATCAATTAAATTAAGTTACCCAGTTAAGTTAATCTCTGTTCCATATTCAATATATTCAATTATTCTCCCTAACAATCATATTTCCACTCCACAGAATTCCTTTTCTCCCTTTCTCATAACTCCTTTGATATAGTTTGGCTGTGTCCCCACCCAAATCTTATCTTGATTAGTAGCTCCGATAATTCACACATGATGTGGGAGGGACCAGTGGCACATAATTGAATCATGCAGGCAGTTTCCCCCATATTTTTCTTGCAGTAGTGAAAAAGTCTCACAATATATAATTGTTTTATAAGGAGTAACCCCTTTTGGTTGGTTCTCATTCTCTTTGCCTACTGCCATGTGAGACGTGCCTTTCACCTTTCACCATGATTGTGAGGCCTCCCCAGCCATGTGGAACTGTGAGTGCATTAAATGTTTTACCTTTATAATTACCCAGTCTCAGGTATGTCTTTATTAGAAGCGTGAGGAAAGACTAATACACTGTTCTACCGGGATCCAAGTCCTAATTCTTTCAAGACTGTATTTAAGCTTCTGGCCCTCAGTGGGGTTTGGGATCTCCATTCTGAAGGCACCCATGTAGACACATTAAAGAAATTTGTATGTCCTGTCTCCTATTAATCAATCTACCTCATGCCAGTGATTTTTAGCAAACGTTTGGGGGACAAGAGCCTATAGCCACCCCAAAAGAACATATTCACTGTTATTTTCTAGTCCCACCTTCGAGACCCAGACACTGGCCTGGATTTTATTGGAGATTTAACAAATTAAAAATGTTTACATCAAAACCAAAAGTATCCCAAGGGAAGATGCTCAATATCATTACCAATCCAGGTAGAGCAATTGAAGACAACAGAACTGCAGGTATAGTTATTTTGATTTCCTTTGAATTGTATATCCTCTGTGACCAAGAATATTTTTGATAGAGAAAGGACTTTATTTAGAGCACACTCATATATTGAACAATTTATCCGCAAATGTTTTTGACCACATTAATCTTCCATCATTTTCATTTAGTCAGTGCAGAAATATTAAAAGTAGATAATATTTTATAGACTCTATCAGACATTTTTCTTTCAAGCATTCCATTTTGTTACTATAATATTTTCATACAAAGATAAAATGTAATGAGATAACAACTACTGTTGTAAACAGAAGAAAATTTAAAAATTAAAAGAAACATCTCAATCCTTTGGCTAAATTCTTCACAGAGAAATGTCGGAAACCATGTTTCTCAAATAAGAAAATGTGCTCCATCAAAAGCAGTTTCAGTAAACACAACAGGTTTACAAAGATAATTAAACTAAAAATTTGAATACACAATCATGCACTGAAATTCCTATCTAAGTCTCTTGGGGCTAGTATGACAAAATGACATAGACTGAGTGGATTATAAACAGTTAAACTCTATTGCTTACAATTCTGGAGGCTAGAAGTCCAGGGTCAGTGTAAGAAAGATTCAGTCGCTGGTGGGGACCTGTTTCCTGGTTCATAGATGGCACCTTCTTGCTCTCTCCTCATATGGTACAAGGGGCAAGGAAGCTTTCTAACATCCATTTTACAAGAACACTCATCCCATTCATGAGGCTCCACCCTCATCATCTTATGTCCTAGAAACCCCCAGTCCCTATTGCCGCCACCTTGTGGCTGAAAATTTTAAGACAGGGATTTGGAGGCAGACAGATATTCAGTCCATATCAGTCCCGCTTAACACATGTTCCCATTGGCTTCAGTTGTTTCAATTTCTTGGGAATGGATGATGCTTGTGTGTAGTTTATAGGCACAACTTCCTTCACTTTAGTGCTTATGAATGACTTTAGCTACTTTAGTTCTGGCTTTTGGGGGTGGAGAGATATAATGCTACTGGTCAGTGTTTTGCCTTTTTTATTTTTGACATTTTTAGATTTATTGAAGTGTAAATAAAAATAGGAATTGCATATTGTATTAGTCATGGTTCTGCAGAGGAAAATAACTAATAGGATAGAAGTATATGTAAAAGGGAGTTTGTTACGGGGTATTGACTTACATGATAAAGACTTTACAAGATGAACTCCCACAATAGGCTGTCTGCAAGCTGAGGAGCAAGGAAGCCAGTCTCAGTCCCAAAACCTCAAAAGTAGAGAAGCTGACAGTGCAACCTTTAATCTGTGGTTGAATGTACAAGAGTCCAAGAGCTGAACAATTTGGAGTCCAGTGCTTTAGGGCAGGAAGCACCCAGCATGAGAGAAAGATGTAGGCTGGAAGACTCAGCCATTCTAGTCCTTCCACATTCCTCTGCCTGTTTTTATCCTAGCCACATGGGCAGCTGATGTGATGGTGCCCACCCAGGTTGAAGGTGGGTCTCCCTCTCCCAGTCCACTGACTCAAATCTGAGTCCACTAATCTCCTTTGGGAACACTCTCAGAGACACACCCAGGAACAATACTTTGCATCATTCAAAAAAGTCAAGTTGACACTCAATATTAACCATTACACATCTTCTTACAGTATACTATGCTGTTTTGATATATGTGAACATTGTGACATGATTACCAGCATCAAGCTAATTAGCATGTCTGCTACCTCACATACTTAGTGTGCGTGTGTGTTTTTGTGTGTGTGCACATGTGTGCATGTGTGTGTGGTGAGAACATCTATTCTCTTAGCAAACTTCAAATATGTAATATTGTGTTTAGGCAGGATAGGTAGTTAAGAAAGTGACCATGTCCTGGAGATGTAGCAACCATGGGGATCATACAATCAACACAATCAGTCTCAGCATTGGTATTGTAATTGAGCTCATTCAAGCAAAGCTATCTTCAGTAGGGACTTCACGCTGCAGAGAGAATGTCCACTTTGATATTACCTGTCATCGGAGTAGATAGTCCCATCTGGGAATGATGACCCTTGGCTCATTGTAATAGTAAAATACACACCCCTGGGTGGAGATATAAGATGTTAATGAGACCTGCGACCCATGAACAAGCAAGTACAGCTACCATGCATTTGTGCCCGAAGGACCACCCAGAAAATGCTTACTAGCAACACCTCTCCCACATCCTTATGAATCATTATATAAGATTCCATAAAGGGAGTTTCTCCAGCAATAATCAATACTGTCTCATCCTTAAAAGCAGCCCACCTGAATCCTCTCTCTCTCAGTGTGTATTACCTGTCTATTCTACACTTAATTTTCAAAATATTCTTTTTAATTTGCAATAAATTATTCTATGGTGTATCTCCTTTACTATGTGTCTCTTGTTTAAATTATTTTAAACTAAGAAGACAAAAACTAAGGTCTCACAACAGACATCAACAATGTTATTAACCAGCGTCATCCTGCAGAACTGAAATTTACTCTCCTCTCTGCTTCTGTACATTTGACTTTTTTTGGTGCTTCATACAAATCAGTTAATGCACAATTTGTTACTTTTGCTCTTGCAGTCATATTTTTGAATAAATATGTGTAGTTTATGTTTTTTTAAAAAAAATTAAAAATAAATATATAAATTTAGAAAAATATATGGGGCAGGGTACAGTGGCTAACATCTGTAATCCCAGCAGTTTGCGGGGCTGGTGTAGGATGATCACTTGAGGCCAGGCATTCAAAGCTAGATTGGGCAATATAGTGAAACCTCATCTTTACAAAAAGCAAAAGTACCCAGGCATAGTAGTGCATACCTGTAGTCCCAGTCACTTAAGAGACTAAGGTGATGGGGTAGCTCGAGCCCAGGAGTTTGATGCTGCAGTAATCTAGGACTGTATTTCTACACTCAAGCCTGGGTATCAGAGCAAGACCCTGTCTCAAAATAAACAAATAAATAAATAAATAAATAAATAAATAAATAAAACAAAACAAAAACTATTGCTCTTTTTACCATGGCAAATAACTACCTCTTTTTCTTCTTCAATTTTGGGGAAATTATTTGCAAGAATTAGGTACCAGTCTACCTTTTGAATCAGCATGTTTTAGAGGCTTTGACTACTATTTTATTTATTTGGGCTTTACTTAATTATTGAATACCTACTAGTAATGACCAGAAGTATAAGTAAAAGAGTGACCACAGTGAATGAGACCATGTTCTCACTCCCCATTCTTGGGGCAGTGGGTGTGTTGGACATGAAATGTGTTTATGTAGTCATCCTGATTCTTACCAATGATTCCTTTTTTTCTGAAAAGAACACTTATATGGGTTCACAATTTTCCTTTCTAAGGCTCTGCAGCTGTCCAGAATCTAAAATGAAATCTAGAGCTTGGTGTAGCAAAATACACCTTGTCACAAATATGCCCAAGTCATAATTCTTGGTGCCTGTGGATATGCTACATGAAAGGGCAAAGGGGACTTTGCAGATATAACCTAAAAGTGTGGAGATGATCCTGGATGACCCACATTGGTCCAGTGTAATCAAGGGATTTATAAGGAAAAACTAGAAGCAGAGATTGGAGTGATGCTATTGTTCACTGAAAAGAGGCCACAAGCCAAGGAATATAGGCAGCATCTAGAAACTTGGGGGCTAGGCACAGAGGATTACATTTGTAATCCCAGCACCTTGGGAGGCCAAGGTGAGAAGACTGCTTGAGCTCAGGAGTTTGAGACCACCCTGGGCAACATAGTGAAACTGTTTCTCTATGAAAAAGTAATAAAATGGTCAAGCACACCTGTAGTCCCAAGTAATTGAGTGGCTGAGCCCAGGAGTTTGATGCTGCAGTGTAAGCTGTGATCATGCCATTGCACTCCAGCCCAGGTGACAGAAGAATACCATGTCTCAAAAACAAACAAACAAACAAAAAATAGAAAAATAGAAACTTGGAAATTTGGGGAGTTAGATTCTTCCATAGAGTGTTCAGAAGGAACACAATCACCTCACACCTTGATTCAGTCCAGCAAAATCCACTTTGACTTCTGGTCTTCAGAAGTGTGGTTAATAAATTTATGTTGCTTTTAACACTAAGTTTGTGGTCATTTTTAAGAACAGTTGTAGGAAACTAATATGGGATGAATTAAATAAAGGAACACATAGTTAGTGTTATATGTTTGTAGGAGGTGGTTCACCCATTCAGGCACTCACACATATGTCTACTGTTACGGAGCTGATGGTCTTATAGGGCAGTGGTGCCCAATTTGTTTGGCACCAGGGACCAATTTTCTGAAAGACAATTTTTTATGGACTGAGGCAGTGGGGGAGGATGGTTTCACAATGATTTAAGTACATTACATGTGTTGTGCACTTTATTTTTATCATTATTACATTGCAATATATAATGAAATAATTATACAACTCACCATCATCTAGAATAAATGGGAGCCCTGAGCTTGCTTTCCTGAAACTAGGTAGTCCCATCTGGGAATGATGGGAGACAGTGACAGATCATCAGGCCTTAGATTCTCATAAGGAGCATGCAACCTAGATCCCTTGCATATGCATTCCACAATATGTTTTGTACTCCTATGAGAATTAATGCCATCACTGATCTGACAGAAGGTAGAGTTGAGGTGGTAATATAAGTGATGAGTAGCAGCTGTAAATATAGATAAAGATCCATTGCTCACCCACTCTCTGGCCCAGTTTCTAACAGCCCAAGAACCACTACTGATCTGTCGCTGGGGAGTTGGGGACGGCTATTATAGAGAGTATGTGAGTTGCCCCAAACGGTAATTCTCCGTCATCTTGTGTAGCCTGGTTGTTATTGGAAAACCTTCTTGTATGTCCAGTGGACTGACCCAAGTATTAGTTTTGGATGTTCTTCATTTTGGTGCTTTGTTGTCATTATTTTGCAAACAGGGAAGTTGGACTTCATCTTTTTTTTGTTTTGTTTTGTTTTTGTTTGTTTGTTTTTGAGACAAAGTCTCGCTCTGTGGCCCAGGCTGGAGTGCAGTGGCGCAATCTCGGCTCACTGCAAGCTCTGCCTCCCGGGTTCATGCCATTCTCCTGCCTCAGCCTCCCGAGTAGCTGGAACTACAGGCGCCCACCAACAAGCCTGGCTTATTTTTTGTATTTTTAGTAGAGACGGGGTTTCACCATGTTAGACAGGATGGTCTCAATCTCCTAACCTCGTGATCCACCAGTCTCGGCCTCCCAAAGTGCTGGGATTACAGATGTGAGCCGCTGCGCCCAGCCTGGACTTCATCTCTATAGAAACTTTAGTAGATAACTGGGGAAGCACTGTCAGGAAGGCTGAGTCATTTCCTCTTAATGAGGAAGAGTTGGGAAGCAGGAAGCCTTTCTTCCAAGATGGAGGATAAATATCTGCATCTTGCTGATTTTGGGGGTAATCTCTTTTCCTTCCCATCTTCGAGGTGCACAGCATACATTTAATGATATGTGGTAGCTGCAATTGGAAACAAATACGGTGCTTCTCTTCTGTTTTTAGGCACCACGCATCTAGAGACCCATTCATCATCTGGCTTCAAGGCTTTTTGCAAAGCCATGACCAGAAACATATGAGCCTTTGCAATGTGCCGCTTTCCATCTCCTCTTGTCTCCTATCCTTTCTCCTGACCCTAAATGCAGAAAAAGAGGGAAAATGAATAAATACACACCCACATGTTGAATGCAATAAAACAGTGATGATCACAGTCTTAGCTATGTCAGGCTGTTTTAACACAAAACTATAGAGTGTGTGGATTTTAAACAATGTCATTTATTGCTCACAGTTCTGTAGGCTAGAAGTCCATAATCAAGGTGTAGCAGATTCTGTGTTTGATAAGGACCTGCTTCTTGGTTTGTAGACATCCACTAGGTATCTTAATAATAACACTACATACCTCCTAAAATGGCTAAAATGTTTATTTTAAATGGAATAGAAATTGCAACCAGAGCTCCCATTTACTGCTGATTGAATGCCTAATGGTATAGCAACTTTAGGAAACAATTTGACAGTCTTTCCCAAAGCTACCCATGGTCTCCATAAAAGCCAACAATTGCACTCATAGGTATATAGACAACTGCTTTGTAAACAAAAACCAACATGTGATTATGTTTCTACGTTCTCATCCCAATGGCCAAAAACTTTAAGGAATCAGGACACACCTTCAAAAGGTGAGTGAATAACCAAGCTGAGGTACATCCATGCAACGGAACATTATTCAGCAACAGAAGAAGGTCATATATGAAGCTGTTCAAAGAAATGGATGAGTCTGACATGCATATTGCTAAGTGAGAGAAGCCTGTCTGGTTCATAGATGGTACCTTCTCTCTATGTCCTCACATGGTAGAAGGGGTGAGGCAGCTTTCTGGGACCTCTTTTGTAAGGCCACTAATCCCATTCATAAGGGCTTCACCCTCATGACCTCATTACCTCTCAAAGGCTCTGCTTCCTAACACCGTCACCTTGGGAGGTGAGAATTGCAACATGCTAATGTTGGGAAGGCACAAACATCCAGCCTATAGCAAGTAATATGATAGAAATTACAATAAACTAGAAAGATATTCAATAAAAGGAAGTACCATGTGACCTAAAGTAAGAACTTCTCTCTATCTCAGAGAAGTCCACTAGATATGTTTTTGCAGAATGTCTGTCATCAAGTGAGCAAACTTTTCCTGAAACTCCTCAGAGACTCAATATTCCAGGCAACAGAGACAAAAATTGAAGAACTCTGGTGAAAGCAGTATGCTTGCCATGGGCACAGAATACTCAAATAAATTAAGGTTGAATAAACAATTGGAAGTTAGCTTTTGTAATATGTTGGGGGCCAAATTCAAGACTTAGCTGATATTCAACATGTGATAATAACATTCATATGAATAGTCTACACGTGATTATATTCTACATGTGATTATAAAAGCAAGAGATGTATGAACAACCTGTTTTAGTTTATGTTTTTCAAAAATATTCTGGCTTTTATGAAAACAGTGGCTCGGATAAAGATGTTTTGTTAGCTACATTGCTCTAGGCTTGTTGCAAATACACCACATTTATTTGCTCACAGATATGGAGGCTGGAAGTCCAAGATCAAGGTGCCAGCAGGGTACATTTCTGGTGAGGGTCATGTTTTTGCCTTGCAGATGACTGCCTTTTCGCTATATCTTCACATAATTTTATCTCTGTGCATGTGAAGAGACAGGGATGAGAGAGGAGAGAGAGAGAGAAAGAGAGAAACAGAGAAAGAGAGAGAGAGAAATCTGGTGTATCTTTGATCTCTTTTTTTCTTTTTTTTTTTTAATTAGGTCACCATTCTGTGGAATCGGAGCACCAAGCTTAGGACATCATTTAACCTTAATTACCTCTTTAAAGGCTCATTTTTAAATACAGTCACATTGGGGGTTAGAGTTTCAATATATAAATTTTCGGGGGGGGGAGGTGCACAATTCAGTCCATACTGGACATAATTAGAAAAAGACCAGCTCACCTAATTGCTGTGGGAGATGTGAAATTGAGAGAGACACAGTGCATGAGTTCAAGGTGGTGGGAATCATTTTTGACATGTAAATTAATTGCAAAGCCAACAGGATTTGCTGGTTGGCAAAAGAAAGAGGTGCAGGAAAAATGAAGATGAGAATGACTCTATGATATAGGGCATAAGTGCTAACTTTGTATAAAATGAACATTAAATTTGTATGCTCAACGTAAGATTATTTTAGACTGATTTCATTGACTTAGATTGATTAATTCCTAATGTCAATGACATAACTCAATTAACATGTTTATCATTCCTAAGCACAATGGCCCTGTGTTTCTGCTTTTTAAGTACCATTTTTTGCTGCACATTTCTCTGACTCCTTTTCTAAAATTCCCATTCTTAATTTTTCCACTTCCCCATACTCATGCAAATCAGGAATGGTGAGGCTCTAAGATTCCTGACTTCCTGTTTAGCATCCTAATGTTGTTCCATTTATAATTCAGGGTTATAGTTGAATAAAATAATCTCTGTATGTGTTTGGAATTTAAGACTTTATTAAAAATCATTGTATACCCTAATTGCAATCATTTTGGTGATTTTTATTCTATCATGAACTGCTTTAAAATGGAATTATGTCATGCTTTCTGCTCTATCAAGTTAAGATGATACAAAATTGCAAAGCAAGTTAGAAACAAATAGAATTAGGGAAGATGTTAAGTGGGAGTTTTCGTTGTGGATGCCATACAATGTTTTTATTTAGTATTGTTATTCATGTACTCATATATCCATGCATAATTTTTGTGGAAGTGATTATAGCAGCATAAGATTTTAGAGAAAAAAATAGATTTTGAAATTCATTTCAATCCCAGCAAGAGCAAAGTAAACTAAACACCAAAGAGGAGAACTCTCTGGCTTATAAAGGAGAGACAATTCAATGAAGGACTAATATCCCCTGTTTTTCATATGCTATGGTGTTTCTGTGCTATGATGTTACTATGGAATAAACTGTCAGAATTATTAACATATTAATTGTTAACTATCAATACATTATTATTAACATTAATTATATTTAACATATTAACATTAACTTAACAAACATTGTCAGAATTACTGTTTTTTGGGGTATGAGGCAGGATCTCTACTCTATCTTCCAGGCTGGAGCCCATTGGCATGATCATAGCTTACTTCAGCCTTGACCTTCTGGGCTCAAGCAATGTACCCGCCGCAGCCTCACAGTAGCTGAGACCACAGGTGGGTGCCACCATGACTTCATAATTTAAAAAAATATATTGTTTGCAGAAACAGAGTCCCACTGATTTTCCGAGGCTGGTCTCAAACTCCTGGACTCAAACAATCATCTTGACTCAGCCTCTCAAAGTGCTGAGATTACAGGCATCACCCCGGCACCCAGCCTCACTGTCAGAATTATGCTGTTGCCTACAATTGCATAATTCTTTCTTGGTTTATTCTGAGAACCAATGTCCTTCCTCCATCTATCAATATTCTTTTCATGTATCTAAATGAGAGCCTTCTCAATTCTAAAATAATGGAACCTTCACATACAATAGTGTAATTTGTTTTTGGTTAATAGAGTATAATAAATCCTGCAAGCATATTAAGCTACTGGAGTGAAGTCTTATGGTTTCCATTATTTCTAGCAACTGAGTCTATATTGGTTGCATACATGAACACATTATTGACTTGTCGCCAAATAGGGTAGTTGTTCTTTGCCTGAATTTTCCAATGCTGTTTATCCTTTTAAGACTTAATATGAATAGCTCCCTTAAAATATAATTTATTCAACTGAATGTTTTAAATGGGATTAAATATGAATTAGGTACTCTGCCAGAATTATGGAACATTTTAGGCTTACATAGTAAAATGCTAATGAAGTAGTTTTTTAAATACTTTTCCTTCTAGGTGCTGACTTATTTTAAACTTGATATTGCATGTAACCATTATAGGATTAGATGCTATATTTTGAAATTGGCTCTGTTACTGTGGCAAATGCATATTTCTTGTAATTGAAAATTAGAGATTCAGAGGTTCACATTGATTAATCAATTTAAAACAATTAACAATGGATCTTCAGAAAATTGTAAGGCTTAATTGAATTATGAAAATTAGTGCATCTTATATGCTAATATCTCACTTTATCAAATAATTATTGAATTTGATACACACCGTGTTGATCTTTTATGTAATAGTCATGAAGTGATAGCAATAATTTACTAAGTGATTGAAAGTGGGGGGAGGTAGGTATTTTCAAGAAAAACAAATGCTTTTCATCACCAGGAGAGTGCCTGTATGTCATAGACATGTTCATTATTCATGCCGGACATCATGTCCAAGGGTAATTATTGCTAAACACATGTAAACCCAAGACGGTTTGCTAAAAATGACATTCTTATGGTTACACAGAAAGAAAATGAGACTAAGGTTAATAGACACAGGTCTTATTTGTGACTCAAAGGGGAGAATTACTTTATACATGTCAGCCACATATTCTTTATATATGCATACACTTGGTGGTTTATGGGTTTATGGAATATGAGATGTTTTCACATGCATCATCTCATTGATTCCCATGCACATGTATGTGCACTCAGGCACAAACACACACCAACACACAATAGATTATTAATGTGACCTAGTTTAAAAAAACATAAAATTCAAAGCAGATATAAATATGCATACATGTTGGTTAAATTGAGATAACCAGCATTTTTCAAAGGAACATTTAATTCTCATCTTAGAAAATGTAGATAGATGTTGAAGTACATAAAAACACAAACAGGTAAGATAAAGAAAAAAATATATGTATAGATACATAATCATCAATAATAATTATTTTCCAGGTAAAAACTTTTACATAGTAAGCCTATGCCAAAATTATCTCTTAAGGAATTAAATTTTGTACAAGGGACTATAATAGGAAACTAACTAAAATCTTACCATATCTGAGATACTTTCTTCTCTACCTGTCCTATTTCTTAATTTTGCTTTCAGATTAAAAGTTTAACTTGAATTTTCTCTACCCTGGTTATGCTAATCCGAGTCTATGTTTTTGTTTATTTTCTTTATCATCTTTCTATTTTGTGGTGTCTTTGAGAATTTGTGGGGAGGCTTCTGTGCAGGTTAGCAGAATTCTCAGTTTCTTTATTTGATTATAAAGATTATATTAATGAACTGATGTTATGGAATTACATATCATCCTTTTTGATGTCAGTATATTTTAAATCTTTATACTTTATATCACTTCATTAGATGTAAAAATGGTACCTTTGTTCTACGTTCTTTAACTGAAAATATCTAGAGATGTTTTATCAGCTTTCTTGGAAATACACATCAACAGACATGGGCAAAGAATTATACTGAGGATTAAAAAAAGATTGTCATTTTTGGCAAATTGTTTTACACATCTACATGTTTACAATTTGCCATTTCCATTGATTTACACATGTCTCCTAGTGCAAAGTAGAGTTGCTCTGATTTAAAACTGGGTGGGTTTAAACTCTTTGGCACCTACTGTGAGTGGACTTCAAGAGTCAGTAAGCAAGAGGAATGTGTAGAAAGAAAGAAAAATGATTACTAGTCCATGAGGAACACTCGAGAAACCTTAGCTCTTATTCTTTGTCTCCTTTCCCTCTTCCTCTAACTGGTTCTCCTATCATCCTGTGCAATGTACAGCAGAGGGTATTACTGTAAACCTAACTTGACCCATCATCACCAGGAATGTCCCTAAAGGAACTGGCTCTTCCCATGCACTAATGATACTTCTGTCCCATTAAGCCAGACACAACCTTACTTACAACTTGTTGTGGTCACTGAAATATGAGTGGAAACTGTACTCAGTTTCCAAGCAGATGTTCTAGGAACCACTACCCTAGTTCCACCTACTTTTCACCCTTTACTCTCCTAGAAGCATGGCCATGTCAAAGATGTGCATTCATCACTCAGCCTGGGAGTTAGCTTGTGGAAGGCAAGACACAGGACAGAAGATGACCTGTGGCCAACATTTATTCTGAGCAAGAGAATAAAATTTATTGTCCTGGGATACAATGATTGCTTTCTAGCAGTTTTTAGTTATAGTTTTTAGTGTAGTATTGAAGAGCTTGAAAATACAAGTGAGTATTCCATATCACATCCCATGCTGTAGATTATGGAAACATTGTGCTATTGATGGGAGTTTTAGACTTTTGTTCTGAGTTCTTATTTCCAAAAATGTCTGGGCAATTTGCCTGCATAGACATGGTATTTGCTTGTTCTCACACAGCTAAAAACACATAACCATGATTGGGTAATTTACAAAGGAAAGAGGCTTAATGAACTCACAGTTCCACATGTCTGGGGAGGCCTCACAATAACTGCAGAGGGTCAAGAGACATGTCACATGGCAGCAACAAGAAAGAATGAGAGCCAAGCGAAAGGGGAAATCCCTTATAAAACCATCAGCTCTTTCGAGATTAATTCATTACCAAGAAAACAGCATGAGAGAGTCTGAACCCATGATTGAATTGTCTCTCACTGGGTTCCTCCCAAAACACCTGGGAATTATGGAAGCTACAGTTCAAGATGAGATTTGGGTGGGGACAGAGCCAAACCACATCAGACAACTTTAAACAACAGTCATAGTATGTTGGTCGGTTATAGAGCAGATCCTCAAATAACCTTTAATTTCAATGTCATTTCATTATAACATCGATGAGAGGGGTTTAAAAAAAGTTAATTCCAGTTAGGGATACTATCTTTATGGGGTTTGCCTATTCACTCCATGTCTTTGTGAATTTCCTCCATGAGTCCTGGTTTCCTCTTTTATCCCAAATATGTGCACATTAGGTTCAATAGTATGTCTACATGATTCCAGTGTGGTTTTGTGTGCATGTGTAAGTGTGCCGTGTGATGCAATGGCATTCTGTCCATGTCTGGTTTCTTCTTAGTGCACTGAGCAGCTGGGAGATTTTCCAGCCATCTGAGACCTGAACTGGAATAAGTAGTTTGGAAAATAAATAAATAAATGGATAAAAACTATTGTGAAATAAAAATTTGTAAAGTCTACAGCAATAATCTCTGTGGTTCAAAGTGGTTGGTGAGCTGTCATATGTGTGATAATTTCCTTTTGAACTGCATGGTGGTGGAAGAAGCACCTGAGAATTTTCACTTGGTAAAAATTTATTCCTGGATTTAACCCACCACCACTATGACCACCATCACTCACTGATTCACCAAACATTGGGTAAGGAATTATCTTGCTTTATTAACCTTTCTTAAATATGTGTAGATCTCACATGTATTTCAATGTTGACTATTAGAAGTGTATAGGGTCTTAGCCAAGTGTGGTGCCTGTAATTCCCACACTTTGAGAGGCCAAGAGGAAGGGCAGATCACCTGAGGCCAGGAGCTCAAGACCAGCCTGGCCAATATGGTGAAATTCTGTCTCTACTAAAATATAAAAATTAGCCAGGCATGGTGGTGGGTGCCTGCAATTCTAGCTACTTTGGA